>NC_000004.12:4813017-5119514 GCF_000001405.40 Homo sapiens | reverse complement strand
TCTGGAATTCTCATGCTTCCCACTGTCAAGCACAGCTCCCAGGCATTCATTTTCAGAAGGTTGCTAAGAGAAAGGCCAAACTATTTCCCACTTTTCCATGTGGAAATGGCAAATGTTCTGGCCTGGTACTAAAATGTTTCTAAAGCCCCGTTGGTGGGAGGTGCTCTAGTTCCTTCCTTGAGTCCTTCCAGCTAAGAGAATATCAAGTTTCCCCTGTCTAATGTCCACATAATTTCACACACAGGACAAGGCACAGAAAGTGCTGGCTAAACGCTGTGGAAATTATGCTAAACGCTGTGGGAATTATGCCAAACCACCAGCCTGTGAGGGTGCGGGATCTGCTAGCCATCAGGAGAGCCTGCAGCCCGCGTTCCCAGCAAGGTGAAGGCTGGCTTTGGGGGACACAATAACCTTACCCTTTTATGTGGAAAACACAGATTCATACAGATTACATAAACAGATATGTAGTATATCTATGGCATCCAAATTTTATGGTAGGTAGGGAAGAAAATTAGGAAAACAAAACGTCCAAAAAGGCTCCTGGGTGTGGGGTGGGGGTGATAAGGAAAGAAGGGCTGAGAAGCACTCGTCTATGGTGCTGAGGCTGCCATGGGAGGAAGACAGCACAACACAGGTCCTCTGCTGCCCCTTGGCCAAATGTGTGTGAAGTCACCCTAGTTACTGGTGAACAGGTACTTGCCATAATGGAGAGCCCACCTGGGTCAGACATGGGATCGGTGCTGGGGAAAGAGCAGTGACCAGGGTTAACCAGATCCCCAGTTCCCTGTGGAATTTACCTTCTGAGCAGGAAGACAGAGAGGAAAGGAGCAAATAAGTAGGACAACTGTGAGTGGCAACTCTCTGCAGAGGGAGATAAAGTGGGGGTGGATTCAGCCAGCGAGTCATGCAAAGGAGGTGGCTCAGCACAGGTGGCCAGGGCAGGACTCTCTGAGCACATGGCTTCTGAAACAAGACCTAGAAGGAGAGAAGCCTGCAGCCATGCCTGATGAGAAGCTCATTCACGTTCAGCACAGAAAACTGCATGGGCAAAGGCCTGGGGCGGGAGTGAGTTCGGTATTTTTGAAAATCCAAGAAAAGGTTTGTGTATCTACATTACAACTGATGCCACAGAAATACAAAGGATCATAAGAGACTACTATGAACACTTACATGCCAGTCAAAACTGGATTACCTAGAAGAAATGAATACATTCCTAAAGACACACTACCTACCAAGACTGAGTCATAAAGAAAAAAATATGTGAACAGACCAATAACAAGAAGACAGATCGAATCAGGAAGAAAAAATTCCCCTAGCAAACAAAAGCACAGGACCTTATAGCATCAATGGTGGAGTCTACCAAACATTTAAAGAAGAATTAGGGCCAATCCTTCTCTAACTGTTCCCAAAAAATTGAAGAGAAAGGAACCCTTCCAAACTCATTTTACAAGTCCAGCATTACCCTGATATCAAAGCCAGACAAGGACGCTACAAGAAAATAAACTTACAGGCCGACATCCCTGAGGAACATAGATGCAAAAATCCTCAACAAAATTCTAGGAAACTGAATTCAACAGCACATTAAAAGAATTGTTCACTGTGATCAAATATGATTTATCCCTGGGATGCTGGGATGGTTCAACATACACAAATCTGTAAACATGATACAACACATTAACAAAATGAAGAATAAAATTATATGATCTAAAATATCAGAAGAAAAGAAACATGAAAGAAAAAACTAGTGTATTTGATTACATAATATATACAATTTTAGATTTCAGTCCTTCAAAAAATATAAACTTATTTAAAAAGCAAATGTTATGCTAGAAAAAAATATTTGGAGCAAACATGACAAGAGGTAAATATCCCTAAAATACAAAGCAGTCTTAGAAACCAATTATAAGAACTCATCTCCCCATTGAAAAAATAGGCTAAAAATAAGGCCAACCACAAAGGAAGAAATACGAAAAGCCAATAAAATGAAACACACAACACATATTTAGTCCCACTAATCAAAGAACTGCAAATTACAAGTACAAGGAAAATTACTTTTTCTCATCTGGAGTTGACAAAAATTTAAATAAATGTAATTCAGTGCTGGAGAAAAAAAAATCATATGATCATCTAAACAGATGCAGAAAAAGCATTTGACACAAGTCAACATTCTTATAAAAACTTTCAACAAATTAGGTATAGCAGGAATACTTCTCAATATAATAAAGGTTATATATGACAAGACCACAGCTTACATCATACCCAATGATGAAAAGCTGAAGGCTCTTTCCTCTAAGACCAGAAACAAGACAGGGATGCTCACTCTCACCACTGCTATTCATCTTAGTGCTGGAGGTCCCAGCCGGAGCAATTAGACAAGAAAAAGAAAATGCATTCAAATTGGAAAGGAAGTTATGAAACTGTCTCTGTTTTCACATGACATATATCTTATATATAGAAAATTCTAAAGACTCTAAAAAGACTGTTAAAACTAACAAATGAATTCCGTAAAGTTGCAGGATACAAACTCAACATGCAAAAATCAGTTGTTTTTCTACACACTAACAAGGAACTATCCAAAAAAGAAATTTAGAAAACCATACTATTTACAATAGCATCAAAAATAATAAAATACTTCGGAATAGATTTAACAAAAGAAGTGAAACATTTGTACACTGAGAACTGTGTAAGTCATTGATGAAAGGAATTAAAACACAAACAAATGGAAGAGTAAATGTTTTAATGGATTGGAAGAGTCAATACTGTTAAAATGTCCATACCATCCAAAGTGATGTGCAGATTCAATGCAATTTCTATCAAAATTCCAAAGAAAAATGTTCACAGAAATAGAAATCCTAAATTGAATCCTAAAATTCAAATGGAACCACAAAAGACCCCAACTAGTTAAAGCAACCTTGAACAAGAAGAACAAAGCTGGAGGCATCACACTACCTGATTTCAAAATATACTACAAATATAGAGTAATCAAAATAAGAGTAGATATTAAGTGTTCTAACTCCCCCCAAAATAAGTATATGAGTTGATAGATATATTAATTAGCTTGATTGAGCTATTCCACAGATGTAGGTATATCAAAACATCAAGCCATAGACTGTAAATATATACAGATTTTACTTTTCTATTAAAAAATAAAATGTACAACGACAACAAATTATTAAAAAGTGTAAGATGGTGATGACAGAGCATTAAACCAAGCACGGGGCCCTTCTAAGTACAGAGCCTGTGTGACTGCCCAGGTCACACACCCATAAAGCTGGCCTTGCTTGCAGGTAATGTAGGAAAATATCCCGTGTGCGTGTGTGTGTGTGTGTGCGTGCATGCACACACACATCTGAGTGAGCATATAGAGCAGCTGATGCACCAGCAGTGTTTAATAGAGTCAATAAATGGAAACCATGTTACTCTAATTTGGGTCCACTCACCCTCTCTAGTCTGAGGGTCTGTCTCTCCCACTTAAGGAAGGAAAGAAAGCCAGGGAGGGAGAGAATTAAGGTTACTAGCAGTCCTGCCACGTAGCAGAAGATTTACATTCTTACAAAAACCTGGTGAGGTTTTGATTATGCCCAATTTTACAGTTAAGATGACTGAAGCTCGGAAAGGTTAATTAATACTATCAATTTCATAGAGATAATAATGTTTCATGCTGGTGTCGTTCTCTCTGGTTCAGAAAGCATTTTCACCTTTATCTGACCTTCATGGCAGCCCTGGGAGGGAAAAAGAGCAGAGATGCTTGTCTTTGATTGAATGAGAAGTCAAATGAATTGCCAAGTTTCCACCACCAGCAAAGCACCAGCTCTCCTGAGGACGTGTCCTGTGGCACCCCTAGGAGAAACTCCTCCCTGGGCTGGGGTCAGGAGCTTCTCTGCACTGGGACTGGTTTCCCTGTGTGGATAACTGCCCAGGTTACACTTCTCCAGTTGCCCTCAAGGAAGCTCAAATCTGGCTGAGGGCTTTTAAGATGCACATTTCCAGCTTTGCCCCAGACACACTTCTGTCTTTGCTTTTCTCCTTTGTCTTTGTTCAGATGCTCATGTGTGCCACCCTGTTATACTTAAAGTGCCTACAGAGCCAATTTAAATGTTTCCTGTAATGCTGGAGGAAAGCAGTTTTTCAAGCTCACATATGTGTGTCTACCCCACAAACTCTGACTTTTTTTTCAGGGCAGGGGCTCTGGGAAGTATGCTGATGCAGAGATTAGAACTGGGCTTGGGCCTAATCCAATGTGTGCAAATCATTGTGTGAGGCCCTTGGGGCATCAGAGTTCCAAGTTGGAGAATGAGTTCCTCCCATCTAGAGAGTGACAATCACATTTGGATAATAAGCCAACACAGCACACTCAACCAAAAATGCAGGACAGCTTGAGATCTCACACTCACAGAGAATTGCCCAAATCCTTTAGCTTCCAACAAAATGAAGTCATAATTTCACTATTATCTTTGCAAACAGATGACAGAGTCTGAGAGAATGTCTCCAGGGGCCCTCCCCCATGTCGAGCAGGTGTCTTGCAGCCCATAACTTTACAAAGTTGTTTGAACAGTGGCTCTCTCCCTGCTCTTGTTCATTATATGGGGTCAGGGTGTGGGAAGAGGCTTGGGGTGCAGGGTGCTGAGGAACAAAGGACAGGCTCCAACCTGTGACATGCAGCATGGCACCACCCCGTGGAATAACGAGCCTGGGTTCTCCCAGTTAGAGCACTACCTGGCTTCCTGAATAGCTACATGGCCCCTGCGGGAGGAACAGGACATTCTGAAGATGTACTGCTTGGATATGAACGTCTCCTTTTCATTGGAAGACGGGAGCGAGTTGTTTGAAAAGATCTGAACTGAACAAAAGTAAGTTATATGTAAGTTATATGTCTCTACTCGAGACTCCCTTTAAAAGAAAACCTGGCATTTAATTAAAGCAGTCTAGTGGGAAAGTGCCAGAAGGACCTTTTATTTATTCATCTAATGCATATTTACTGGGAGCTCATTCTTTGTCACTGTCAGTGCTATGTTCTGGGGACACCAGGAGAAATAAGACAGACATCATCTGTCTTTGGTGAGCGTGATAGAAAACAGGACGCCTGACACTAAACAGCAATTTCACCTGTGATTTGGAGAAGGGGTGCTATAAGAAGATGTTTTATGGGAGGAAATACATCTGGGTCCAGGAAGGTTCCTTTGAAGAAGTGAGCTTTAAACTGAGACCAGAAGGATGTGTAGGAGTTGGGCAAAGTCAGAATGAAGGGCAGGAGGGGTGGAACTGGGGAAAGTATGAGAATCTATTCCAAGCAGAAGGAATAGCAAGTTCAAAGACACTGAGATGGGAAGGAGAGTGACAGGTTCAGCTGGGACTGGCCTGGAGAGAATGGGGGTGGTTGAAGACATGATGCTGATGAGGTAGTGATATGGTTTGGCTGTGTCCCCACCCAAATCTCATCTTGAATTGTATCCTTCACAATTTCCACAATTTCAATCTGTTGTGGGAGTGAACCAGTGGGAGGTAATTGAATCATGGGAGCAGGTCTTTCTCATGCTATTCTCGTGATAGTAAGTCTCACAAGATCTGATGGTTTTTAAAAAGGGGGGCGGGTTTCCCTGCATAAGCTCTCTTTCTTTTTGCCTGCCACCATCCACGTAAGATGTGATTCGGTCCTCCTTGCCTTCCACCATGATTGTGAGGCCTCCCCGGCCATGTGGAACTGTAAGTCCATTAAACCTCTTTCTTTTTTAAATTGCCCAGTCTTGGGTATATCTTTATCAGCAGCATGAAAATAGACTAGTACAGGTAGGCGGAAGCAGACCATGAGGGGCTGCGGAGGCTTTGATAAGTCTGTTATTTCTTATATTGAGGGCAAAGTTGAACCCTACAGGGTTTTAGTAGTAGAAGAATGTGTGTGTACGTTAAAGAAATGGAGTGATATGATCAGTTTTGCCATTTAACAACATAGGTCATCAGTCAGTATGGCTAGGTTATGCTCTGTAATAAACAAACCCAAAACCTTAATAGCTTATAACACGAAGTACTTATTCTTTACCCATACTACATGTCCACACAGATCAGCAAGAAGCTTTGTGTGCTGCATTCACACGGTGTCTTGGTCTATTTGCACTGCTATAACAAAATATCATAGACTGGGTGGCTTATAAACAACAGAAGTTTATTTCTCACAGTCTAGAGGCTGGGGAATCCAAGATCAAGGCATGGCAGATTCAACGTCTTGTGAGGGCTTGCTTCCTGGTTCATAGATAGCCATCTTCTTGCTGTGTCCTCACATGGTGAAAGAGACGAGGGGTCTGTACAGGGCCTCTCTTATAAGGACACTAATCCCATTCGTGAGGTTTCCACCCTCAAGATCTGATCACCTCTCAAAGGCCCCCACCTCCTAACACCATCACATTGGGGATTAGGTTTCAATGTAAGAATTTTGGGGGAATACAGACATCCAGATGACAGCACTCAGGACCCCAGCTGACAGAGGCTCCATCTCATCTACTATACATTTTCCTTCTTTGGTTATTGTCAGTCTCTTCCCTTAAGAAGTAGCATATTTGCCTGTTTGGCTCATTCTCTTATCCCCAGTGTCTGGCACAGTGTCAGTATTCAATAATATCTTTTGAATACATGAATCTTGTTCACTTTGATCAGTCACATTCATCTGTCAACCCCCACAGCAAGCCAAGCTCTTCTCTTCCCTTCTTTGGAAATGTTCTTCACCAGCTCTTTGTGAAACCACTGTGGTTCATTTTTCCAATCTCAGCTTAGATTTTTCCTCCACAGAGAAGCTTTCTTGTACTAGCTTTGTGATGGTTCATTTGCATGTCCATTTGACTGCGACATGGGGTGCCCAGATATTTCATCAAACATTATCTTGAGTGTGTCAGTGAAGGTGTTTGGAAATGAGATTAACATTTGAATTGGCAGACTGACTCCCTATGTGGGTGGCCCTCTTCCAATCAGCTAAAGGTCTGAAGAGAACTAAAGGCTGACCCTTCCTCTAGTAGAAGGGAACTCCTCCTGCCTGACTGCCTTGAGCCAGGACATCAGCCCTCTTTGGACTCAGCTTTGAAATGTCAGCTCTTCTTGGGTCTCGAGCCTGTAGGCTTTCAGATTGGACCTACTCCAGCAGCTCTCCTGGCTCTCCAACTTGCCAACTGCAGACCTTGGGATGTCTTAGTCTCCTGAATACATGAATCAATTCCTTATAATAAATCTCTTTTTATATAGATCTACATTCTATTGACTCTGTTTCTCTGGAGAATGCTGACAAATACAATCTCACAGCAGACACCCCCACCCATCTCCCCTCTATCCTTACTGTTTCAATCCACAGACTGCAAGCACCTGCTTCTCTTTGCTGTAGGGCATTCTCTTGTAGTGAGAACCCCTTCTGCCCTGCACAGCAGGTGAGAAATGTCTGGGATTAAAGTACTCTGAGAGCAGCTCTTACCTGGTGACTGATGGGCATGGGTGGGCCAATATCCCAAGTCTCTTAAACAAAGGGTAGGATGATTTTAAGACATGTTATGCACTGCTTACTAAAGTGTGCACATGCCCACAGTGGTACCTGCATGATGAAATCTCCTTTATTTGCTGCTTTCCCTTCCCTGTCTCACTTCTCTTCCTGCCTGTTTCCTGGGACCACATCTTAAACAAGCTATTTGCACATGGATCCTTGTCTCAGAATCTGCTTGTAAGGAAACCCAAACTGAGATAGAATCATCAAGGAGGTCCATACACATCGTTTTCTTTATTTTTAATTTTAGATTCAGGGGTACATGTGTTTGTTTGTTACATGGGTATCAGACGCATAATGACAGGGGTTGGGCTTCTAGTGTACCCATCATCCATATATTGGATGTTCTACCCAATAGATAATTTTTCAACCCTTCCCAACCCCTTTTGAAGTCTCCAGAGTCTATTCTCTCCATCTTTATGTCCATGTGTAGCCTTCATTTAGCTCCCACTTATAAGTGAGAACATGTAATATTTAATTTTCTGTTTCTGTGTTAGTTCACTTAGGATAACAGCCTCCAGCTCCATCTATGTGGCTGCAAAGGACACGATGTTTTCCTTTTTATGGCTGTATACTATTCCATTGCACACACACACACCACAATTTCTTTATCTGATTAACTGCTGATGGACACTTAGATTGGTTCTGTGACTCTGCTATTATAAATAGTGTTGCACTAAACATACAAGTGCAGGTGTCTTTTTTGTGTAATAATTTATTTTCCTTTGAGCAGATACCCAGTAGTGGAGTTGTTGAGTCAAATGGTCATTCTCTTTTTAGTTCTTTGAGAAATCTTTATACTGTTTCCCATAAGGGCTGAACTAATTTGAATTCCCATCAACAGTGTATGAGCATTTGCCTTTCTCCACGTCCACATCAACATCTGTTGTTTTTGACTTTTTAATAAAAGCCATGCTGACTGATGTAAGATGATATCTCAATGTGGTCTTAATTTGTATTTCTCTGATGATTGGTGATGTTAAGCATTTTTATGTGTTTGTGGAAGCTTATATTTCTTTTTTTTTTCAAAAATGTATTTTCATGTCTTTTGCCCAGCTTTTAATGGTGTTGTTTATTTTATTCCTCTTGAGTTGCTTGAGTTCCTTATAGATTCTGGATATTAATCCTTTGTTGAGGGCATAACTTGTAAATATTTTCTCCCATTCTGTAGGCTGTCTGTTTATTCTGTTGATTATTTCTTTTGCTATGCATAAGCTTTTTAGTTTAATTAAGTCCCATTTGTCTATTTTTTTGTTTTGTCACATTTACTTTTGAGGTCTTTGTCATAAATTATTTGCCTAGGCTGATGTCCAGAAGAGCATTTCCCTAGGTTTTCTTCTAGGACTTAATATAGTTTCAGGTCTTACATTTAGGTCTTTAATCCATGTTGAGTTAACTTTTGTATATGGTAAGAGATAGGGGTCCAGCCTCTCTCTTCCACTTAATGGTCAGCCAGTTTTCCCAGCACCATTTATTGAATAGGATGTCTTTTTCCCATTTTTTATTTTTGTCAACTTTGCCCAAGACAAGTTGGTTGCAGGTATGTGGCTTTATTTCTGAGTTCTCCATTCCATTGATACATGTGTCTATCTTTGTGCCAGTACCATGATGTTTTAGTTACCATGGCCTGGTAGTATAATTTGAAATCAAGCAATGTGATGTCTCTAGATTTGTTCATTTTGCTCAGGAGTGCTTTGGTCATTTGCGCTTTTTTTTTTTTTTTTTTGGTTCCATATGAATTTTAGGATTTTTTTTTCTAATTTTGTGAAAAATGACATTGGTAATTTAATAGGAGCTGCATTTCATGTGTATATCACTTTGAGCTATATGGTCATTTTAATGATATTGATCCTTCCAATTCATGAGCATAGGATGTTTTTCCATTTGTTTGCATTGTCTACAATTTCTTTCATCAGTGTTTTGTAGTTCTCCTTATAGAGCTCTTTCACCTCCTTGATTAAATGTATTCCCAGGTTTTTTTTTTCTGTGGCTATTGTAAACGGGATTGGTTCTCGGTATGAATGTTATTGATATACAGAAATGGGCTACTGATTTTCATACATTAATTTTGTATCCTGAGACTTTACTGAAGTTGCTAATCAGGTTTAGGAGTCTTCTAGAGGAGTCTTCAAGGTTTTCGAGGTATATGATCATGTTGTCAGAGAACTGAGATAATTTGACTTCATCTTTTCCAATTTGGATACCTTTTATCTCTCTCTCCTGCCTGATTGCTCTGGCTAGGACTGTTAGTACTATGTTGAATAGTGGAACTTGTCTTATTCCAGATTATAGGGAAAATGCTTTCAACTTTTCCTCATTCAACATGATGCTGGCTGTGGCTTTGCCATACATGGCTCCCATTATCCTGAGTTATGTTCCATCTATGTCTAGCCTGTTGAGGGCTCTTATCATGGAGGACTGCTGGATTTTATAAAATCCAGCTTTTTATCAATCTGCTTTTTCTGCATCTACTGAGATGATCACACGGTCCTTGCTCCTAATTCTGTTCATGTGGACATGCCTATCATTTTCTATCACAGCATTCTGTATTTTTCTTTCCTAGTACATATCATATTTGCTAATTTTTATGTATTCATTTGTTAGCTCCACTGTCTGTCTTCAGCAAGAGCATTCGTCCATGTGTGTGTCCTTTGTGACTATCATAAAATAGTTGTTCAATAAATATTGGATGAATACATGAATGAATGAATGAATAACTAGCCCTGGCCATTTGCCTTCCCCTTCTCTTAAGTCAGTTTTCTCATTAGAAAAATGAGGCAGCTGCGCATGACACCTGGAAAGTTGCTTCTGGGTCTTGTATCCTGAGATTCTGAGATGTCAGGGCTCACAGGATAATAAAGCACATAGTTTTGTTGCTGGACAAGGCTCTGGATAAGAATGTGGCTTTAGTCTGCATTAACTGGACAAGGAAGCTGGGGAGACCATGGCAATTAAGAAGCAGAGAGAAAAATCCTCCTTAGCAGTGGGCTTTGGCAGGTCAGTAACAGAGTGCAGCCTTGTGCACCTCCAGCCTTGGGAGTGTTTGCATAGAAATTGCCATTTCAGGTTTCCATTATTCAAGACTAATGAGTGCTGCAGATGTAACGTAACTATTCTTCCCTAATTATTGTTTTAGCCACTCTCCTGTTTTTGCTCATGATTTCTACTTGTGATTTTAGAGGGTAAAAAAAGAGCCTACTTTGTGGAGTCAACAGACTCACAGCATCGGCAGATTTCAGGTTTTCAGGTGATACTGAAGTCTAAGACAGGTGGAATGCCACATGAACTTGAACTACCGACTCTGCGAGTCACTGGACCACTTAACAAAAAAAATTGTAGAAAATATGAATAGTCCTCTACCTGGAAGTTGAATCTAAAATTAACTATATTGCCACAAATAAATCTTTAAGTTCTGATGGCCTCAATGGAGAACTCTTCCATTGAAATATTAAAAACGACAAAATTAAGTAAACTCTTCCAGAAAACAGAAAAGGGGAATATTTCCCAACGTGTTTTATGAGATCAGCATAACCTCAACACCCAAACATGAGAAGGGCACTTTAGAAAACTATTTAACAGCGCCAACCAAGACTGGGAATTTACACGTGACCTGGCAATTCCCCTCCAAAATGAATATCCAAAAAACTGTAGGTACATCAAAAAGCATGTGCAGGACATATATGAGATTTATTCTAGCCTCAAACTGGAAACAATCCAAATTGCCTCAGAAGCAAAATGGATAGACTGCAATATATTCTAACACTGGTATATAATGTAGCAGCAAAAATAATTTACAACTATGTGAATCAGTACAGGTCACATCCTCGGAAACATATAAGATGCAAAAGAAGACACAGCACAAGTTGCCATTTATAACGTTCCAAACCAGAAAATTGCTAAATAATGGTGGTAAAATCAGGGCAATGGTTACCCTGGAGTGGCTACATGGAAAAGAGTATGAGAGGGACTTCTTGTGGCCTGGTAATGTTGCATTTATTGATGTGAGTGGTGATTATAAAGGTGTGTTCACCCTGTGAGGACTACCTCAAGCTGTAGATCAATAATTTGTGCAATCATCTGTGTGTTTGCTACGTTTTAATAAACATTTATATAAAAAATAAGATGGCAATTTATTAAAATGCATAGAATTTACAAAAAAAATGAGTTCACATGAGCCTCAATTTTAAAAGAGAAAAAAACTCATTGGATAACACTGGAATCTGTAAAGACACCAACTTCTTTGAAATTTCGTCAATAAAGGGAAATACTTAAACATTTATTCTGCCATTCTGGAATGAATTTTATTTCAGGGTAATCAAATAGCAGACGATGAGGTAGAGTTCTTTCACTTACTAAACATAGAAAGAATGATATATTAAATGTTACCATTTTGTAATTCTTGTTAATTATCAATTCTAGCAATGGTCATTGATGGCTTGTAAAATTACCAGGTGGAAAGTTGATGAGGGATTTTACCCTCATAAGATTGTCCCTGCCTAACTCCCTGATCAATCCCTTAGCACAGTGGTCCCCACACTTTTAGGACCAGAGACCAGTTTTGTGGAAGACAATTTCCACAGACGGGGGAAGGGGAGGATGATTTCGGAATGACTCAAGCACATTACATGCATTGTGCACTTTATTTCTATTATTATTACACTGTAATATATAATGAAATAATTATACAACTCACCATAATGATCAGTGGGAGCCCTGAGCTTATTTTCCTGCAACTAGATGGTCTCATTTTGGGGTGATGGGAGACAGTGACAGATCATCAGGCATTAGACTCTCATAAGGAGCTTGCAACCTAGGTCTCTTGCATGCACAGTTCACAATATAGGTTTGCGCTCCTATGAAAATCTAATGCCGGAGCTAATGTGACAGGAGGCAGAGCTCAGGTGGTAATGTGAGAGTCATGGGGAGCAGCTGTAAATACAGATGAAGCTTCACCTGCCTCTCACCTCCTGCTATGCAGCCGGGTTCCTGGGGGTTGGGGACTCCTGCTTTAGGATCACAAAAAGTGATACAACTCAACACTGGATACAATGTATAGCACAAGTGAAGAATTCGTGCTGAAAATTATTCAATTTAAATCGAATCCACACTTTACATATAATTTTGATTCAACAGGACATTTAAGGGCCAGGGGAACAAATCAAAAGACACCACAAGGAAGCAATAATAAAATCTAGTAAATGAAACATTTTTCAGGACAATTGGCCATCTACACAAGTAAATAGCATGGAAAAGCAATATTTAAAGAGAGACAACTATTATAGATTAAAAGAGACAATGAAACTTAAGGAGCAGGATCTAAGAAACAGAATGGATGGACCTATCTTTGGATTTGATTTCAATAAACAATCTATAAATGGCATATTTCAGGCAATGGAGGAAATCTGAATATGGACTGAATGACATGAAGTAACTATTATTTATTTTATTAAGTGTGATAAAGACCTCTATTTCACACCTCTGCAAAAATCTATTCCAAGTAGGTTATAGATCTGAGTATAAATAGTAAAACCAAAGTTTTCTAGGGGAATACTGAGAATATAGTAAAGTTCTTTAACATGGTAATAGTTGACAATAAAAAAAATCTTAAACATCATTGCAAATGTTAAAACTTTAGAAGCATTTTCATAAAGAACAAGACAAGGATGTCCTCTACGATTAAAAAGAAAAAGTTTTTTTTGAGATGGAGTCTCACTCTGTCATCCAGGCTGGAGTGCAGTGGTGTGATCTTGGCTCACTGCAACCTCTGCCTCCAGGTTCAAGTGATTCTCCTGCATCAGCCTCCCAAGTAGCTGGGATCACAGGCACACACCACCATGCCCAGCAATTTTTTCTTTTTTAGCAGAGGTGGGGTTTCATCGTGTTGGCTAGCCTGGTCTCGAACTCTTGATGTCAAGTGATCCCCCCGCCTCGGCCTCCCAAAGTGCTGGGATTAAAGGAATGAGCCACCACACCTGGCCAAGGATATCCTCTATGATTGATGCTACTCAACATTATGGGCAATGAATACAAAAGGGCTATACTTCTGTTATTTGTGATATCTTCACAATGTTAAAGTAAGCAAAGCAATCATTAAGGAAAAATTAATTCATTAGATTGACTTAAAGAACATCTGTTCAGCCGGGCGTGGTGGCTCACACCTGTAATCCCAGCACTTTGGGTGGCCGAGGCGGGTGGATCACTAGGTCAGGAGATCGAGACCATCCTGGCTAACACAGTGAAACCCTGTCTCTATTAAAAATACAAAAAATTAGCCAGGCGTGGTGGCGGGCGCCTGTGGTCCCAGCTGCTCGGGAGGCTGAGGCAGGAGAATGGCGTGAACCCGGGAGGCGGAGCTTGCAGTGAGCCAAGATCCCGCCACTACACTCCAGCCTGGGTGAGAGTGCGATACTCCGTCTCAGAAAAAAAAAGACACCAGCAAGAGAGTAAAAATGCGCAATATAGAATAGGAGCAGATATTTCTATCACAGAGCCAGAATCTCAGTGATAGAAGTTATAGCCAGAGTATAGAGAGGACTCCTGTTCATCAACAAGAAAGATAAACTCAATAGAAAAATTAGAAAAGAGACTAAATAGGTATTTCGCTAAAGAGGATATCTAAATGCAAATAATCATATAAAAAGTTATTCAACATTATTTTAAAATTATTTTTTAGTTTTTCAGTTTTTATTTTTGTAGAGATGGAGTCTTGCTCTGGTATCCAGGCTAGTATTGAACTTCTGGCCTCATGCAATCCTCCCACCTCAGCCTCCCAAAGTGCTGGGATTACAGGCATGAGCCACTGCACCCAGCCTTCAACATCATTAATGATAGAAAATGTAAATCAAAACTGCAATGAGATGTCATTACACACCTACCAGTAGCTAAAATTTAAAATGTCAGACAACAACAATTGTCAATAAGGATATGGAGCAAAGGGATCCCTCTTACGTCGCAAGTGAAAATGTAAATTCCTGCAACTGCTTTAGATAATTGAGCACAGGCATACTCTATGACCTAGAAATTTCACTCTTAGGCATATACTCAAACAATGAGTGCTATTCTATTATCAAATACATATTGAGAGCAGAATAGAAAAATATAATGTAGTATAGTCCTACAATGGAACATAACTCCAATGGAAATAAACAAACTAAAGCTACATGCAACATGCATGAACATTACAAACACGTTGAAAAAACAAAGCCAGGAACAAAATAATATTCATTCATAATTCTATTTATATAAAGCTCAAAAACAGGCAAAACTAAGCAGTCGTGTTACAATTTGTGATAAGAATGACCTCAGAGAAGAAGACACAGAGTCATGAAAGGGGCTTCTGAGTTATACTGTTAATGTTCTGTACTTTGATTGGCTGCTGATTACATGTATATGTTCACTTTCTGAAAATGTATCAAGCTTTATACTTATGCCTTATGCACTTTGCTGTAGGTAATATTTCATTTAAAAGTTGGAATTACTATCCATTCACAATGTTTTATGAAACACTTAACAAACTAGAAATAGAGTTAAATTCCTTAATCTGATAATAATTGTATTAGTCTGTTCTTATGCTGCTAATAAAGACACCTGAGACCGGGTAATTTACAAAGGAAAGAGGTTTAATGGACTCACAGTTCCACATGTCTGGGGAGGCTTCACAATCATGGTGGAAGATGATGGAAGAGCAAAGGGATGTCTTACATGGCAGCAGACAAGAGAGTTTGCTCAGGGAAAACTCTCCTTCATAAAACCATCAGATCTCGTGAGACTTACTCACTATCATGAGAACAGTATGGGGGAAACCACCCCCACGATTCAATTATCTCCTTCTGGCCCCTCCCATGACATGTGGGGATTATGGGAGCTATAATTCAAGATGAAATTTGGGTGGGGACACAGGCAAACCATATCAATAGTTAATATCAAAAACCTACAAGCAACATCATTCTTACTGTTAAAACTTTCGAGGCATTTCCACCAAAGTCAGGAATAAGACAAGGATGTCTTTTATTATAGATGCTACTCAACAATTCAACCTATTAGAAAAAAATAGGCAAGAATATGATCAATATCCTTTGCCATTTAAGGTATCCGAGTGAACTCTAACTATTTCACAGGAGGCTCAATTTCACTAGTATTAGGAAATGCAATTTTAAAAATATGTAATGAGATACCATTTCATACTCATCGTACTGGCAAAAATAATGGAAGTCCTAAATCATTCACATGTGGACTACATCTGTGTAAATGACAGCTACTAAAATTGTAGGTGACATGCAAATTACCCCACTATGGAGTAATTTGTTAATATCTTCTAAATCCCAAGATGGGCAAACTCCGTGGCCCAGGAATTCTACCGTTTCTCAGCGTGTATTTAGAGTACCTACCCTACAGAAACTCCCATGGATGTGCACAAGGAAACCCAAACAACAATGTTCCCATCCATCATCAATAAGGGAATGAGTCAATAAAGTATGCCATAATCACAGGTGATACTGTAGAGCAGTTAAATTAAATGAACTGCATCATATGAGTAAACATAAAAAATAATGGGGAGTGAGAAAAACAAGATTCAAAATGATCTAATTTCAGTTTGGTAGAGTTTAAAAATAAGACATATCCTTCTGGGTTATATAACATTAGGCAGAAGAATAAAAACCTGCATGGAAATGCTCAAGGTAAGCTCTGGGAAGGGAGAAGGATTCGGATGTGGCAAACATGGGGCTTTAACTGTGTCTATGTTTCACTTCGTAAGCTGAGGGCAGGGTACACTGGTGTGTGTTATATTATTTCTATGCTTGTCTTTGACACATTTCATTCTTTAAAATCTTTTACAAAATAGTAATTTTATTCATGGATCCCCAAATCCATGAAGGATTCTAAGGGCAATTTTACTTGATCACACCTGAGGTCTCACAATTTCCCCATAAACGTAGAGACATTTGGAGTGGTACATTTGAATATTTCTACTCCTATGAGCTGGTCAAAGTAGCCAGTACATGGATGCTGGTGGGAAGAAAGAAAAGGAAAGGAAAGGGGCAAAAAGGAGAGGAGGGGGAGGGGGGAGGGGAGGAGAAGGGAGGGGAGGGGAGGGAGGAAGGAAGGAAGGAAGGAAAGAAGGGAGGGAGGGAGGGAGGGAGGGAGGGGGAGGAGAGAGGTCGAGTGCGGTGACTCACGCCTGTAATCCCAGCACTTTGGGAGGCTGAGGTGGGCAGATCATTTCAGGTCAGGAGTTCGAGACCAGCCTGGCCAAAATGGTAAAACCGTATCTCTACTAAAAATTAAAAACAAAAAAAAAAATTAGCCAGGTATGGTGGTGTGTGCCTATAATCTCAGCTACTTGGGAGGCTGAGGCAGGAGAATGGCTTGAACTCGGGAGGCGGAGGTTGCAGTGAGCCATGATCACACCACTGCATACTCCAGCCTGGGAAAGAGGGCAAGACTCATCAAAAAGAAAGAAAGAAAGTAAAGAAAGAAAGAAGGAAGGAGGGAGGGAGGGAGGGAGGGAAGGAAGGAAGGAAGGAAGGAAGGAAGGAAGGAAGGAAGGAAGGAAGGAAGGAAGCAAGGAAGGAGAAGAAGGAAAGAAAGAACTTTGTCCTCTCACAGCAGTGCTCCTACAGGGCTGCCTCTCTAGCCAATGGCCACCCTCTCTTGGTTTGAACACCTCCGGTGGTGCAGACGCAGGAGCTTGTTCACCTCTCAGAGGAGCTCATGGTGGCCATGTAATCTGCAGGATCATCAAGAGCCCAGGATTGTTTACTGTACTTGCTCTGCCACTTCTCAGATACAACTACCTGCATTTTACAAATGAGGAAACTGAGGCACGGTGATGTGAAGTAACTTGCCCGAGGTCAGAGGGCTATGAGGGGGTTCTACCAGGAAAGGACAGGGATCATCCGACTGGTTCACTCCTTATCTCTGGGCTGACAGCAATGCCACCATCAACAGCATGACCACACACTTTATTGTTTGAGCCAGGACACAAGTGAGAACAGAAGAGGACACGAACCTGAGGGGACAATGGACAAACAGGATGGTCCTAGGCAAACCAGGATGGAAGATGACTTTATAAATAAATATCTGTGGAAAGAATTAACTCAGGCCTGTCTTACTTGAAGGCCTGGATTTTAACTACCACATGACATTGAGCAAGGCATATTTACAAAACTGAATTTTACTGACAGGATGCGTTTGCTTGAAAGGCACGCTTCTGAGTGTTAATCTACAATTCACATTGGACAGGAATTTTGGTTGCGGTTTTGTCATCACACAGCTTGTTAGTCAGTCCCAGAGGGTGGAAATGCAAATTAAAGAAATGCTTTGAGTTAAAAAAAATAGCAAAGAAAGAAAACTCTTTCAGAAGCCTAAGTCATTATAGCCTGTAATTGGGGTACAAGATGGGATAAAATTTCTATTGTATCAGAAAAAATGATAAAGGAATAATTTCTATCATTCCCTTCTTGAAAAAATAACAGCATTTCCAATGAACTTTCATATCAATGATGGTCTTAATTACCCATCCCCTTCTTGTGAGCCAAATGCCTTTTCTTCAGGCATTGACAAAAGAAGTAATTTTCTTTTATTTTTCTTCTTCTCCTGCCTCTTCCCACTTTCTCCTTTCTTTTCTCCCTCCCCTCTCTCTTTCAGAGAAACAACTAGAGTACATCCATCCCTAAATCAATGTCCCCGAAGGCATGCTGCGGAACAGTGCAGACCCTCCCGGGAAGCCACCGTGTGTGCCCCAAATATTCCTGCAATGACAGCATCTCTGAGGGCTGAAAAAAATCTTGTCCTCTGGAATCAGGCTCATGCCATTAATTCCAGCAACTTGGGAGGCTGAGGCAGGAGCATTGCTTGAGGGCAGGAGTTTGAGAGCAGCTTGGGCAACACAGTTGAGAGCAGCTTGGGCAACACAGTGAGACCCCCAGATCTCTACAAACAAATGTTTTTAATTAGCTGAGAGTCCCAGCTATTCAGGAGACTGAGGCAGGTGGATTACTTGAGCCCATGAGTTCGAGGCTGCAGTGAGCTATGATTGTGCCACTGCACTCCAGCCTGGGGGACAGAGTGAGATCCAAGAAATGAAAGGAAAGGAAAAAGGAAAAGAAAGGAAGAAGGAAGGAAGGAAGGAAGGAGAGGAAAGAAAGAATGGAAGAAAAGAAAGGAAGGAAGGAAAGGAGGGAAGGAAGGAAGGAAGGGGAAGGAATAAAGGAAGGAAGAAGGGAAGGAGGGAGGGAGGAGGGAGGGAGGAGGGAGGAAGAGAAGGAAGAAGGGAAGGAGGGAAGGAAGAAAGGAAGGAAGGAAAGAAAGAAAGTAAGAAAGGAAAGAAAGAAAGAATGAAAGAGAAAGAGAGAAAGAAAGAAAGAGAAAGAAAGAAAAAGCAGGGAAGGAAGGAAGAAAGGAAGAAGGGAGGGAGGCAGGCAAGGGAGGAGGAAGGAAGGAAGGAGGAAAGGAGGAAAGGAAGGAAGGAAAGAGAGAAGAAGGAGAGAAGAAAAAGAAAAAGAGCAGGCAAGGAAGGAAAGAAAGAAGGAATGAAGGAAGGGAAGGAAGGAAGAAAGGAGGAAGGAGGGAAGGAAGGCAAGGAGGGAGGGAGGAAGGAAAGAAGGAAGGAAGGAAGAAGAAGGCAAGAAAGGCAGCTGGGGGGAGGAAGGAAGGAAGGGAGGGAGGGAGGGAGAAGGGAGGGAGGGGTAACCTTGTCCTTCCACAGCAGTGCTCCTACAGTGCAGCCTCTCTAGCCAGTGGCCACCCTCTCTTGATCTGAACACCTCCTGTGGCCCAGAGACGAGAGCCCGTCCATCTCTGAGAGGAGGATCACGGTGGCCGTGGAATCTGCAGCAGCATCAGGAGCATCGAGAGGGATTGCTCACTGTGCTGGCTCTATCACTTCTCTGCTGTGTGGCCTTGGCAAGTCATTCCACCTCTCTGTGCCTCATTTCAGAGGTTACAAATGGAGACCCTCTGATTTCTATTTGACCTATTCAGTGTTTTTTTTTTTTTTAAAGAACTGAATTAAACATAAACTTTTAAAATCCGAACATCTCAAATAAAGATGCAGATTTCTGGCTTCTTCAGAAAACCAAGCATCTGGTCACTCCTGGCTCAGGTTCCTGCAGGACAACAGCTGGGTGTTGGCTGCCCACCCTGGCTCAGACAGGTCCCGCTTGGAAACCCGGGAGCTCATGAGCAGAATGGGCGCAACTCTCATTCCTGTGCCTGCTGTCCCTAGAAGGCAGCCGAGCTGGGTATCACCACATATACCTACAGTACAGCACTCATTCTGTTGGTAGGAACTGTACTTCTGGGATATTTCCCCTGCCTAGAATGTTCTCCCAACCAAATTTATTCTTTCAAATCCTATCTGTCCTTCGAGGCCCAGTTCGTAGACCACCTCCATCACAAAGATTCTGTCTACCTTTCCACCACTGAAAATTTGAAGCAATCTTCTTCCATGACCTTCCCCTAACTCCTGGGCATAACCCTGCCACACCACTTTTCACAGGCAGCCTTTTACTCCACTTAGTTGTGAACACATCACATACGCGCGCGCGCACACACACACACACACAGAGGACTGCAGAAATCTTGCTGGTAGACACTTCAATTCATCTATGTTTGTCAGTTTAGCAGAATCTCTCTATGGTGGGCAGAATAAGGTCCCCAAAGATGCCCACATTCTAGTTCCTAGAACCTGAGAAAGGGGACTTAGGTTGCAGATGGAATTGAGGCTGCCAATCACTGACCTTCAGATGGGGAGATTATCCTGGATTATTTGAGTGGACCCCATGGAATTGTAAGGGTCTGAGTCAGCGTGATGGGGTGTGAGAAGAACTCAAATAGCCATTGCTGGCTTTGAAGACAGGAGGTCATGAGCCAGGGAATGTGGGCACCTCTAGAAACTGGAAAAACCAATGAATAGGTTCTCCCCTAGAGCCTCCAGAAAGAACTATCCCTTCTGACACCTTGATATTAGCCTAGTGAAACACACTGTAGACATCTGACCTCCAGAACTGCAAGAAAATAAATGTATGTTGTTTTAAGCCACTGGAGATGGCAGTTTGTTATGGCAGCAATAGGATACTAATATTCCCTCTTTCCATACAGTAGTGCTCAACATATTCCAATAGATGCTGAATCTGATAGCATCTTCTTTCCCTGGATCCCATAATCACATCAGGACAAGGC
This sequence comes from Homo sapiens, assembly GCF_000001405.40. Taxonomy (NCBI): domain Eukaryota; kingdom Metazoa; phylum Chordata; class Mammalia; order Primates; family Hominidae; genus Homo; species Homo sapiens. Next base: position 5,098,816 of record NC_000004.12, on the reverse strand, counting down.
TGTGTTATATACATCACCCCATGCTGTTTAGTTTCTAGGGTACATAACTGCATTCCTACTAACAAAGCAGCTTGTAAAAGAGAGAACAGCTGGGAGACCAGGAAGAGGGCAGAGTTTTTGGTTTCAGAAACTGGATATTAGAATCATGGCCTACATTTAGTACATTTAGCTATGGTGACCTTAAGTAGTGATTTCACCTTGAGAAGTCTCAATCTCCTCACCTATAAAGTGGAGCTAGCAGTACCTCCTTACAAGAACTCTTGTGAGAAGTAACTGGTACACTCTAAGCATGCAGTCATGAGATTTATTTCAAATGCTTAGCACACACATGCATACCACATACTCATGAAGAAACTCCTAGGACAGCATTTCTACCCACTCTCTGCTGCTGATAGTGGGTTTTGTAACCAAGGAAATAACTTTCAATCTCAGCCAAGAGATGCTGGGGTGGTGATTAGCCCCAGGGCATACTTGTTCCCAGGGTCCTCCTGTTACATGAATAATACATATAGAGCCCAACTCCCGGTTTCCTTTCCTGTAGTACTGTAAACATAACAAGTCCTTCTGCTCCAAATCACTGTCTTTAACACTTTTCACTGCTTTCCATACCACACCCTGTGCAATGCAACTTTTCAGGTCCTCACATCAAGAGATGGGGTCTATTTCTGCATTACTTGCATTTGGGCTGAATTGGAGACCTGATTTGACCAATAAAATATAATGCGAGTGATGTTTCTTGGAACCCTGCCACTGTCTATGGCCAAGCACAGGCTAGCCTGTTAGCAGGTAAGAGATCACGTGGAACAGATGATCCATCCCGGCCAAGGCTGTTATAGACTGGCCAGTACCTAGCTGAACAACCAGCTGACTGCAGAGACAGGAGTGAACCCCTCTGAGATGATCTAAGCCTAGCCCAGGTTAGCATAACTCCCCAGCTGACTTGTAGACACATTAAGCAATGTTAAAAGGTTATTGTTTTAAGCCATTGGGTTTTAGGGCAATTTGTTATGCAGCAATAGCTAACTGATACACTGCCCTCCTTACTTAGCAACTGAAGAAACATCTGAATCACATATCGACATGATTAACGAGTTAGTGATCAGGGTCCTGTTAACCTTTAAGTCTTTCAGAAACCATAAAAAATGGCCCTTCTGAAGAGTCTGATTGGAGTCACCCAAGTTAGAGACTAAGATTTGCATGTCACTTCATGAAAAGAACCAAGCTTCTGAGCTCCCCTTCTTGGCTATCTGGTGTCTGGAAGCTAAAACATCAAGGACAACACATGAGAGAGAGATGTTTGGTAAGACACTAAAATCTGCCAAGGAACAAGTAGGGGATCTTTCTTTCTTGATGTGTAGACATTTCTGTTGAAACAGTATCCTTCTAAATGAAGCTAATGTGTTCTCTTGAGCAAGAAAGAAGTTGGATGGATTCATTTAAACTCAGCAAACTGTGAACAAAGAGTAAACTCAATACAAGGAATAACAAGAAGTGTCACTCGTGCCATTTTCAAGGTATATGCATTTAAAGTGTATCATTCATTCATTCAATAAACATGAATGAAGCATGTCCACATCCATTTATGGCAGAAATCAAACAGGCTTCCCTATTTAGTTAATGGCCACTGTTACGTTCCCTTTTCCATTCCACAACAAAAATACCATGGGCAAGAAAGTACATTTTAAATAAACAACTTTTCACGTTCATAAAGCAATAGTTGGGACAAGAAGAAGAATCAAAGTCTTTAGAACTGGACCAATTGGGGTGCAAATCCTACCTCTGCCTCTTGTGAGTTGGATAAGTTTCTTATTTTCTCAGCTTCGATTTCCTCTTCTGTAGAGGAAGAATAAATAGTCTTACCTCCTAGGGACACTGTGATGATTGAATGGGCTTCCATGTGGAGTGCCTGGCACTTAGCAGGAGCTCCATAAACATTAGTGTTTTCCTCCTTTAAAAATGGCCAACACCATGGAAATCGATCTTAGTTATTAGGAGTGTTAATATCTGCTCCTTTCTTTTTGCCGGTTGGCAGTCAGCCAGGCTCTTTCTTTGGGGGTCTCTGAATGTGGGCTGACAAATGTAAACGCCGCCCTCCCCCTTCCTACAAGCTCAGGTAAGCCTCATGGTGTTCGCGACTGGCCCCAGCAGGTGCCGTAGATGCCAAGGTCTTAAGAATTAGCAAAGAAAAAACACCACTAAGGTTGTCGCTGACCAAAGGCACACCTCGAATTCAAAGTGAAGATCTAGAAATAATGTAGCCCTTCCAACAGATCCAGGGTGGGAGGAGGGAGTCTAATTGAGAGGATGTGTGTGGTGACCGTTGGAATGTTTGCTTTTTGTTGTCAAAAGGCCATCTGGAGTGCGGGAAACATGGAGATCAATTTCCTTGGCTCGCATGGCCACTCCCAACGGTGGGGATGCAGAAATGTTGACCACGTGCTGGCTCCTGCACCGTTACCAACAGCCAATCATGCCAGGAGAGGAGAGAATATTTTATTATTTTTTTTAACAGGAAAGTGCAGAAAATCTGAAGCACTGAGATACTACTCCCTTTACACTTCATCCTAGCTGTCTGAAAATTCTAAAAGGATATTTTAGGGTAAACCCAAAGTTTTAGCTGTCTTAGAATGGTGTTTTAAACAACATTTTTACTATGTTACAGCACATGCTCCCTGTGGAAAATATTCTTAGAATGTTTTCAACAATTTTTTTAGTATTATAGCATATGCTCATTGTAGAAAAATATTTCTCTAATAGAAAATACAGAAACAGACACAGAAGACAATGAAAATCTTCATAATTCCACATCCCATGAAATCACTAATATAATATCCAGTAGAATTTTTTTCCAGTTCACGTGTAACCAGCTTTTTCACTTAAATCTTGAACATATTACATCAAAATTGTCAATGAACACTACTTTGAATGATTAATAACATTCCATCATATTATGTCCCCAAATGACTTAACCACTCCATTGGCATTGGATACTGAAACACATCGCGTATGTTGCTCATTGTGGGCCATGCTGCCACAGAGACTTCTAATCACACAATCAAAGGGTCAGTCATGACGGTGGTGACAATGTCTCTTTTACTCTCCAACATTTACCCAAAGCCAAGTATAAGGTCTGGAACCCAGAAGAGATCAATATGTATTATTTTAATAAATGAACCCTGTTACATTCTGTTTATTGGTTTTTCAGACCAAGTCAAGCTGTGTCACCCAGGTTGGAGTGCAGTGGCATGATCTCGGCTCACTGCAACCTCTACCTTCCAGGTTCAAGCAATTCTCCTGCCTCAGCCTCCCAAGTAGCTGGGACTACAGGCATGTGCCACCACGCCTGGCTAGTTTTTATAGTTTTAATAGAGGCAGAGTTTCGCCCTGTTGGCCAGACTGGTCTTGAACTCCTGGCCTCAAGTGATCCGCCCACCTCGACCTTCCAAAGTGGTGGGATTACAGGTGTAAGCCACTGCACCTGGCCTCTCCGTTACATTTTTAAAAGGTAATTTATATTAATACGCTTAAAACCATATCACCTTAAGCTTACCATTACATCACAGTCTAAACCACCAGCCTGACATGTGGAGTCTGGGTGATCTCTTCCCAGCCTGCCCTTACCCACCTGAACCTGAACCCCAGCCATAAATAAATCCTCACGAAAATGTCCCTAGCCCTCATTCCTACAGCCCTCTCCTCCCAGTCAGAGCTGTAGCTGCTCCCCTGAATTAATCCCTACAGGAGCACCTGGTCTCAGTGCCATTAGCACCACCTTACGTCACTCACCTGCCAGGCAGTGAGCTCTTCAAGGAAGAGCCGCATCTCATTCCTCTCTGAGCCCACAGTGCCCAGGGCAGGGCCTGGCAGCTAGTAGTGTGCAGTAATGCAGGTTGGGTGAATTAATGAACTGCCATACTTGCCCTAAGATTGCACTGTTGATTCAGACATCATTGAGGGCAGAAAGTAAGTTGACCCTTGAGAACAATGTGGGAGTTAGGGGCGCCGACTCCCTACACAGTCAAAAGTCTGTGTATAACTTTTGACTGCCCAAAAACTTGACTACTAGTAGCTTACTGTTGACTGGCAGCCTTACCAACAACATAAACCATAGATTAACACATATTTTGTATGTTATAAGTATTGTATACTGTATTCTTTTATAGCAACAGGGTCTCTCTCTGTCACCTAGGCTGGAGTGCAGTGACACAAACACAGCTCATTGTAGCCTTGAACTCCCGGGCTCAAGTGACTCCTCCTGCCTCAGCCTCCCAAGTAGCTGGGTCTGCAGGTGCACACCACCATGCCCACCTAGTTTTTAAAATATTCTGTAGAGACAATATCTGGCTATATTGCTCAAGCTGAACTTGAACTCCTGGGCTCAAACAATCCTCCCACCTAGGCCTCTCAAAATGCTAGGATTACAGGCATGAGCTATCATGCCAACCAGTGATTTTCTTAATGGCATCTGAGAACTCATCTGCTGGCTCTTGGTTGGCAGAAGCACTTCTTCTGTTAACTTGACATTTTTAAAGTTAAACCTCTTTCTAAAATTGTCAAACCATTCTTTGCTGGCCTTAAATTCTTTGGTTTTAGATCCTTCGCCTTCCTTTTGCTTTAAGTTTTCATATAGTGACGGCTTTTTCTTGAATCATTACACTCTATGGGTATGCCTTCCTTGTAGCAATCCTGCACCCATATAACAGCTGCACTTTCAATGTAAGATAAAGAGGTATTTCACAAAAAGTGCAAGGTTTTCATGCCTGCCAGTGTAGCTATAGCAATGGCTTCACATTGGTCTTTATCGTGGATTCATTTTCTTGAAATGGCAGGCAACCAACCGCCCTGCAGACCTCAATCTATGGTATATATCAAGCAATTCAACTTTTTCTTGTAATGTCAGGACTTTTCTCTGCTTCTTGGAAGCACCACCAGCATCACTCTTAGCACTTTGTATAGGTCTCATGGTGTTTTCCAAAGTATTGCACTAAACATGATGAAAAATATTCCAGAACTACAAGAGATCACTATTCACAGGTGATACACATTTAGAGGGGCAACAAACTGCTCACCTGGAGATTATTAGCATCACATGGCATTTTTTTTCATTATACTTTAAGTTTTAGGGTACATGTGCACAACGTGCAGGTTAGTTACATATGCATACATGTGCCATGTTGGTGTGTTGCACCCATTAACTCATCATTTAACATTAGGTATATCTCCTAATGCTATCCCTCCCCCCTTCCCCCACCTCACAACAGGCCCCAGTGTGTGATGTTCCCCTTCCTGTGTCCACGTGTTCTCATTGTTCAATTCCCACCTATGAGTGAGAACATGCGGTGTTTGGTTTTTTGTCCTTGCGATAGTTGCTGAGAGTAGATACTCGAAAAACTTGAGCTCACCACAATAGCAACAGGAGGTGGCTATGAAATTTTTACAGTAGTACAATATATACTAAGTTTCATGCAGTTACTATTTAATACAGCATCTTCATATTTGTTTACGTTTCTTTTGACTTCAAATGGCACCATGTACAGTCTGTGTCTGTGTGTATGTTTTGATAAATGTTAACCTTTTATAATAGATTTGTATACATTTTATGGTAGTAAGTGATCAACTAGTCTCTACATATATTTTAGGTATTCATGAAATATCTTTTTCTTAATTTTTTCAGTATTTTTAGGCCACACAAGTTTTTCTTCTGCAAGTTTTTTTCAAATTGTTGAAAATCTCCAAAAATTGTTCCAATATGTTTATTGAAAAATACCTACATATAAGTGGACCTGCACAGTTCAAATCCATGTTGTTCAAGGATCAACCATATGTGGTGTTTGTTCACATTTATTGTTCTTTCCTTTGCCCTCTTTTTATTATTTTTCCAATATTTTTATTGAGATATAATTCACATAATGTAAATTCACGATGTGATACAGTTTGGATCTGTGTCCCCCACCCAAATCGCATGTCAAATTGAAATTCCCATTGTTGGAGGTGTGACCGGGTGGGAGGTGATTGGATCATGAGGGCCGTTTCTCATGAATGGTTTAGCACCATCTCCTTGGTGCTGTTCTCGGGATAGTGAGTTCTCACGAGATCGGGTCATTTAAAAGTGTGTAGCACCCCAACCATCCCTTGCTGCTGCTCCTGCCAGATGAGACGGACTCCTCAGAAGCAGAAGCCACTATGTTTCCCGTGGAGCCTGCAGAACCGTGAGCCAATTAAACCTGTTGTCTTTATAAATTACCCGGTTTCAGGTTTTCTTCTTCTTTTTTTTTTTTTTTTGAGACGGAGTCTCGCTCTGTCGCCCAGGCTAGAGTGCAGTGGCGCAATCTCAGAGGCTCACTGCAAGCTCCGCCTCCCGAGTTCACACCATTCTCCGGCCTCAGCCTCCCGAGTAGCTGGGACTACAGGTGCCCACCACAACGCTGGGCTAGTTCTTGTATTTTTAGTAAAGACAGGGTTTCACCATGTTGCCCAGGCTGGTCTCAAACTCTTGACCTCAGGTGATCTGCCCGCCTCGGCCTCCCGAAGTGCTGGGATTACAGGCGCGAGCCACTGCACCCAGCCTCTGGTATTTCTTTATAGCAGTGTGAGAATAAACTAGTATACCATTTTAAAGTGTACAATTCATTGAACTTGAGCATAACAATATTGGGCAACCATACCTCTATTTAATTCCAGGACCTCTATCTAATTCCATACCTCTATCTAATTCCAGGACGTTTCACTCCAGCAAGAAGCATTGTACCTGTTAGCAGTCACTCTCAATTCCACTCCCTTCTACAGCCATTAATCTACTTTCCATTTCTATGGATTTGTTTATTCTAGACAGTCCATATAAATGAAATCATACAATATGTGACCTTTTCTGGCAGACTTCTTTCACTTAACATAAAGTTTTAAAAGTTCATCCATGTTGCTGTATGTATCAGTACTTCATTCCTCTTATGGCTCAAAAATATTCCATTTAAGGATACACCACATTATGTTTATCCATTCATCAGTTGATCAACATTTGCCCTACTCCTTCTTGTTGGCTATTATGAATAATTCTGCATGTTTTTGTGTGAATACTTATTTTCAATTCTCTTCAGCATATACCTAAGAGTAGATTTGCTAAATCATACTGTAATTCTATCTTTAATTTTTTTAGGAACTGTCAAGCTGTTTCCACAGCCCTGCACCATTATACATTCCCACTAGCAATGTATAAGGATTCCAATATTTCCACATTATCGCCAATATTTCCTATTCTGTTTTATTATTCCATCCTATTGAGTATGAAGTAGTGTATCATTGTGGGTTTGATTTACATTTTTGTAAATACTAATAATGTTGAGCATCTTTTCATGTGTTTATTGATCATTTGTATATATTCTTTTGAGAAACATTTATTCAAATCCTTTTTTCATTTTAAAATTGGGTTGTCTTTTTATTGTTGAATTTTAGAGTTCTTTATGCATTCTGTTTATTAGGTCCTTATCAAATATATGATTTTTACATCACTTCTCCCATTCTGTGGGTTGTTTTTACCTTTTCTTGATAGTGTCCTTCGATGCATAAAAATATTTAATTTTGATGAAATCTAATTTATATTTTTTATTTTTACTTTTTTGTTACTGTGTTTTTGAAGTCAACAGTAAGAAGCACTTGCCCAAGGTGAAATCTGGCATTGATATCAGGGTAATACTGGCATCACAGAATAAGTTAGGAAGTGTTTCCTCCTTTTATATTTTTCAACGAATTTGAGAACGATTGGTGTTAATTTTCATTTAAATGTTTGTAGAATTTACCCATGAAACTATATGGTCCTGAATTTTTCTTTGTTAAAAGTTCTAAAATTATCAAAATCTTTTTACTTGTTATAAGTCTATCTAGATTTTCTATTTGTCCTTAAATAAGTTTTGGCAGTGTTTGTGTTTCTAGAAATTTGTCCATTTCATATAGACCAATAGAGCAGAACACAGACTTCAGAAATAACACCACACATCTACAACCATCTGATCTTCCACAAACTGGACAAAAACAAGCAATGGGGAAAGGATCTCCTGTTCAGCAAATGGTGCTTGGAAAAGTGGCTAGCCATATGCAGAAAATTGGAAACTGGACCCCTTCCTTACACCTTATACAAAAATTAACTCAAGATGGATTAAAGGCCAGGAGTAGTAGCTCATGCCTGTAATCCCAGCACTTTGGGAGGCCAAGGAGGGTGGATCACGAGGTCAGGAGATCGAGACCATCCTGGCTAACACAGTGAAACCCCGTCTCTACTAAAAATACAAAAAATTAGTCAGGCACCTGTAGTCCCAGCTACTCAGGAGGCTGAGGCAGGAGAACGGCGTGAACCTGGGAGGCAGAGTTTGCAGTGAGCCAAGATTGTGCCACTGCACTCTAGCCTGGGTGACAGAGCGAGACTCTGTCTCGAAAAAAAAAAAAAAAAAAAAAAGATGGATTAAAGACTTAAATGTAAAACCCAAAACCATTAAAGCCCTGGAAGAAAACCTAGGGAATACTATTCAGGACACAGTCATGGGCAAAGACTTCATGATGAAAATACCAAAAGCAATTGCAACAAAAGCCAAAATTGACAAATGGGATCTAATTAAACTAAAGAGCTTCTGCACAGCAAAAGAAACTAGCATCAGAGTGAACAGGCAACCTATAGAATGGAAGAAAATTTTTGCAATCTCCCTATCTGACAAAGGTCTAATACCCAGAATTTACAAGGAACTTAAACATATTTACAAGAAAAAACAACCCCATCAAAAAGTGGGCAAAAGACATGAACAGACACTTCTCAAAAGAAAACATTTACGCAGCCACCAAACATATGAAAAAAAGCTCAACATCACTGATCATCACAGAAATGCAAATCGAAACCACAATGAGATACCATCTCACGCCAGTCAGAATGGTGATTATTAAAAAGTCAGGAAACAATAGATGCTGTGGAGAAATAGATGAGGTTGTGGAGAAATACGAACGCTTTTACACTGTTGGTGGGAATGCAAATTAGTTCAACCATGGTAGAAGACAGTATTGTGATTCCTTAGGGATCTGGAACCAAAAATACCATTTGACCCAGCAATCCCATTACTAGGTATATACTCAAAGGAATATAAATCATTGTACTATAAAGACACATGCACACCTAGGTTTATTGCTACATACTACATACATACACACTAGCTACAATACCAAAGACATGGAACCAACCCAAATGCCCATCAATGATAGACTGGATAAAGAAAATGTGGCACATATACACCATGAAATACTAGGCAGACATAAAAAAGAATGAGATCATGTCCTTTGCAGGGACATGGATGAAGCTAGAAGCCATCATCCTCAGCAAACTAACAGAAGAACAGAAAATCAAACACCGCATAATCTCACTCACAAGTGGGAGTTGAACAATGAGAATATATGGACACAGAGAAGGGAACAACACACACCAGGGCCTGTTGTGGGATGGGGTTGAGGAGAGGGAACTTAGAGGATGGGTCAATAGGTGCAGCAAACCACCATGGCACAGGTATACGTATGTGACAAACCTGCATGTTCTGCATGTGTATCCCTGTTTTTTTTTTAGAATAAAGAAAAAAAAGAAATTTGTCTATTAGATCTTGGTTATCTAATTTATTGGCATACAATTATTCATAATATTCTCTTACAATCCTTTTTATTTCTGTAAGGTTAGTAGAAATGTCCCCACTTTTATTCCTAATTTTAGTACTTTCAGTCATCTTTCTTTCTCAATCAGTCTAGGTAAAAGGCTTGACAATTTTGTAGACCTCTTCCAAGAGCAAATTTTTGGCTTTTTTGATTGTCTCAATGTTTTAACCTTCTCTAGTTCCTTTATTTCCATTCTAATTCGTAGCATTTCCTTTCTTCTGCTTGTGTTGGATTTAGTTTGTTCTTCTTTGTCTAGATTCTTAAAGTGAAAGATTAGGTTATTGATTTGAGATCTTCCTTGTCTTTTTAATGTAAACATTCAACTATAAATTTCCCTCTGAGCACTGCTTTCACTGCATACCATAAAGGTTTTTTATAACTTTTAATTTTTATGGGTACATAGTAGGTGTATGTGTTTATGGGATCCATGAGATGTCTTGATACAGGCTGCAATGCATAATAATCACATCATGGAAACTGAAGTATCCATCTCTCAAACAGTTATCCTTTGTGTTACAAACAATCCAATTATACTATTTTAGTTATTTTAAAATGTATGGTTAAATTATTTTGACTGCACTCATCCTATTGTACGATCAAATACTAGGTATTAATAATCACATCATGGAGAATGGGATATCCAACCTCTCAAGTATTTATCCTTTGAGTTACTAAAAATCCAATTATATTCTTTTAGTTATTTTAAAACATATAATTATTATTGATTACAGTCACCCTGTTGTGCTGTCAAATAGTAGGCCTCATTCATTCTTTTTAACTATTTTTTGTACCCATTAATTATCCTCTGGTAACCATCCTTCTACTCTCTATGTCCATGAGTTCAATTGTTTTGATTTTTAGATCCCACAAATCTATGATATATGCATACCATGAGTTTTGATATGCTGTGTTTTCATTTTTATTCACCTCAAACTATTTTCTAGTTTTGGTTATTTAGGAATGTGCTGTTTAATTTCCACATATTGGTGAATCTTCCAGCTTTCCTTTTATTATTGATTCCTAGCTTTTTTCTGTTGCGATCACAGGCATACATTGTATAATTTAAATATTTTTAAACTTATTGAGACTGTTTTATGGTCAAACATTTGGTCTATCTTGGAAAATGTTTCATGAGCACTTAAGTAGAATGTGCATTTTGCTGTTGTTAGGTGGACTGTTATATACATGTCCATCAGTTATAGTTCATTTATATTGTTCAAGTCTTTGATTTCTTTGATGATATTCTGTCTAGTTGCTCTTTTCATTTTTGAAAGTAGAGTATTTAAGTCTCCAACTATTATTGTTCACATGTTCATTTCCACCCTCAATTCTGCCGCTTTTTGCTTCATACGTCTTGGGGCTATATTATGAGATCCATAAATATTTGTAATTATTATGTCCTCTTGGTGGGTTGACCTTTTTATTATTATATAATATCCTTATTTACTCTAGTAATTATTTTTTCTTAAAGTCTATTATGTTTGATATTAGTCTAGCCACTCTGCTTCTATTTTGTTTATTATTGCATGGAATATCTTTTTCTATCATTTATCTATCTATCTATCAAATTATTTGTCCCTTGGAATTTAAAATGAGTTTCTTCTAGATAGCATATAGCTGTTTTTTATCCATTCTGCCAATATCTATCTTTTAATTGGAGAGTTTAATCCATTTACATTTAATATAACTACTGTTAAGGAAGAATTTATTTTTGCTATTTTATTTGCTTTCTATAAGTCATAGCTTTTTATTTGTCAATTCCTCTATTACTGCCTTCTTTTTGTTAAATAGATGTTCTATAGTGTACCATTAGTAATTTCTTTTTGGTTTCTCTCTATATACATTATTATTTTTTGTAGTGATTGCCCTGGGTATTATAATTAGCATCTCAATTTATAATAATCCAGTTTCTATTAATACTACTTAATTTCAAATATATACAAAATCTATGCTGTCATATCTCTTCATTCATCCCCTTTATGCTGTTTTTACCACATATTATAGCTTTATTATGTGCCTATCTATATAGATTTAATAACTTTATACAATTTTTAAAACACATGGAATAAAAAGAATTGCAAACAAAAATACATTTATGCTGTGTCTCATTTATCCATGTAGTTAACTTTACTGGTGTTCTTAATTTCTTCATGCAGCTTTGAGTTACTCTATACTATCCTTACATTTCATTTCTGAATGACTCTCTTTACTATCTGTTGCAGGACAAGTCTACTAGTGACAAACTCAATTTTTGTTTATCTGGAAATGTCTTAATTTCTTCTTCATTTTTAAAGATAGTTTTTCAGATATACAATTCTTGATTGACAGTAGATTTTTTCAGCACTTTGAGTATGTCATCTCACTGCCTTCTGGCCTCCACAGAGTTTGATGGGAAATCAGCTGTTAATCTTACTACACCTGATGAGTCACTTCTCCCTTGCTGCTTTCAAAATTCTGTGTTTAACTGTGACAGTTTAATTAATCTCGGTGTGGTTCTTTTTTAGTTTATCTTACTAGGGATTCACTGAGCTTCTTGGAAGTGTAGCTTATTGTTTTTTGTCACATTTGGATTACTTTTTACCATTATTATCTTCAAATATTATTTCTTCTCTTTTCTCTTTTTCTTCTACTTCTGGGGTTGCCATTATGGTTGCTACACTTGATGGCACCTCATGTGTCTCTAAGACTTTGTTCATTTCTCTTCATTCTTTTATTTCTGTTCCATTAGCTTAGTGGTCATCTAACGACTATAAAGAGATTTCCTTAAACTCTTAGAACCAAGAAATCTTCCATCATTTGCAGAAGAGCTTTGTGTTTGTTAGAGCACACCCTCAACACTCAGCCAGATAGTTGACAGCTCTGCCTTAGCCTTCACTTCCTGCTAGCACAGACCCTCAAGGTTAGGCAGAGGTGAAAGTCTGGGGCTTCCTCAAGTCTTTCTCGAGGCAGGTGCACAAGCCTGGGCATGCACATGAACCTATAGATTCCCAGAAATAGACAGAAGCTTTTGAGCCCTATTTCCCAGCATTTCTTCTAAAGCTTTTTAGTCTATTGTTTGCACCAACTATTATCTATCACTTCACGCAGCAGTGACTGGAACATTTTCCTGTAAATGTTTTAGACAATTACCCTTCTCCTCCCAAGTAGCACTGGGAAAGTTCCAAGTTGAGTAAAATAAAGAAAAGCCTTTCCAGCTAGTCTTCTTCCGGAAAGCCAACAAACATACCGAGTAATTATAATTCTGTATGAAAAAGGTCTCTTCTGCTCTCTCTGGTACAAGGCACATGGGTTGTTATTTTCAAGGCTATCGCTGAGATAGTAAATGGGGAATGAGACTAGGGTAAGTTAAAATACCACAAAGCTTACTGTTCTCAACAAAGTTCAGCTGCTGTTCTTGAATAAGTGCCTCTTGGGTTGTCTAAGCCTTTGGTTAATCTCCAGAGTTCCAAAAAAGTTACTTCTAACAATTTTATCAATGCTTTTTTATTGCTTTTATGAAACTATGGAATTTCAGAGTTCCTTACTCGGCCATTTTCACTAATGGCCTGTTGGTGTTTGTTTTGAACATAGTAGAGAATGCACCTGCATGTTACAGGGTGCTTCCTTAGAACTATCCGGAGCCATGCTTCCAATGTGTGTTTTCTAGAACACCAGTTCCATGGGGGAAGTAACCATTACAGCATCCCATGGTGAAATGTTTGTGACATTAACCTTAAATAAAGTTAAACATGTCTCCTTACTGCACAATTTATCAGAATCCTTAATATGCTATATTGTCAATCCTATTCAGCTTCAAGAAGAGGAAAGAGTATAAAAATAATTACAGTAGATAATTGTGGGTCAGGCACTGTGCCAGACATTTTACATTTATTATGTCATTTGTTATTCATACCACCACACAACATATTTCCTATTTTATACACAAAGAAACGGAAGCATAGAAATTTTAAGTAAAAATTTCCAACGAGTAATTTCCAGAGTCAGAAATTTAATCAATTAGCTTCCAGGCTGTCCTGTAAACCATACTGCAGGATTTCCCTAACTTAATTTGACCACAGAAACATTTGTTCAGAGAATCTTGAAAGTTAATGTGTCTCAGAGTACATTCTGGAAAATGCTGAGTTAAAGCACAGTTAATAACTGGGGAACTGATTTGTGCTTTTCTCGACACTTTTACTGTCATGAATCATGCCAGAGGCCCTTGCTACATTAAATATTGATTGAAAAATGGGGCATGGAGTTGTTGTTCAACCTACAGATTATCATTACAAAGGAGCTTCTATATTTTAGTGTCTCCTCTGGCATAAGCATTAAAGGTTGTCTTTAAAAAACAGTTCCACTCTGAGACAGTTTAAAAATATAATTTTAATTTATGAAACCATACAAAAACTAAGTGGACTAAGTTCATCTTACAGATTTGCTTTCCTCAATTTTTTACAGAAGTTACTTTTTCCAACAAAGAAAGAAAATTGTTCTTAGCACAGAAATATTTGAAAACAAAAATATTTAAAGAAATACAAAATAAAAATCTGAAAACCTTGCATTCAGAGCCAGTTTCTGTTAGCTAACTCAAGCATTCTGAAGATCTTATTTTCTTTCCATACTTGGAATCCTGCCATAAATATTTTTATTATAATCATTTTATCACCATTACAAATTCTTCATAAATATCATTTTTTTCATGTCTTCAAAATATTCCATTTTAGGGAATTATCATAATTTACTGAATATTTCCACTCATGTTAACTATCTAGGTTATTAACCATCTTTCACTGTTGTAAATAATGCTGTTGTCTTTTGTAATACAGAAGTTTGGCAGAAGGCGCTCAGCAAAACACACACAGAGATGCCAGTCGACAAGGCTACATGTGGCAGCCAGTTCTCCAATACAAAGAAGTGAAGTCAAAATGGGGTAAATATGATACAGAGAGGTTTGTGGAAATATTGAAGACATTCACTAATTCACCAAAGCAAATTATATCTAAAATATGAGCTATCCAAGAAAACTACCAGGATTTAAATACAGAGATTGGAGGGACAGCAATTACTGAAAAGTAGTGTTGCAGAGAGAAACAGACATAGAAAGTATAACAAATCAGGTAACAGACTGGGCATGGTGGCTCACGCCTGCAATCTCAGCACATTGCAAGGCTGAGGCCAGTGGATCACCTGAGGTCAGGAGTTCAAGACTAGCCTGGCCAACAAGGTAAAAACCCTATCTCTACTAAAAATACAAAAATTAGCCAGATGTGGTGGCGGGTGCTTTTAACCTCAGTACTTGGGAGGCCAACGCAGCACAATTGCTTGAACCCAGGAGTTGGAGGTTGCAGTGAGCCGAGATTGTGCCACTGCACTCCAGCCTGGGCAAGAGAGTGAGACTCTGTCTCAAAAAAAAAAAAAATAGGTAACAGAAGAGCAGTCTATATCTAAGGAAGCAAAATAGATACTATCTCTTCCTTTTGTCATTTAAACACAGATGAATAAACAGTGGCCCAATTATTACTTATGTACATACTGAATACTGGGAATAATTCTAGCCTTTAATAGTTTAAAATAGCAGTAATGTCCATGTCCATTTATTGAGCATGTACTATTTGCCAGTCTCTGTGTAAGGGGCTATATGAAGTCCATCTGATTTAACCCTTACAACAAAGCAGACGTAATTATAAACAAGTGACACATTCAGAAAATTAGGCTCAAAAGTTGAGTAACTTGCCCAAGGTCTTTCAGAAACATGTGAATGAGCCAAAGATGAAAATACAACTCAGTCAAGAGCCTGTTTCCTTCCACAATCAAGTGGACTTTGTTCAACACACTCCATAAACCAAAATGAAAATATCTCCCAAACAACATGAACCAAAGAGGATATAGATTTCTAAATCTATTTTGAAAAGGAACTATTAACTAAAGCTAAATTTTAGTCATCCCAAGGTCTATCCAAACAAAGTCTTAAAGTTGAAAAAAAAGTTAGAGCCTTAAAACTGCTCGTAATCATTTTCTACTTTAGAAAATCAAGTTAAAGAAAATTATCTGAAAGACAGAGACAGTGATATGCACTAGAATGTTCATCACACTACTTACAGTGGCAAATAAAATGGAAATAACAAAGCCAACAACAAAAACTAGGTAAAATAAAGTGTTCGTTTATTGTAATATTTTGAAATCACCAAAACATTATGTAAAAATTGCTATTGTTTGTGGAAAATACCAATCAATGGAAAGTTGGAAAGTGGAAAGTGAATTGTATTGCACAATGAACACATTTTCAAAATATCTATGCATAGGAGAGAAAAAAAATCTTCCTGGGAAATAAAGCAAAATTTAACATTGGTTCTCACTCAAAGTTAAGACCAGAGTAGTGGAGTTTTTTAACTTTGTGATTTCTGGACATTTTCCAATTTTTTTTTTTTTACTACGAACATGTACTACTTTCATGATAGAAAAAAATTTAATCAGTATTCCAAACAAAAAACCACAAAGAACCTGGGCAGACAATGCCCTGAAAAGGAAATGCACATGTATTCATTCATTGTCAAAAAGTTAGAGTTGTCATTACATTTCCAGCAGGCAATAGATACGGATATAGGAGTGAATCAGATAGACAAAAATCCCCATGACAACAGGGCTCTCTCCTCAACAAAGGACTGCAATTCCTTCTAACTGCTTCACAGACTTCATCAAAAAGTCTTCTCACAGGCTGTTTGGAATACTTCACCTATGGATTCCTCAATTAGCACATGGGTACCTACAATGCTCCATCTGCCTCATCCCTCTCTCCCTGCCCTGAAGTTGGCCACCTGGATGCACCTCCATGGACTTGTGCAAGTGTGAACCTCTGCAGAAGACTCATGAGCACATGTAGACAGCTGACCTGACTCTGTAGGATTGGGAAAAGTCACAAAAACTTGAGAATTTCAGGATACCTCCTTCGGGACAACAAATGGGAGGCTCTCAGTACCTGGCCTGAATCTGCAGGATTAAGAACACAATCTTAAGAAATCCCTCCAAGGGAGAAAAAAAAAAGATGTAGAGCAGGCAGACCTGTATAAGAGGTCTAAGAAAGCCTAAAAAATCCTAGCTGGGCTGACTAGTACAGGTGTTTATCTGCTAAAATGAGACATTAAAAACTGGGGGGGACTGCTTTTTCAAATGCAAAGACAGAAAGGCAAGGGTGCCAGAAACAAACAAACAAACAAATTTAAGAAAACACAATTCTTCCAAAGAAGCACAATAATTTTCCATTAACCAACCCCAAAGAAATGAAGATACATACATTGTCTGACAAAGATTTCAAAATAATAGTTTTTAAAGAAGCTCAGTGAGGTATAGGAGAACACAGAAAACTCAATGACGTCAGGAAAACAATACATGAACAAAAACTAGAAGTTTAACAAAGAGATGGAAAGAATATTTTAAAAGAAGAATTCTGAAACTGAAGAATATGATGAACGAAATGAAAAACACAACAGACAACAGCAACAGCTAACTTGATCAAGAAGAATAAAGAATCTTTGAGCTAGATGAAAGGTCTTTTGAAATTATCCATTCAGAGGAGAAAAAAGAAAAAAAAGAATGAAAAGGAATAAAGAAAGCCTAAAGAATGTATTGGAAAGCACCAACAGAAATAATAGATGGACTATGGGAATATGGGAATACCAGGATGAAAAAGGAGAGAGAAAAGGCCAGAAATCTCATTTAAAGAAATAATGGCTTGAAAACACTCCAAATATGCGGAGATATACGGACATCCAGATACATGAAGCTTAAAGGTTTCAAGTAGTTGAACCCAGACAAGATTTTACAAAAACACATTGCAATCAAACTATTAAAAATAAAAGACAAAGAGATAATTTTGAAAGCATCAAGAGAAAAGATACTCACTACACATAGGGAACTCCAACTTATGTGTCTGTTGATGGAAAAATGAATGAAGTAAATTTGGTATGTATATATATATTAAACGTATTAGTCAGCCCTAAATACTATTCAGCCTTTAAAAAACAAAAAGAAGGAAATATTGCCATTTGCTACAACATGAATGAAACTGATGGACATTATGCTAAATGCAGTAAGCCAGACACAGAAAGACAAATACTCCATGATCTCACTTATATGTGATCTCTAAAAAAAGCCAAACTCACAAAAACAGACAGTAGGATTGTAGTCAAGACGGGTTGGGGGCTGGGGAATATAGGGAGCTGTTGGCTAAAAGGTACAGACTTTCCCATATAAAATCAAATCGTTCTGGAGACCTAATGGTACAGCATGGTGACTAGAGTTACTAGAGTTACTAATAATGTATTGTAGGCTTGAAATTTGCTAAGTGAGTAGATCTCAAGTTTTCCCACCATATACACAAAAAAGGTAACTATGTAAGGCGATATATATGTTAATTAATATGATTATGATAATCATTTCACAATGTGTATGTATATTGAAATATCACATTGTACACCTTAAATATGTACAATTTTTATTTGTCAATTATCTCAATAAAGTTGGAAAAAATATCTGCCTTATAATAGCTTAATTTTAGTGGGGTTGTAAATGACAATTAAGATAAATAAGAAAAGCATATATTAGCTAGGTGCAAGGTGAAATATCAGTAAGAGCGAAAAGCTGAGAAATGAAGACCAGAGAGGGACTCCTTGAGAAACTGACGTTTCAGAAAAGATCTAAAAAAAGCCAGGAAGAAGTAGTCATGCAAGTATCTGGGAAAGAGCATTTCAGGCAGGTGGAGGAGCAGCAAGTGCAAATGTCCTGAAGCAGTGCCTGAGTGTTCAAAGAATAGCAAGAAAGCAAATGTGACAGCAGCAGACAATGAGATCAAAGGTCCTGAGGGAGGTATGGCCTTGGTATACACAAGAGAGTGACGGGGAAAGCAGAAGACGATGGTGTCTGAGAGGTGGCAGGGGGCCTGATCATAAAGGGCCTTAGAGAATTTGATCCTTGGGCTTCTTCACTGATAGTAATAGGGAGCCACAGAGGGTTCTGTGCACTGGAGTAACATGATCTTAGTTATGGTGTAATGAGAAGACCCTGGCTTCTGTGCTGAGACCTGGCTACAATACACTATTAGTAACTCTAGTCACCATGCCGTACCATTAGGTCTCCAGAACGGTTTGATCTTATATGGGAAAGTCTGTACCCTTTAGCCAACAGCCCCCTATATTCCCCAGCCCCCAACCTCTCTTAACTACCATCCTACTGTCTGCTTTTGTGAGTTTGGCTTTTTTTAGAGATCACATATAAGTGAGATCATGGAGTATTTGTCTTTCTGTGTCTGGCTTACTACATTTAGCATAATGTCCATCAGTTTCATTCATGTTGTAGCAAATGGCAATAGTCCAGACTACTGCAGTGACTCAGACAAAAGAGTACAGTGGCCTGGCCCAGCTGGGAACAGTAGGGGTCATGCAGAGGGATTCATTGTAGACTGAGTGAGAAATGAGGGGTGGAAGAGTAATCAAAGCATCAAGGATGACCCCAAAATTTTGACCTAGGCCTCTCAAAAGATGGAGTTTCCATTAACTGCAGGCAGCAGCTGTTTAAGGGTGAAGATAAAGATTTCAGTTTTAGACACATAGTAATAACCATGTATGAAAATTTTCTAACTCTCTAAGCAACAAGAATCTCATTTAAACCAATGAGATTGAAATTTTGCCTTCTTAATGAGCAAAACTTTAAAATATGTCTCTTTCCTGGCTAGGATGCAGTGAGCCAAGAACTGGCATAAATTTTATGAATAATAATTTGGGAATAAAGTCAAGATTGATAGAAAAATGTTTATAAATTTCACCTTGTATATTTTCCTTCAATAAATTTATTCTAAGAAAACAGCAAAAAGTGCAGTTTTATGTATACAATTTATACATTCTTATTTCTAAAAATAAAACACTGGAAAGGGCCCAAACATCCAACAATAGGAATATAGTTAAATAAATTACTGTATGGCCCAATGATGGAGTATTCTGCAGCCATTAAACATTTTTAAGAGTTTAAAACATATTCTGGCAATACAAAATGTAATGCAGTATGACTAGGATGTAAAAAAAGCTTACTAAAAAAAGTTTGGAGAGGAATTGCTAAGGCATAACAATTGTCTCTGGGTGATGAGAACGCTTTTTTCTTCTAACTGCAGCGTTTTCAACATTTTTACTTTCATTTTATATAAAAAAACAATTTTACTTTTAACAGAGATAGTTATTCTAATTTCATGGGTTGTTGTGACAGAAACTGAAATACACTAAAACCGGTGCTAGCACCAATTCCACTATAACTCCACTTCCCTGTGCTGGCCCCCCCTTCTCAAAGGCAGAGTTTGATCTTCTGGGAGAAGAGTAATAGAGGGTGGAGGGGGTCTTCTGGGAAAGGTGGGCAGGGGAGAGAAGGGGAGGCCAAGGCCAGGCAGGGAAACTCTGGCAACCTTGACTTGGGAAGCAGGTAGATGGAGGGTGCTCCATCAGTCCCCAAAATTCTCTCTGAATCCAACAAGGAGGCATCCCAAGTAATACTTAAATCAGAGTGAACAAATGCCACCAGGAGATGCCAGACAGAATCTGGAGCTCAGACAGGTTCGGACGTAGTTGAATCCCCAACATTCTAGACCCCCAGAACTTATCAATATTTGGCTAGTGGCAAAGACCCACCTTGCACATATTAACTTCACAATAATGTGGCCTTGCATTTTACTTGAATTTTTAGCTTCCTCTTTTCATATCATGTCAGTTTGTTTTGTTTCAGTCTTTGTTTGTTTTTGTTTTTTCAGGCTAACAGACCCTAGCTTTTCTACCCTAAAGCCATTCTAATTTCTTCCTGGTTTTCTTTGACAAAGTTCTAGAGAGTGAATCCTTGTTGATCTAGGACATATATGGAAGTCCAGCACATTTTGGCCAGTGATTGGTCCAGGGTGTGGACACATGACCTACTTTTGACCAATGAGCTACAAGGGGAAGTCTGCACATAGCTTCCAGGAAGTATTGTGCCCCCTTATAAAAGAGGCAAGAGAAGAAAAGGCCCCTTTCCTCCTTTACGCTCTTCCTGCTCTGGACACTATCGTATGGGGATTTGTGGGAGCTGTGGCAGCCATGTTAAGACGTTGAGAGAAGAGATGTGTGAAAAAGCCCATAATCAGACAACAGTGCAGCAGGACAGAAAGAACCAGGGTTTTCAATGACATTATTGCACCCTGGGCCACTTCCTTCTGGACTTCTTGTTAATTACACAAGAAATATCCTCACAGTTTAAGTTATTATTTGTTGCCTTTTCTATTACCTGAAGACAAAAGCATCCTACAGGATGAAGCTCCTGCCATAGAGTCTGCCCTAAAATAGGCTTGAAACTGTTAAAATGTTTGGGATTCTCCAGGGCTCTAAGACTCCCTGATGTTATAAGGGAAACCTGATTTCCTGCCTTCCCCCGCAGCCTCTTTGCTATGGATTGCACGGTACTGGAGTTGTTATATAAAGCTGCCAGGTGTCTTAGGCTAGGAAATAGGTAAGAGGTATTTTGAGCATCTAACCTTGGCTGCAAGGGAGAAGAGAAGAGATCTTGGGAAAAGGGCTGGGGAGGTGGACCCACAGGAAGGCTGTGCAATGGGGTCAGCCAGGGAGAGGCTCTACCTCAAGCACCCATTCTGATTGCTGCAGAGAAGCTGCCTGGAAGTGTCTTAAAGAGAATTCCAAAGCTGTTTTGAGTTCAGTGGGTGTCTGCCCTCACAGCTGGTTGGGGAAACTGTGGCAACGGCAGTGACATCTGAGTGCCTAGGGTGAGACTGGGGGATAAGGAAGCACCACCAAGAGGGTTGGACTGTAAAAGGAAATGCCTGCGTGCAGCAAGGAGATAGACAAGGTAGTGGGATAATATTTCTGCTGATATTCCGCTTTATCTCTCTTTGGTAAACTGACATGGGGGACCATATTAAATGTACAGTACACTAGCAGACTCGTTTATTCATTCGACAAATATTACATAAAAAGGAAGGAGTGCCACACAGTTTTCTAGTTGCTGCATGTACAGAAAGAAATGTGGCAGAAAAGGTTCTTGCCCACATGGAGCTTACAGTTCAGGGATGTATCTCGGATAATCTGGAGTCCTCCACATAAAAGCATCGTCTGTCCAGAGCCTATCACTGCAGATGATGAGGCCTGAACCAAGGAAGCCTCCCTTTGTCTCTCCTCCTTGAACTTCTTCCCCCAGTGACCTAAACTTTCCATAACAATATAAAAGGAAGAAAATTCACTGCCTAGTAAAATTTTACAATGATGGAATAAATATTTCTCTTTTGATCCAGACTTAGTTATAAAAAAAAGTCCAAGGATCCTATGATATCAGTATCTACTCTGGAAATTGTGGCCACTGTAACTGTGGCAAAGATTTATACATGCGAAGTTTATCATCATTTCCATTTTTCAACCTGTAATTACCATGTACAGAGTTCATCAACTTAAAATTCAACAGCTTTTTCATACATTTTCCACAGCATTAGCTGAAAAGATGCGAAATGCAGATTATATTGGTATAGATCAGCCTTGTGAATATGCAGTATTTACTAGTCGGTGAAAAAACAATGTAGAAAAAATGTTTATCAGCAATAAAGGGCAACAAATTGTGATTCAGAAGACATTAAAAATGCCCCTATGCTTTTGTCTAGTAATTCCACTCTGGGGAATTGACAACTGTAAGGAAATTATCATGAATGCAAGGTAAAAAATTTATAAGCAAACATGGTCAATTTTGCATCGTTTATGAGAAAGAGGAACTAGGAATAAGCTAAATGCCCCCAAAATAGGGGACAAGTGAAGAAAATTACAGTACCTCCTTAGGATAATATGCAATTGTTAAAATATAATACTAATTTATTATTATGGTAGATTGGATTATTTGTTCCAATTCTTCACTCCTCCTTAGTCGTACTCTACATTCACATGGATGCCATCGACTCTTCGTCAGCACAGTATGCTTCCCCAACTTTTGACTTTGGGTTCTCTTGGTCATGTGACTTTATTCAGCCAATGAAATGGTAATAGACATGATACAAGCAGAAATGTGAAATGTCCCGTACAGCTGGGCTTATCCTCTTAGCACTTCTGCCATTGCCATGAGAAGGACTTAGTCCATGTTAATTCAGCATCTCCAGCCAGGGCTGCAGTCCCATAGATGCATGAGCAAGAAATAAATGCTTATTGCTATATGCTACTGAATTTTGGGCTGGTATGTTATGCAGCAAAAACTGACTGAAACAATCAGGCAAACATGTAATTACATGGACCCCTGCACTGTGCAAGGTAGAGACAAAGTAATACATATTTATTGAAAGAACAGGAGAATATTTATATGACATTGTTAAGTGGAAATTAGAATAAAAAGTGAATTTGCAGAATAAAGAAAAAAACCTGTTCTTGAAAAGAGAACAATAAGAAATCTATCAAAATGACCATTATTGACAATATTTTCAGGTTTCCTAAATTTTTCAATTTTTTTATAATAAGCATGTATTTTAATAAAAGAATCAAAATGCTGCACCAAAATTGAATTTGGTTAAGATTCAATTTATCCAAAGATAAACTAATATTAAAAGGAGGAGAAAATAAAATTGGGCACAAGGAGGACACAAGGGTTAATGGCTGAAATGAATTATGAACCTACTTAGATATATTTTTAAAAAATCAAAAACACAGCAAAAAGATTGAGAAACATTTTTAAGGTGATTTTCACAGAAGACATATAAAAAAGTGAATAAAAGTGACATTGTCAAGGAATCAATGTCATGGACATTAATAAAACCTTCGGGTTTCATTTCAAATCCACCAAATTAAGAAAACAAATTCAACAATGTTGAAATGTTTTTGAAGAGAAGTTATGGCAGAATGATCACATTTGTGCTGTACTAGTGGCAACAAAACTTAAGAAAAATGGAATGCCAAGGTCTTATGAGTTATAAATTATAAATACATTTACACCCTTTATTCCAATAATCACATTGTTGAGAATTTATACTAAAGAAATAACAATACACAAAAATTAATTTCAGTGCCCCAAAATGTGCATACAAGCTCCCCTGAAATCCCTGGTGGTCTCTTGAAATGGGCATGAATGGGGTGAAACTCCAAGGAGCCCAGTGTAACAATGGGTGAAAAATTGAAAGAGCTTAGTAGAGATTTCAGTAGCTGCCCAGTGTTGGAGACATAGAGTTTGAAGTTCAAATTAAGTGTAGTAAGAGTAAGTACCAAGTCCCAGAAGTGAAGGATACACTCTAGAATGAAAAGCAAAACCAAAAGAGATCCATTCTAACAAAGTCTGAAACCACATATCTGAAGATCAAAATGAACTTCCAGATATTGATTTTCCTAGTGGAATAAAACTCAACACTCCTCAGAGGAAGATAACCAAGTAGAAATCACATAACTGAGAGATACAATATCTGAAATAAAAAGTTCATTGAATAAAATAGCGTAATATTCATTAAAACATTCTGAAATGATAATGCTAGCTAATATTTATTGTGCCAGACATGTGTTTAGTGCTTTACACATGCTAGCTTCTATAATATACCATCTACAATATCTAGCATATAAAGAAAAATACTAGATATGTAAAGAAACAGAAGAATGTGTTCCATGGTAAAGAAAACAACATCCATAGAAAGAGACCCAACATGACTAAGATGTTGAAATTAGCAGAATTTTTAAAGAATTTGTAGGAAAAAAATAAATACAGTGGACAAAGGCATGAGGAATTTCAGCAGAAATATAGAAAATTTGGGGAAAAAAATGAAAGTCCTAGAACTAGAAAATATAATATCTCAAATTTTAAAATTCATGGACTAGAAAGAGAAGGGTGGACAATACAGAAGGGATCTGTGAACTTGATAGATGAATAAAAACTGTATCCAAACTGAAGCCAAATAAGGAAATATATTTCACGCACGCGCACACACACACACACACACACATATATATATTTACAAATGAACAGAATCTCCGGTAGTCTGTGGAATGCTATCAAGTGGTCTGAAATACATGTTACTGAAGTTCTAAAAGGAGGAGAGAGACAAATAAAAGGGGGAGGGATGTGTGGGAGGAGAGAGAGAATGTGGTAGAAAATAGAAAAAATATTGGCTGAAAGTCTTCCAATTTGATTTAAAATATCAATCCACAATCCAAAAGGCTCTGCAAACCCTAAGAAGAATAAAAGGAAAGAAAACCACATCTTGATATATCATAGGGAAACTGATAAAAGATAAAGAAAAATTCAGGAATAAAAAAACACACTACCTACAGAAGAACAACTGTTTGAATAATGGCTGACTTTTCAGAAAAAAACAAAGTCAAGGAGATAATGGAATGATATTGCTAAAATAAATAAATAAATAAAAAAGTCAACTGAGAATTCTATGTCTGGTGAAAATATTCTTCAAAAATGACAGTGAAATAAAGATGTTTAATTAAATAAAGGCTGAAAATATTTGTTCCTAGCAGGCCTGTACTATCTGAAAGCACAACAGAAATTATTCAGGCTGAAGACAAATGATATATGATAAAACTTTGAATCCATAGGAAGTAATTAAGAGCACTGGAAACGTTATATACATGGGTAAATACAAAACATTTTTCTTTTCTTAAAGAAAAACCTGGTACTTAAAGAAAAAATAATAACACATACCATGAGTTTTATATTACATGTAGAAATAAAGATATATTACAAAATAAGAAAACAAATGGGAAAATGGAATTATACTATTATAAGTTTTTAAACTTTCATTTGTAGTAGCATAATAATGCAAGTAAGGCTGTGATAAAATAAAGATGTATATTGTAAATCCCTATAGCACCTTCAGTTTAAAAGCCAATAGTTGTGATAGAATTTTTAAAAATCATTAGATTAACAAAAAACACAAAAAGGAAAAAATAGAGCAAAGAACACAGAAAACAAATAGAAAACAGAGAGCAAGGTGGTAGAATTAAATCTGACCACATCAATAATCATATTAAATATAAATATACCAAATACTCTAATTAAAAGGCAGAGGTTTCCAGGCAAAATACAAAAGGCAGACCCAACTATATGCTATTTAAAGTGATGCTTGTATTCAAAGATACAAATAAATTAAAAAGCTGCTGTGATCATATTAACAGCAGCCATGTCGAATTCAAAACAAGTAGTATTTTCAGAGATAAAGAGAATACTTTATAATGATAAAGGGTCAATTCATCAAGAATGCAAAGTAATCCTAAATGTGCATATAATTATTAACATAATTTGAAAATACATAATCACTGACAAAATTAAATATAATAGAAAATTCACAATCATACATAAAGATGTTAACACTTTTTTCTCAGTAATTATCTTTTTAAAAAGCAACAAAACTCCATAAGGATATGGGAGACTTACCCTAAGTGAGATTTATGAAACAGTACACCAGTAACAGAAGGATATATATTCCTTTCAAGTGTAGATGGCATGTTTACCAAGGTAGATCAAATGCTGAGTTATAAGTCTGAATAAACTCCAAATGATTGCAAATAAACAGAATTGGGACTGGAAGCCTGAGACAAATGACAGCAGTGAGTCTGTTTGGATTCCTGTTCTAGATTTCTCAGTGTCTTGGTGTTGAAATGATGAGGTTGAAAGATGAGAGTGAAGGGACATGAATGACAAGAGCACAGGTAAGGGGGTTTCTGCAATGTGCAAAGAAGAGAAAAGTCAAGCATGACTCTAAAGTGTGAACCTGAGCAATTGAAGGAATGTAATCTCTACTTGCTGAAGTAGGAAAGACTGAGGAGGGGTACATTTAGGGATAGGAAGAGAAGCAGGAGTGCAATTGGAGGTTTCTACCAGATTCCCATGTAACAATGTAAATGTGGGGTTGCCAATTAAAATTTTGAGTCTGCAGGGTACAAGTTGAGCCTGCAAACAAACAACAACAACAAAGACAGAGTTGTCAGTGTAGAATATACTAGTGGTATTTTAAATAACTATTACTTTAAACTCATCCCAAACTAACACCCTATTTGAAAACCTCTGCCCTATAGGTTTCAGCCATAAATTTATATCAGAATCTAACACCGTATTCCCATTAATTACAAACAGATAAATGCATCCAGAAAGATGAGGAGTTGGGGCATCTCACACAAGGGTCACCAGGGGGTGTAAGACAAGAAACAAATCAAATTGGCAACCTGCATGCCATGGCCTGATCTTGTGTTTTGTTTTCTGGCTAAGAAAGAAAAATGTTTCTCAATTATAGTTTTGTTTCTCTCCCTACCCATCATATCACAGAAATTAAAGGAATTGGTAAAATAAAAGTTCTGAAAGATTTATAGCCACAGTTTAAGACCATGATACCTCAGAAAGATCAGAAACATTTGTTATTTTCTGGAAGAAATAAAATGCCAATGCAAATCACTTTCAAATGCAAATCCTAAGCAAACATAATTCTGGTTAATGCATGAAAGGTGTGTTCTGCTAAGCTCCTTTGATTCTCCAGGAAGATTGATGGCATAATTATACTCTGGAGAGAAGGGTTAAGAAACTGTGTTGAAACTTATTAAATATGACATGCAATGACTTTTCGATTTTGTTTGGAAAGTGTGCTTAAAAATAATTACATTTTAAATGGAATTTATAAATATCTTATACCACTTAAATGAACGGTAGAGGATTCTGCTGCAGCACAATTATATTGAGTCTGATAAGCTTTGTTTCCTACAAGTGAGAATTCACTGGCATTTTCCACAGGATCAAGGAGATGGAAGGTTTGTAAAGCATCTGTAGGCATATTTTTGTGTTCATATGTACATCAATGTATAGTGGTTAAAAGTAACTGTATACATATATGCAAACATAGCCAATAGTATGGGCATTTGCAGCCCTCCTCTTTCTTGTGGAGTAACATGTTTTCCTGGCGACCAATTTCTTCCCCTGCCAAACCATCCTTCAGTCTGCACCTAGCGTGATCACTGCAAACTGAAAACCTGGTCACATCACTCCCCATATTAAAACCATTAAGTGTCTCCTCGTCTTCTACTAATAGAGCCAGCTTCAGGGACCTGCAACCTGTGCATACAGCATTCTGCACTCAGGAGGGCCCGGTGCTTGTTTTAATGATCTGCTATTGCTCTTTTGTCTTTGAGATTTTGCTCTGGAAGCAATTACCACGGAGCATGTACAGGAGCAGAGGTTATACGCTCAGTGCACCCATCCACCATTCCTCCATTTTCATGCCTAGGAACGCCTTCTTGTGGGACGGCCTTCTGTGGACTCAGGAGGTTCCGCCGGATACAAAGGGAGTGCAAAATAAGTGGGTTTTATCCACAGCTGGGTGCTCAGGACACTGATGGCCCTAAAAGGCTGCATGTTCTGTTCCAACCAGAATAACTTGCTTCAAACACAGAAAGAGAGCGATGCTGCTCTGAGAGAATGGAACCGCCAAGGAACTCTTACCATATCCTTTCTTACTTGTGTCTTTGTGTCCAAATTTCACCTCTTCACAAGGACACCACTTGGATTGTATTGGGCCCACCCTAACAACTTCATTTTAATTTGATTATCCTGTATCTCCAAGTAAGATCATTTCCAAAGTAATCAGAGTTTGGGCTTCTACACGTCTTATTTTGGAAGACACAATTCAACCTAAGCATTAGGCATCCAAGGACTTTTATTGTTTTCCCCTCAAGCCCCTACAATGACAGATATTTTCTAAAGGACGGGGGCTCACTATCTAATCCTCTCTAAGTCCCCATTCCAGCCCCCAGTCTCTCCATAGGGGCTGCCAAGAAATACAGCAAAAACAACACTCCAGGACACGAAAGTCAGCTTGATCCACATCAGCAGCAACAACATGACAAGAGGACGCTGCTCCTCAACCACCAGTTCCACACTACTTGCCAGAGTCAGACTTCTAAGAACGGGCCTCTGCCTTCCTGACAGGTAGCACGAGGGTTCAGCCAAAGAAGCTTTGAGGGCAGAGTCCATCAGAATGTGCTGTTTCCTAGGAGAATGGAAATGAGAAAGAACCGCCTGACAGCTGGGATGGAATGTTCGCTGGGAGGAAGCCAGAGCCACCTTCTTCTGGCTGAATAAACAGCAGCCCCCTGCCTGCCTTCTCTCCATGTTTTGTGCCTCCTGTGTTGAGCCAGGCATCCTCCTAAGTGCTGCACACTGTATGATGAAGCCATTGACCTATGGTTACCTCACTCCATCCTCACAAGGACCATGTCAGAGTGCATCCCCATTCTTCAGCAGAAGAAACTGAGGCTCGGAGAGGATAAGTAGTTGGCCCAAGGTAACATAGCCCACACACAGAAAAGGCAGGATTTGAAACCAGACTTGTGTGATCCCAAAATCTGTGCCTTTGACCTCCACATAGAATCTTCAGTCATAAAATTTTAATAAATCTTATATAGTACTTATTACTGCCAGACTGTGTAAGCACTTTACGTACATTAACTCATTTAGTACTGACATCAATGTATGAAGTAAGTACCATTTAACCCTCACTTTACACATGAGGAGACTGAGGGTCAGAGAGGTGAAGAAACTTATTCAGATCACTCAGCTAGGAAGTAGCAGAGGCAGCTTTCGACTCCAGGCAATGCAGCTTCAGAGTCTGTGCTCTTAACCACTGTGCTATGTCAGGAGCATCCCTGCTGAAAGATTCCATGATGGACCTGGACAGGGGTCCTGGTACATCTCAGATATACATAAGCACAAGGCCCATAGCCTATCTCTAAGCTGGGCTGGAAGGTGGAACGTAGTTTAGAGAGCTGCCTAAAAGAGCACATGCTGCAGCTCCAGTGTCAAAAAGAAAGTGTGGGGCTCAAACTCCCTCAAGAACCTGCCATTGTGAACCTGGGAGGTGGAGTTTGCAGTGAGCCGAGATTGTGCCACTGTACCCCAGCCTGGGCGACAGAGCGAGACTCCATCTCAAAAAAAAAAAAAAAAAAAAGAGAACCTGCCATTACCTTGAACTAAAACACAAACCCCTAAGCTGGGCATACCTTGCAGACCTCTCCACAGCTCCAACCCTGCATCTGTACAACTGCCATGCAGCACTACTGCTCATTCACACATTTACAAATCCATTCCAAAATTATCCATGGAACAAGTTGCAAACTAAAGGTCTACAAAAGGTTAACAATATCATTGGTGACCGTTGTTAATAATAACATACTATATACTGGAAATTTGCCAAGGGAGTAGGTCTTACGTGTTCTTGCCACATACACATGCACACACAAAAGGTAACTATGCAAATAATGAATACGTTAATGAAAAACATCTCACTACACTGAATATCATTGTTTTGCATCCGTCTTAATTTTTATTTTATCTCATTTTCTATTTATAGTAGTCACAATCTGGCTCCAATTTAAAGCAGAAATATAAAGTTTCCTTGCAAAAAAATTCTATTAAAGTCATGGTCAAGATAGAGAAAAGTATTAAACAATAGTACAGGTAGTACACAGCTATGGTAAAAAAAATAATAATAATTCTGCAGGTGGGATGCAAATTATTGAGTCTTAGGAAAGGCCAACATGAGGGAAAGAGCTTTTCAGTTATACAGAAAGAAGTGAGACCAAGCACCACAATTATGTCACCTAAGACAACTTAGTTAACCTCTTGGAAATCCCCATATCTCCAGGTATAAAATGGAGCTAACAAAACCTCTCTCACACTGTTATTCTAAACATTAGATATCAGCAACTTGGCTTGAACTGGGGGCCATTATTCCAAGTGAAGTAACTCAAGAGTGGAAAACCAAATGTTGTATGTTCTCACTTATAAGTGGGAGCTAAGGTGTGCAAAGGCTTACAGAGTGGTATTATGAACATGAGACTCAGACGGGGGAAGAATGGGAAAGGAGTGAGGGATGAAAAACTACACATTGGGTACAATGTATGCTACCTCAGTGACTGGTGCACTAAAATTTCAGACTTCACCATTATATTAGGTTGCTGCAAAAGTTATTGCAGTTTTTGCCATTGAAAGTTAACTTTCAATGGATGAATTGTATAGGTTGGTGCAAAAGTTATTGCGGTTTTTGCCATTGAAAGTAACCTACACAATTCATCCACTTTGATATGGTTTGGATTTGTGTCCCTGCCCAAATCTCATGCTGAATTATAATCCCCAGTGCTGGAGGTGGGATCCGGTGGGAGGTGATTGGATCATGAGGGAGGACTTCCCACTTTGGTGCTGTTCATATGATAGAGTTCTCATGAGATCTGGTTGTTTAAAAATGTGTGGCACCTCCTCCCTCTCTCTTATCCTCCTGCTCCAGCCATGTAAGATGTGCGTGCTTCCCCTTCGCCTTCCGCCATGATAGAAAGTTTCCTGAGGCCTCTCTAGAAGCCATCATGCTTCCTGTACAGCCTGCAGAACCATGAGCCAATTAGACCTCTTTTATTTATAAATTACTCAGTCTCAGGTATTTCTTTATAGTAGTGTGAGAATGGACTAATACACACTTGTACCCTTAAAGCTATTGAAATAAAAATAAAAATAAAGATCATATTATGTATAAAAATGTTTGGCCCATAGTAGGTATTTATTAAGTATAATTTTATTTTCCCTTTCCCTAGGCTTTCTCCTTTAGATACTGGGAAGGAACCTGTAACCTTTATAAGTTTACACGGTGATTTTCCTTAGTCTATTCTGATACTCAAGAACCAGCAGCTATAATGATAGACACTTTCTAAAGCAGTGGGGCCCACAGGAGACACCTCAAGAGCCACAGACCCCATCCTTGTGGAGTCTATGGTCTTGTGGGGGTGACTGACTGATATGGTTTGGCTGTGTCCCCACCCAAATCTCATCTTGAATTGTAGCTCCCATAATTCCCATGTGTTGGGGGAGGGACCGAGTGGGAGATAAATGAATCATGAGGGTGGTTCCCCCATACTTTTCTCATGGTAGTGAATAAGTCTCATGAGATCTGACGGTTTTATAAGGGAAACCCCTTTCACTTGGTTCTCATTTCCTCTTTGCCTGCTGCCATGCAAGATGTACCTTTTGCCTTCCACCATAATTGTGAGGCCTTCTCAGCCACGTGGAACTGGAACTGTGAGTCCATTAAGCTTCTTTCCTTTATAAATTACCCAGTCTCAGGTATGTCTTTATCAGCAGTGTGAAAACAGACTAATATACTGACTTAATGAAAGAGCCACAAGAGTAAATGCAATATTACAACTGTGTTCAATGCTATGAAGGAGCATGTGATAATTTCAGGGACCTTCTAGGAGGAATTACCCAGTCTAGGAAGCAGATAAGGCATCTTGAAGAAAGATAAGTGGGAGATGACTGAGTCAAATGGGATAAGATGGAAAGAGTGTTTCAGGGGACAGAACAACATACAGTAAGGTCCTGGGGCAGGAGTAAACTTTTTCAAAACTGAAAGAATGGCTGTGTGGTTGAAGAGTATAAATAATAACATTGATTACAAGAGGAAGAAATAGCTAAGTTTATGGGACAGTTGTCATGTGCCAGAGATTTGGCTGAAAACTTTAAGTGCAGTGACTAATTGAACTCATTCAGTGAAGGGGAACACAGCTTGCAGTGAGTTGGGAGAGCTGGGCAGGTTTTAGACCATACAGGGTTCTGAAGGATGTATTACAGGTTATAATCTTTGACCGGAGAGCAATGGAAGCCATTGAAAAAATGTTAAGCAAGGAACCGACACGATCATACTTGTGATTTGAAGCTATTTTCTAGCTGTTGAGTGGGGAATGTTCTGAAAGTGCAAGAGAAGACAGGGAGGCCAGTCAGGAAGCCCAGGAGAGTCCACATGAAACGTGATGTTTGAACTGAGGTTGGTGTGGCTGGAAAGACAGGCAGATTTGTGAGCTATTTAGGAGATAAAATCAACATAGCCAGGTGCTTAATTGGATTTGTGGGGATAAGAGAAAAACCTGAGACATGCTGTCTTCTGTAACTGAAGGGATAATGACACTATACACTAAACTAGGAAATTCTGGAAGAAAATTAGTTTGGTGAAGTTGTGTTGAATTTGAGATAATAATTCTTTTGAGATATCCAAATGGAATTATAAATAGGAAACCAGAGGTTTGGAAATCCGAGGAGAAATGTGAATTAAGGTAAAAAATTATTGAGTCTGGCCAGGCATGGTGGCTCACACCTGTAATCCCAGCACTTTGGGAGGCTGAGGCGGGCAGATCACTTGAGGCCAGGAGTTTGAGACTAGCCTGGCCAACATAGTGAAACCCTGTCACTACTAAAAATACAAGAATTAGATGGGTGTGGTGGTGAATGCCTGTAATCGCAGCTATTTGGCAGGCTGAGGCAGGAGAATTGCTTGAAACTGGGAGGCAGAGGTTGCAGTGAGCCAAGATCACGCTACTGCTCTCCAGCCTGGGCAACAGAGCAAGACTCTGTCTCAAAACAAAAAAAATTACTGAGTCACTGTCATATAAAAATATATGTTAGTTATTAATTTATTGACTCTCAGCTCCAAATCAAATTTGTGATGTTGGAGCTGGACCCTGTAGACATTTCTCCTTTTCCAGCTGGCCTCGTGCTAGGCATTGCCAATCAAGGCACAGGCGAGACACTGCAAGATCGGAGTGAGAAGAAGGACTTTTCTTCCTTCTTCCAGTGTATTTTCCATGTGGCATTCAGCGGGATGGTGTCCAGGGGGCCTAGTAGCCCTCATCTAAGTGGCACTCATGGACCACTTGCAGCCACTCAGTGGGCTGCCTATTGTGGCAACAATGCCTTCTCCAGAGACATGTGAATCACAGACTTCACGGAGAAGGGGGCCACCTTCTAAGTTTCTGAGTTCTTTTATGTGTTCACTCTTCCTCAGCCCTAGAGAGACTAGGTGTTTTGCTGAAGTTGCTGCTTCTATACCTCCTAGAGTCCTCTTTGACTCTACTTAGTAGTTAACCTTTTTACTGGTTGACAGTTCTTGGAATTACATTTTCCCTTTTTGAAAACTGGTGTAGGTTCTGGGTCCTGACTGCACCCTGACTGACACAGAGTGACTGAACATGCAGGGGTTGACAAGATCACCCAGGGAGATAGTACAAAAAGCTAAGTAAGAGGTCCAATTGCTCAGTCTTGAACTCCAGGCTTCGTTGCAAGTGACAGGAAGCCAGCCTTGCAAAGAAGAAGGAGAAGGAACAGCCAGAAAAGCAGGGGGCAACCTTGGAGGGTGTAATGTCACTGAAACTAAGAAGAAATATTGCATCAATAAATAATATGCATAAATCTTAAGGAGGAGAAGGTTTTCTTATGGAGAAATATATTTTTATATATTATATAATTATATATGCATATTTATATATTATATATTTATATATTATATATGTATACAACATAAGTATATATTTATATATTATATATGTATATAAGTATATATTTATATATTATATATGTATATAAGTATATATTTATATATTATATATGTATATAAGTATATATTTATATATTATATATGTATATAAGTATATATTTATATATTATATATGTATATAAGTATATATTTATATATTATATATGTATATAAGTATATATTTATATATTATATATGTATATAAGTATATATTTATATATTATATATGTATATAAGTATATATTTATATATTATATATGTATATAAGTATATATTTATATATTATATATGTATATAACATAAGTATATATTTATATATTATATGTATATAAGTATATATTTATATATTATATGTATATAAGTATATATTTATATATTATATGTATATAAGTATATATTTATATATTATATATGTATATAAGTATATATTTATGTAATATAATTATGTTTATGTAAGTACAGAATTATATATTATAATAAATATATCTTTACATGTAATATATAATAAATATATATCATATATGTTTTTATATATTATATATTGTGTATAAATATACATATTTATGCATATACATATTTATACACAAAATATAAACCACAAGGAAACCACAAGGAAAGCTTAATAAGTATGACTAAATTAAAATGAAGGCATTTATGATGTCAACAGATATCATAAAAGGCTTGAAAAGTGAAATTGCAAAACAGAATAAAATATTTGCAGCACATAACTGACAAAGAAATGTCATGTAGACTATATAAAGAGCCACAAGTCAATCAAAGAAGACAGACTACTAATTAAAAAATTAACAAAGTTATGAACAGGAACTTCATAAAACCAGAAACATGACTGGGAACTGAATATATAAAGACACTTCAACCTCAATAAAAACGCAATTTAAAACAATGAAATACTATTGTATGCTCAATCAATTGGCAAATATGAAAAGTCAACAGTAATAAATATTGGCGAGGAAATAAAGGTATGCTGTTCGATAAGTTAGCTAATAGCCACATGTGACTTTTGAACACTTTAATTGTAGCTAACCCAGATTAAGACATGCTGAAAGTGTAAAATATGCACTCAATTTCAAAGACACAGTGTGAATAAACTAATGTAAAATATCTCAATAATTTTGGTATTTATTACACACTGAAATGACACATTGAAAGTTGGCCAGCACTTTGGGAGGTCAAGGCTGGTGGATCACTTGAGGTCAGGAGTTCAAGACCAGCCTGGCCAACATGGTGAAACCCCGTCTCTACTAAAAATACAAAAATTAGCTGGGCATGGTGGCGGGCACCTGTAGTCCCAGCTACTCGGGAGGATGAGGCAGAAGAATCACTAGAGCCTGGGAGGTGGAGGTTGCAGTGAGCCAAGATCGCACCACTGCACTCCAGCCTGGGTGACAGAGCGAGACTCTCTCAAGACAAAAAAAAAGAAAGATAATCTTTGGGGTATGTTTGGTTAAATAAAATGTATTATTAAAAATTACATATGTGGTTCACATTTGTCGACTGAGTCACATTTCTATAGAACAGTGCTGATGTAGAGCAATGGAAATGCCTACACATGGCTTGCCAGAGTGTAAATTAATATGATCACGTTGGTAAACAATTTGCCATCATCTTATGAAATTTGGACACACACCTGTGCTATGACCTAGCAGCTCTCCTGTGGCATATATCCTAGAGGAAATCTGATATATATGCAACAGGAGACATACACAAAATTGTTCACAGCCGTATGGTTCACAATAGTAAAAAACTAGAAGCAGTACAGTGCAATCAGTGTCCGAAGAAAAAATAAATGAGTTACACTATAGTAACTGAATGGAACAGTAATGAAAATGAATAGATGGCAGCTACTCACAGCAGCAAGGATGAATTCTAGAAGTGTAATCTTGAGTGAAAACACCAAATTATACAAAAACACATAAAACATGCTACCATTTTTATAAATTTCAAAAACAATAAAAACTGTCCAGGCATGGTGGCTCATGCCTGTAATCCCAGCACTTTGGGAGGCTGAGGCGGGCGGATCACGAGGTCAGGAGATCGAGACCATCCTGGCTAACATGGTGAAACCCCATCTCTACTAAAAATACAAGAAATTAGCGGGGCATGGTGGCAGGTGCCTGTAGTCCCAGCTACTTGGGAGGCTGAGGCAGGAGAATGGCGTGAACCTGGGAGGCGGAGCTTGCAATGGGAGCTGAGATTGTGCCACTGCACTCCAGCCTGGGCGACAGTGCAAGACTCCGTCTCAAAAAAACAACAACAACAACAACAAAACTAAACATTGTAATGTTTAGGAGTTCGAAAACATGGGAAAGGGAGTGGAGGACATTCAAGGAGCTTCAGGGGAATTCTACATGCTCTATTTCTTCTGTTGGATGGTGAGGTTCATGAGTTGGCTCATTTTGTGTGTGTCCCAAAAAGACACAACTTACAGTTACCTGATGCCTTCAGAAACAAAAAGCTCACGATGACCCTAGTGAGAGCTGCTTAATTAAAATGACAAGTTAGATGTAGTGATTTGAGGAATATGTTATCATCGAGAAAGTGAAGACACCAAGTGTGGGCTGCTTCTTCACGAAGCTCTGTTATGAAAGTGAGGAGAGTTGGGTAGTAGATCTTAGGTAGCATGGGGATTAGGGAGAGCTTACCTTTGAAACAGAAGGCGCTCGTGTACAGATAAATACTGAGGAGA
Source organism: Homo sapiens (assembly GCF_000001405.40). Taxonomy (NCBI): domain Eukaryota; kingdom Metazoa; phylum Chordata; class Mammalia; order Primates; family Hominidae; genus Homo; species Homo sapiens. The sequence continues at coordinate 5,062,079 of NC_000004.12, read as the reverse complement.
GGAGTTCTGCTTCTGGTGGACTGGAATATTTTTGGTCAACCTTCCTGCTAAGTAAAACTGTAACTGTACAAAATATACTTTTGAAAAATCTGTTTGGAGGAGTTACAGAGCTATCAAGGGAAGAAAGAACTTTGGGACAAATATCCAGGAGAAAGGAAAGTTCAAAGAAATGGGCACAGCAAGTGGAACCTGCCAATCAGGAAAGCAGATTCCAAGAAGCTGAGGAGCTGCTTTGGAAGCACTTGCAGGCTTCAGGGAGGCGACAAACACTGAACATCAGGAACTACCAAAGAGGAGGAGGCTTGGTAAACACCCAGGCTTTGGTAAGAACACCACAGAGCTACATTCTAGCAGTAAGTGTGAAACATAGACCAGCCCTCACAGGACTCCAGACCATTTGAATCTCTGTGAGGATTTAAGATGAAGCATGATTCCTATCACCTATAGCACAGATGCCTGCAAAGACCAGAAGGAAAATCTTTCTAGGAAATATAATATCATTCAAAGCCTCAAATTATCTCTATACTATTTCCTATGTAATACCCAGCATGCAATTTTTTTACAAAAAGGCAAATTAGAGAACAAAACATGCTTATAATGAAACAATAGACAATGGAAATAGACCCACAGGGTTACCAAATAATGGAGTTATCAAACATACCTTCCAAATGAACTTGGTTAATATGTTTAAGACATTAAAAGGCAAGTTTTGAGAATTTCAGCAGGAATTTGAAAGCCATAAAAGAGAACCGACGGACAATTCTAGAACTAAAAACACAATGAATAACATTAAGAAGTTAATGGCTGTACTTAATAGCAGACAGACCTGAAGTGACTAAAAAAGAGATAGGCCAGAAGAAGATATTCAGACTAAAAACAAGGAGAGAAAAAAGAACAAAAAGCAAAGAAGTATTGTCAAAGCCAGATGGGGCATAGTGATAAGGTCTAATGCTTTTGCAATTTGAGTTTGATAATGTAAGGAGAAGGGGAAAATGTCAGAAACAATGTTAAATGACAAAATAAAAATCCTCCAACACTAACAAAGCCACTAAGATACAGATTCAAGAAGCACTAACAACAAACAGAGATGGCCGGATCATCATACCTATGCACATCATCAAGTTTCTGAAAGGGAATATAAACTCTTAAAAGCAGTTTGGCAAGAAAAACATACAAGCTTAAAAGGAGCAAAAATAGAACTGGCAGCTGTCTTTTGCTCAGAAACAATGGAGGGCAAAAGACAATAAATCATATCTTCAAAATGCTGAAGAAAAAAACCTGCTGACATAGAATTTGATAACTGGCAAAAGACTCACTCATAAGTAAAGTCTAAATAAAAACATTTTCAGACAAGTACAAAGTGAAAAAATTTGTCACTACAAAGCATGCAATAAAAGAAATGATGAAGAGAATACTTCATCAAAGGAAACTAATTCCATTGGAAACTCCTAAGTGAAATAAAAAATAAAGTGTAGAATACGTAAGTATAATCAATGATCTAAGGCTCCATCTCAAAAACCTAGAAAAAGAACAGTAAATTAAACCAAAAAGTGTACAGAAGAAAACTATTTTTAAAAAATCAGTGAATCAAAAAGAAAACAAATAAAAATTAAAGCAAAAGTTATTTTTAAATTTAAAAACTGATAAACCAAGAAAGGCCAATCAAAAAAGATGAAAAAGAAAGCACAAATTACCAAAATCAGAATTGAAAAAGGAGTTATCACTACAGATCCTACAAACACTGAAAAAGATAATAAGAGGATATGAATAATGTTATGTCAATAAACTTGAAACTTATCAATAATAACAGTCCTGGCCGGGCACAGTGGCTCACACCTGTTATCCCAGTACTTAGGGAGGCTGAGGCAGGCAGATCACCTGAGGTTGGGAGTTCGAGACCAGCCTGACTAACGTGGAAAAACTCTGTCTCCACTACAAATACAAAATTAGCCGGGCGTAGGGGCACATGCCTGTAATCCCAGCTACTCGGGAGGCCGAGGCAGGAGAATCACTTGAACCCGGGAGGTGGAGGTTGTGGTGAGCCAAGATCACACCTTTGCACTCCAGCCTGGGCAACAAGAACGAAACTCTGTCTCAAAATAATAACAATAATAACAGTCCTTCACAAACTCTCCCAAAGTTTGGTATACTTCCTAATTCTTTTAATGAGACCAGTATAACATTGATACAAAAACTTAATAAAGCCATTAAAAAATGTCTCTTCCTTCCTATTCTCTGATAGTGTTTGTAGAGTATTATTATTATTTCTAATGTTTGGAAGAATTTACCTATGAAGATATCTGAGCCTTGACTTTTCTTCATGGGAAAGTTTTATTACAGATTTAGTTCTATTCTGATATTTAAATTTCTCCTGTATTATTTTCAGCAAGTTGTGCTTTTATAGAGTATTTTGTCCACTTCGAATGTATTGGCGTACGGTTTATAACATCTTCTTATTAAAAAGTTATAAACAAAACGTTGGCAAATCAAATCCAAGAATATATCACATCATGATGAAGTGGTGTTTACCCCAAGAATGAAAAGTTGATTTAACATTTAAAAATCAATCAGTATAATTCTTTGTCTGATCACAAAAAGAAGAAAAGTCACATATCATCTCAATAGATGCAGAAAAAGGTATTTGCTTACATTCAACTGCCATTAACAATAAAAACTGTCAGCAAATCAGGATAGAAGGAAACATCTTCCGTGCAATAAAGGGTATCTACAATAACAATGCAGCTAATATAATACTTAATTGTAAAATAGTGAATGCATTCTCCTTGAGGGTGGGCTGGTTTGGGTAGGTGTACCAGTCAGGATAGGCGTGGTTATACTGTGGTAATGAGCAGCCCCAAATCTCAGTGGCTTAAGACAGCAAAAGAGCAGTAGCTCACTCCTGTAATCTCAGCACTTTGGTAGGCTGAGGTGGGAGGATTGCTTGCACACAGGAATTCAAGATCAGTATGGGCAACAGACCCCAAAACCTCAGCTCTACAAAAAAAAAAAAAAAAAAAAAAAAAAAAAGCAGCTGGGCGTGGTGGCTCACGCCTGTAATCTCAGAACTTTGGGAGGCCAAGGTGGGCAGATCACCTGAGGTCAGGAGTTCGAGACCAGCCTGGCCAACATGGTGAAACCCCATCTCTACCAAAAATACAAAAATTAGCTGGGCATGGTGGCACCTGCCTGTAATCCCAGGTACTGGGGAGGCTGAGGCATGAGAATCGCTTGAACCTGGGAGGCAGAGGTTGCAGTGAGCTGATACCACGCCACTGCACTCCATCCTGGGAGACAGAGAGAGAGATTCTATATCAAAAAATAAATAAGTAAAATAAATAAAAAATAAATAAATAAACTAGCAGGGCATGGTGGTGTGTTCCTATGGTCTACTTTGTAGGCTGACACAGGAGGATTGCTTGAGCCGGGGAGGTTGAGGCTGCAGTGAGTCACAATCACACCACTGCACTCCAGCTGGGCGCCAGAGACCCTGTCTCAAAAACAAACAAACAAAACAAAACAAAAAAAGATGGGAAAAGAGTCTGTCCCACTCATGCCATGTCTCAGTGCAGGCTGGCTAGCAGTGAGTGTGATCTCTGATCCATGTTGTTCTCACTCTGGGAACCAGACTGAAATAAGTTCCACCATGTAGATCACTGTGGTTGCTCCAAGATGGAGTGATATAAAGTGACACTCACTAGGTCTTCAATACTTTCTCCAAGATGTGACATATGTCATCTCAGCTCAAATGGACCAAAACAAGTCACATGGTCTCACATAACTTCAAGGGGACAAGGAGGTATAATTTTGTGTGTGTGCATGAAAAGTAAAGGGGAACAGGATGTTGGTGAACAGTGATAATGTTCCCACGTTGAAACAGGATAATGTCCCGCACTGAAAGAATGAGATATTTATATTGATGACTTCACAGATGGAGCACTTGTGAGAGATGAAGCAGAGGCCAAAATCTTCAATGCATAAGGGTACTCCAAGGAGGTCACAAAAATCAAGGACTGAGAAGAAGAAGACTCCAGGATTGCTAACAACGTTGACATCCATCTTTTCCTTGGTTGGCTCTAGCTAAGGGAATGACCTCAGCCTAATAGAGTGTGTTTTTCTCTTCTTATGTAATTCAGGTCTTTCTGAACTAGAAATTCTCCTCTGGTATCCTAAACTATGTGTCCTCACTGTTGTCTCTGTTCTGTAAACCAGAATATCCCTTTAGGGTGTTAGGACCCTCAACATTCTTTGTAGAACAGTTTCTTCATCTCAGTCTGCCATTTCTCAAAGTCCAGATTTTAGATAATGGTGTAATGCTAAGAATATCTGTTTTTTCCAGTTCTCCCAGAAAAATGCCTAGGCTTAGCACCAGATTATGCTGTTTGATCCTGCTAAAATACTGATCCTTTATCTCTTGAGGCATTTAAACCCTTCCCTCAAGACTCAACATAAATCCTCCCTCTATCCTAACACCTATTCACTTCAGCTCATACTGTTGGAAAGCCAACCCCCAAGCTCTAGGCCCCTTTACGATCCCATAAAGTAGGAATTTTGTCTTACCTAGAAAGAAGCAGGGAAAAGCTTTGCCTTCTCTCTCACTGGGAAGAGTGGTGACATCCTGAGTCACACTATGCAAGAGTCAGAAATCACCACAGGCTGCCATTTAGCTATGTCCTATCTCTTTTTGGGAATTTCTTGGGAGTTCTCTGTGCACCATGATTAAGAGCTGCCAAGCTACTGGCAGTGTAGGGTCCACGCTGAAAAACCAGTTCTCTGCTCAAGCAAGTCTCAAGGTCAAAACTGAAGGACAGGAGTAGGAAGGCCATTCTGGTCTCAAATCCAAGGCATAGTCTCCAATGACCTTACTGGAAATAAATCAGTTTGTTTTTCAATAGCTCCAGAACCCAAAGGAATGCAAGAAATTGGCCCCCAATAAGTGATTGTTTTCATCTTCCATTCAACAAATGGCCGCTCTATGCCCTCATTGGCCTTATTCTAGGCTTTGCAGACACAAAGGTGGAAAACAACTAAGTGCTGTTCTTTAGGAGGCTGCAGTCTAGTGCAAAAGGTGGATGTGGAATCAAACGATTAAGTAGGATACACCAAAGGGTCCCAATCTGTGCTTCAAGGAACACAATAATAACAGGTTGGGGGGGATGGATGTTTTTTGTTTCTATCTGCCCACCCAGCGTCCACTTGCCCTTTTTCCGTTGATACTCCAATATCCCTTGGGAAAATTCTTCACATAGATCCTTATTCCAAATGCCTCAAGTGGAGCTGACTCTACCCCCTGAATCCAAAAGTGGGCATGTGACACAGTCCAGCCAATTAGAGCCTCAAATCTCCCTGCTCACAGTAATTGATTCAAGAATACCCAAGACTCAGTTAGAGCCCATCAAAGTAACCGTGGGACATTTTCTGCAACTACTATGAGAAAGATACTCCTCTCTTTTCCATACTCAGAGTTCTGGAGCTATCAACATGGAGGGGGCGGGAGCCCCATGAAGAGAGAGCCCGCCTGAGAATAAAGCACAGAATCCAGGAATGAAGATTCTTGATATTATGGGGAGCCTGCTTCCAGCCATGGCTGATGAGATTGACACCTTCATTCATTCACTCATTCATTTATTCACCAAAAAATTACCAGGCATCTATTATGTTACAGGTGTTATTTTAGGCCTTAAGGATACAGAAGTGAATAAACTATGCAAAACTCCTACCTTAAGGAGCTTGCAATTCCTTAGGAAGAGACAATCACATAAGATCCCTGTATTGAAGGCAGTGGTCCCCAACCTTTTTGGCACCAGGGATTCGTTTCATGGAAGACAAATTTTCTATGGACAGAGGGAGGATAGTTTCAGGATGAAACTGTTCCACCTGAGATCATCAGGCGTTAGTTAGATTCTCATAAGGAGTGCACAACCTAGATCCCTCACATGCACAGTTCACAGTAGGATTTGCACTCCCATGAGAACCTAATGCGGCTGCTGATCTGACAGGAGGCAGAACTCAGGCATTAATGCTCCCTCACTCGCTACTCACCTCCTGCTGATGGCCCAGTTCCTACAGACCACGAACTGATAACAGTCCGTGGCCCAGGGGTTGTGGATCCCTGATTTAAGGTACTTGCACTGAGTGGAGAAAGACAGACAATAACCAAGAAAATAAGTAAAATAAATATTATGATAGATGGTGATAATTTCCACAAAAAAAAATAAAGCAAGGAAAAGGATTTGGAATGACATTTTAAGTAGGGTGGTCAATGAGAGTCTAATGAGTCAACAACATTTTCCTGGAGACCCGAAGGAAGTGAGAGTGGGCTGGGGGGGAGATGCCCTCGGGCAAGAGGGGCAGGTGCCAGGGCTATGGTGTGAGGGTGCAGGGCATGTCAGACGAGCAGGAAGGAGGCAGGTGAGCCAGGAGTGACAGAGGAAGGTGCAGTCTCAGAGGGTAGCACCTGATGGGCATCTATAAGGACTTCAGCTTTTATTTTCTTAACGATGCAAGTTGTGCCTAGGGCTGGAGGGAGGATTTGAGGGTGGGCTGAGCAGAGCAGAGGACTGATCTGGCCCATGGCATGTTTTAACAGGATCACTCTGGATGCTGCATTGAGGGGACAGTGACGGGGGTAGGGACAGACCATGTAAGGACTTAGGGAGGTGACTGTAATAATCCAAGCAAGAGCTGTGACATGGCTTGGACAAGAATGGTAGTGATGGAGAAGGCAAGAAATGGCCAGAGCCAATTTATTCCCCTAAAAGCACTTTGTGAGCTCGGGCAACAGAGTGAGACCTTGACTCTAAAAAAAAAAAAAAAAAATTAAAAATTAGCCAGGCATAATGGTAGAAGCCTATTGTCCCAGCTACTTGGGAGGCTGAGATGGAAGGACCCCTTGAGCCTGGGAAGTTGAGGCTGCAGTGAGCTAAGATCCCACCACTGCCCTCCAGCCTGGGTGACAGAGTGAGACCTTTTGTTTTTTAAGAACAAAAAAGCACTTAATGTTGCTTTTCCATCATTTGCAACTGGAGGAGGCTCAGCTAACGTGCCCTTTTTCACCAAATGTTAGATGCCATCCACAGTAAAGCCACCATTATTTTATGCAACACTTGGAAAAAAAGCAACTCTGCCTATTAATCTGTGGCATGATCCTTTCTCTGCTTATTATATATCATGTGAGCGTGAACAGCTATGACCACTTGCACACAATGAGTTAAACTTTTGCCTTAGGAATGTGGATGACGGTCCTGTCACAATTACACAATGGCAAATATTTAGCTGTGGTTTAACATCAAAGTACTTAAAAATCAGACTTGTTCTGGTCAGGCAGGTGTTTGCATCTTCAACCTTCAACCACGCAATGACTATGGTTTGGGAGAGCTTGTTCACTGGACCATGTCACTCCCTGCTTAAAACCCTTCAGTGACTCCAAAATGCCTATAAGATCAAGTCCAAACACCTGACCACGGCCACTGGGCCCTTTAAGGCCGGCCAGGCATTCAGGGTTCATCTTTTGTGCCTTTCAGCTTCATACTCCACAATGCAGGAGTACTAAGCCCCCTCAATCCCCCCACATGAGCCAGGCTTACTCTTTACCATCTGCCTTTGCACATACTCTTCCCTTTCTCTGAAACGTCCTTCCCCCTTCTATCACCCACTTCTTCCCCCCAGGTAACTCCTGCCATTTCTGCAAGATGCCAGTCTAAAAGAGGAGGCCTTTTCAGATCCCTCCCCCCACTCTGAGTTAGGGACCCTCCTCCAGGATATCAGTCGCCTGAGCTCACCCACGTCAGGGCACTTACACACCCTGTGTTTTCCAGGTGGTTTACTTGCTCTGGGAGCAAATTGTTAACACTTTGCCTTCATCCTCCTCATATTCCCGGTCCCCAGCACAGGGGTGGGTACAGAAAATACAAATAGTAAATGCCTACGAAATAAATGAGTCGGTTGGTGGCAAGTAACACTGTTTTACCTGTACTAGGAAACGTGTGAGAGACATACTGGCAAAATCAAACAAGTTAATGTTTCACTGGGCTGGGCAATGGCAAAATGAGGAGAGCCCTAACCTTATATTTATTTATATTTATTTATTTATTTATTTATTTTGAGATGGAGCTTCACTCTTGGTGCCCAGGCTCGAATGCAATGGTGCGATCTCAGCTCACTGCAACCTCCGCCTCCCGGGTTCAAGCGATTCTCCTGCCTCAGCCTCCTGAGTAGCTGGGATTACAGGTTCCCGCCAACATGCCCGGCTAATTTTTGTATTTTTAGTAGAGTCGGGGTTTCATCATGTTGGCCAGGCAGGCCTCTCCTGACCTCAGGTGATCCGTCCACCTCGGCCTCCCAAAGTACTGGGATTACAGGCATGAGCCACCGCGCCCGGCCTCATAACCTTGTATTTTAACAAGCACCGAAACAGGCAGTTAACCTTAGGCCCAATCTGCTTATAGAATAAGGAACAGGAACAGGAAAATCAAAAGGTTGGCTACACCAGAGATAACTATTTTGCCAATGAATATTTTCAAGCTGGGGATAAATGACAGAGACGGTTTTCAATATAAGGGTGGCAAATTTCCTCTGTAAATAAAAGAGAAAGATGCTAGGAAAATTAGCAAAAGCATGACCTTTGACCCAGGCTAGAACCACAAGCCCGTGCAATTGAGGGTGATGCTGCATAGTGTTCAAACTCTTACTGGGACATGCAAGAGCCTCCATTACCTCTGTGCCCACCTCTCCTCTGTCCACAACTGGCTCCTTACCTGCTCACCTGCACATGCTCCAGACTAAAGATCAGGAAAAGCTGGGGCCTCTCTGTGCCCCCAAGACCCTGCACTGGTTTCTCAATGCCCTTATCACCATGGACGGTCATTCAGGGCCATTAGACTAGGAACTCCTTTAAGGAAGGCTCTCGTGGGCCTGACACAGCAGGTGCTCACTTAACCTTGACTGTGTTCATCTATCTTTTTGAGAAGGGCTGTCCAGGCAGGCATCTGAGTAGCACTCACAGCCTTGGGAGTTCTAGAAGCCATCCATGATGTACGCACACAGCCAGTGCCCTGGGTAATGATGACAGGCACAGCTTTCAAAGCAGACTGTCCTGCCTCAAGCCCAGCTCTACTTCTTACCAGCAGTAACCAGGACAGACCCCTTTCTAAGGTAGCCACCTCAAGGGGCATGAAAAGGATGGAGTGAACACTATGTGCTAGCATGGCTGGAACATAGTAAGTGCTCAGTATGTCTCAGCTCTTACCTGGGGCACAGTGGAGACTGGCGAGTCAGCACAGTAGGAAACCAGCTTTGAGAGGCAGAGGGCTCTTAACATAAAAAACGGCACAGCTCGGTACTGCTTGCATTTATAAGGCACTTTTCACGTGGATTACTAGTGGTTAAGCTTCAAACAACCCTATAAAGTAGCTAGTGGTATCATAACTCACATTTCATTGATGAAGGGACTAATGTTTCAGAGAGGTGAAGTAAGTTTTCCAGGGACACGCTGCACTGGAAAGAGGGTTCTGCTAGTCCAAATAGGGAGCTCTATCGACCTGAACCGCAAGGATCCAGCCAGGAAGTTGAGATGCGGTTGGACAGCCTACACCACTTCTGCGCCAGGGGGAGGCTGCCCAGAACAGGACGCCCTCCTAGGAACCACAGAGTTTAGCAAAGAAAAGTTTCCCTCTGTCCTGGGTGATTGAGGAGAGCTGCATCCAACAGGCCCTTGCACGAGACCAAATGCGTCGTGGGCACGCGCACACACACACAGACACACGGTGCAACCCGCCCTTCCAGGCCACCTCCGTCAGCCTCAGGCTCTCAAGGAAACCTCGGTTTCCTGGGGAGCCCGAGCCTAGAACCATCCCGACTGGCCTCCGAAGTCAACTCCTCCCTTCCACACCCCCAAGTGCAGGTTTCGGGTTCAACTCTCTGAAGCCGCCTCCCCAGTCCCGCGCTAGGCACCGTCCCGACTACTAAACGGCACTGGGTACCTAGGAGTTGCCTCAGCAGAAGCGCCGCGCCTGGCACGGGTCGGGCACACACTGCATTCGCTGGGCGAAGTGGCCATGCCTGGGTCCCCGCGCCGGGCAGCATGCGGTGCCCCGCAGGGCTCGGCCGAGGGTGGTGGAGGAAGGGGATGCCCCGCGAAGCGGGAATTCGCACCTCTCGCTCTCTTACCTTCCTCATTCTCGTCAAACACGGGGGGCTTGTGGGAGTGGTTCCCGCCCATATTCCGCCGTTGCTGCCGCTGCTACATGCCCGGCCGCTGGGATGCCGGATGCGGGATGTGGGACGCGCGCAGAGATGCGGGATGCCGGGGGCGCGCCCAGTCCGGGTTGTAGCCGCGCGCGGAGCCCGAGGGGGCCGAGCACCGTGCAGGGGCGGGGACGGCGTCCCCCTTCTCCTGGACGCCCTTCCGACTGCGCTCGCAGGGACCCCGCTCTCGCCGCGCCTTCCGCCGTGCCCCGCCTCGGGCTGCGCTCGCAGCTCCTTACTCCAGTGCCCGCCCGGGAACCCGGGAGCTCCTCGCGCCGGGGCCAACGTGCGGCGCTCCTCGCCGGCTACAGCGGGCGGGAGACGCGAGGCGGCGCGGGAGCAGGGGAAGGAGGGGAAGGAGCGGGGGAGGAGGGGACGGACGAAGGCAGCACGCAGTGGGCGGCGGCAGGGCGGAAGGAGCTGAGAAAGGGATCGGCCCGGAAGAATCTGAATCCCTGCTCGGCCCTCCTCCCTCGGCCGGGAGCTCGGTCCCTGCAGGCAGTAAGCGGTTTGTCAGCACCCACTATGGCCAGGCCTCGGCTACGCGCTTTGTTAGCACCATCCCACATCCGCCTCCGACAACCCAGCAGTAAGAAAGCATCGTTCATATTTTAGAGCGCAGTAGACGGAGGTCTAGAGGTAGAGGGGCTCTTAGGTCTGTGGTTAGTCGGCCCCGGCTGCGAAGGGAGTCCCAGGACTCCCCGCTAGCCTGTATTTGCCCATTCATATTGGGATGGGCAGTGGAGTGTCTGCTGGCTCTCCAACCGACGCTGTTCCTCTTAAGGTTTTTCTCAGTGTTTAATGAATGAAAGTATCTGTTTACTTTCTGACCCCTTAAGATTAGATACTAATCTGACCCCTTCATTGTACATGGGGAAACTGAGGCCCCAGACAGCCATAGTTTGCCCCAAACCATTCTCCCTGGGAATGGCTGGGCATGAGTCTCGGGATTCCCCCAAAATTGGGCGGCATCGGCGTCCGATTTAGGGGCGAGGCTAGCATGAGGGTCCCTGGGCTCCTGCGGCGGGAGCCTGGATCGGGAGATACGCGCCACAGTTGCGGGTGCCTAAGTAAGGGGTGCGGCAGATGCGCCCCAAGACGTGTGGGGCGAGCGCGGGTTCCCAGGACGCTCCCTGAGGGACAGGCAGGTCCCCCTGCCTTGCAGTCCTGCGGGCCCAGCTCTCCGGGACTGCAGGGAATCTTTGGCTACATCCTGCCATCTGCTGGGCGCCTGGAACCACTGTCCGTGCTTTGATAGAAAGCAGGGGTTCTTTGTGACTCTCTCCATCCTATCTCGTCCCCCAGTCCCCGTCCCCTACCTGGTCTCTCTCTCCAGTTCTCTCCCCTTCTTTCTTTTTCTTGGGAGAAGGGTGAGGGAAGCCGGGGAGACTCATACAGAAACAAAACAAAACAAAACAAAACAAAAAATCTCTTAAAGGCAGTGGGAAAGAACTGAGAAGGTCTGAGGCAGGCCCACCCACCATGACCCAGAGCTGGCTCTACCATTTACTGGCAATGTGTCCCACTTTGGAGTTCTTATCTGCAAAGTGGGCTGATTGATATTAACTCCTTGGGTTGTCTGTGAGAATTATATCAGGTAATATTTATAAAAGCAGGCAACAGTGCCCGGCATATAATAAATGATGAATAAATATTTCTTGCCTTTCATTCCACCAACAAGCATACACTGAGTAGCCAGTGTGCAGCAGGCAATGCCCTGAACACAGAGCTGGCCCCTAGCTCAAGAAGCATAGGGCGGAATGTGGACAGGCATGGGCTCTGGGCTCATTCTACCCAGGTTTCATTCTGCTTTGCCCCTCATTAGCCAGTTAACTTGGATAAATTACTTAACCTGTTCTGGACTCAGTTTCTTCATCTGAGTCCAGAAGGTGCTAATAAGAGAACTTTCCCTTTCTAACATTGTTATGAGGAATATATTGATATTGTGCTAGGCCGGGCGTGGGGGCTCACACCTGTAATCCCAGCACTTTGGGAGGCTGAGGCGGGTGGATCACCTGAAGTCAAGAGTTTGAGACTAGCCTGGCCAATATGGAGAAACCCCATCTGTACTAAAAAAACAAAACTTAGCTGGGTGTGATTGCCAGGCCTCTGAGCCCAAGCTAAGCCATCATAACCCCTGTGACCTGCACATATACATCCAGATGGCCTGAAGCAACTGAAGAATCACAAAAGAAGTGAAAATGGCCTGTTCCTGCCTTAACTGATGACATTACCTTGTGAAATTCCTTCTCCTGGCTCAGAAGCTCCCGACTGAGCACCTTGTGACCCTCGCCCCTGCCTCCCAGAGAACCCCTTTGACTTTAATTTTCCATAACCTACCCAAATCCTATAAAACTGCCCCACCCATATCTCTCTTCGCTGACTCTCTTTTCGGACTCAGCCCGCCTGCACTGAGGTGATTAAAAAGCTTTATTGCTCACACAAAGCCTGTTTGGTGGTCTCTTCACACGGACACGCATGACAGAAATGTCACCCACCTGTAATCCCGGCTACTCGGGAGGCTGAGGTGGGAGAATCCCTTGAACCTGGGAGGCGGAGGTTGCAGTGAGCTGAGATTGTGCCACTGCACTCCAACCTGGGTGACAGAGTGAGACTCCGTCTCAAAAAAAAAAAAACAAAAGAAAAGAAGGCATTGGCCAGAGAGGGTGCTGGCGCTGAGACTGGAAGGGCAAGGAATCAACCGGGTTGGAAGAAGAAAGGAGGCTACTGGTGCAAAGTTCTCCAGGCCTAGAGAGTGGGACACTTTGCAGATGCTGGGAGATGTTCCACACGGCTGGAATTAGTCTTGCAGTGCAGTGTTCAGTGACAGCGTGCATGTGTATTGAGAACTCTGCATGTCCAGCTCTGTGCTAACTCTTTGCAGGGTGCTAGGACCTCCGGCAACCCCTTCACTTCTCTGCTCCCCATCCATAGAGAATGTGCCTGACTCTGGTACTTCAAGCGCTCTGCATGGATTTTCTCATCCTCACAGCAACCCTGAGAGGTAGGTGTGTCACCATCCCCACTCTGGAGGAGACTGGGGCACAAATAGGCTAAGCCAACTCAAATGGTTGAGAAGTGCAAAGACCTAAGATTTCAATGCAGAAATTGGCCAGGTGTGGCGTTTCACGCCTATAATCCCAGCACTTTGGGAGGCCTAGGTGGGAGGATCACTTGAGGTCAGGAGTTCGAGACTGGCCAACATGGTGAAACCCTGTCTCTACTAAAAATACAAAAATTAGGCCAGGCACGGTGGCTCACACCTGTAATCCCAGAACTTTGGGAGGCCAAGGTGGGTGGATTACCTAAGCTCAGGAGTTCGAGACCAGCTTAGCCAACACGGTGAAACCCCATCTCTACTAAAAATACAAATATTAGCCAAGCGTGGTGGCAGGCACCTGTGACCTCAGCTACTCGGGAGGCTGAGGCAGGAGAATTGCTGAAACCTGCAGAGAGTTGCAGTGAGCCAAGATCGCGCCATCGCACTCCAGCCTGGGCAACAACAGTGAGACTCCATCTCAAAAAAAAAAAAAAAAAAAAATTAGCCAGGCATGGTGGTATGTGCCTGTAATCCCAGCTACTCAGGAGGCTGAGGCAGGAGAATGTCTTGAACCTGGGAGGTGGAGGTTGCGGTGAGCCAAGATTGCGTCACTGCACTCCAGCCTGGCAACAGAGTGAGACTTTGTCTCAAAAAACAAACAAGTAAAAAAAAAAAACAGAAAATTATTCCCTCACCATTCTGGAGGCCAGAAGTCAAAATCAATCTCCAGAGTCTCCATGCTTCTTCCAGCATCTGGTGGCTCCAAACATTCCTTGGGTGGAGGCTGGAGAACTCTGGTCTCTACCACCATCTTCACATGGCCACCTCCTCTCTCCCTGTGTCATTTCTTCTCTGTCTCTTGAAAAGACACTTACTGGATTGAGGGCCCACCCTGATAATCCCAGCATGATCTCTTCTCAAGATCTTTAACCATTTGCAAAGACTGTTTTCCCAGATAAGATCACACATACAGTTCCAGGGGTTAGGACTTCAACATATTTTACTGGGGGCCACTGTTCAACCCCCACATCTACCTAGTGGCAAAGCTCCTGTCTCCAGGTCATGCGTTGACTCACCACCTGCCACTGCTCCCTGATTTCTACCCGGCTTTCCTGTCATCCAGGAGCCCTGCAGGGCAGCCAGGGCTGTGTGTCCCCAGGGTCTTGCTCAGCACTGGTACAGAGTTGATACTTTACAAATATACGTTGATGGAATGAGTGAATGATGGTTTCAGATGTGTTGAAATGGAGATTTTGTCAGAAACATTGTGAGATGCCCCTCTCTATTAACCATCAATCAGACCTCTGGACTTTTATTTTATTTTTATTTTTATTTTACTTTAAGTTCCGGGATACATGTGCAGAATGTGTCGGTTTGTTACATAAGTAGACATGTGCCGTGGTGGTTTGCTGCACCTATTGACCCCTCCTCTAGGTTCCCTCCCCTCATCCCCCACCCCCCAACAGGCCCTGGTGTATGTTGTTCTTCTTCCTGTGTCCATGTGTTCTCATTGTTCAGCTCCCACTTATGAGTGAGAACATGTGGTGTTTAGTTTTCTGTTTCTGTGTTAGTTTGCTGAGAATGATGACTTCCAGCTTCATCCATGTCCCTGCAAAGGACATGATCTCATTCCTTTTTATGGCTGCATAGCATTCCGTGGTGTATATGTACCACATTTTCTTTATCCCATTTATCATTGTTGGGCATTTGGGTTGGTTCCACAATTTTGCTATTGTAAACAGTGCTGCAGTAAACATATGTGTGCATGTGTCCTTATAGTAGAATGATTTATATTCCTTTGGGTATATACCCAATAATTTGACTGCTGGGTCAAATGGTATTTCTCACTCTAGATCGTTGAGAAATCACCATACTGTCTTCCACAATGGTTGAACTAATTTACATTCTCACCAACAGGGTAAAAGTGCTCCTGTTTCTCCACAGCCTCACCAGCATCTATTGTTTCTTGACTTTTTAATAATCACCCTTCTGACTGGTGTGAGATGGTATCTCATTGTGGTTTTGATTTGCATTTCTCTAACGAGCATTGATGTTGAGTTTTTTTTCATGTGTTTGATGGCTGCATAAATGTCTTCTTTTGAGAAGTGTCGGTTCATATCCTTTGCCCAGTTTTTATGTGGTTGTTTGTTTTATTCTTGTAAATTTATTTAAGTTCCTTATAAATTCTGGATATTAGACTTTTATCAGATGGGTAGATTGCAAAAATGTTCTCCTATTCTGTAGGTTGACTGTTCACTCTGATGCTAATTTAAATAGATCCCATTTGTCAATTTTGGCTTTTGTTGCAATTGCTTTTGTTGTTTTAGCCGTGAAATCTTTGCCCATGCTTATGTCCTGAATGGTATAGCCTATGTTTTCTTCTAGGGTTTTTATAGTTTTGGATTTTGCATTTAAGTCTTTAATCCATCTTGAGTTAATTTTTGTATAAGGTATATGGAAGGAGTCCAGTTGCAATTTTCTGCATATAGCTAGCCACTTTTCCCAGCACCATTTATTGAATAGGAGATCCTTTCCCCACTGCTTGTTTTTGTCACGTTTGTCGAAAATTAGGTGGTTGTAGATGTGTGGTGTTATTTCTGTGGTCTTTCTTCTGTTCCACTGATATCTATATGTCTGTTTTGGTACCACTACCATGCTGTTTTGGTTACTGTAGCCTTGTAGTATAGTTTGAAGTCAGGTAGTATGATGTCTCCAGCTTTATTCTTTTTGCTTATGACTGTCTTGGCCATACAGGGTCTTCTTTGATGTCATATGATATTTAAAGTAGTTTTTTCTAATTCTGTGAAGAATGTTAATGGTAGTTTGATGAAAACAGTTCTCGACTCCTATTCAACATAGTGTTGGAAGTTCTGGCCAGGGCAATCAGGCAAGAGAAAGACATAAGGGGTATTCAAATAGGAAGAGAGGAAGTCAAATTGTCTCTGCTTGCAGATGACATGATTCTATATTTAGAAAACCCCATCATCTCAGCCCCAAAACTCCTTAAGCTGATAAGCAACTTCAGCAAAGTCTCGGGATACAAAATCAATGTGCAAAATTCGTAAGCATTCCTTTACACCAACAATAGGCACACAGAGAGCGAAATCATGAATTAACTCCCATTCACAATCGCTACAAAGAGTACCTAGGAATACAGTTAACAAGGGATATGAAGGATCTCTTCAAGAAGAACTACAAACCACTGCTCAAGGAAATAAGAGAGGATACAAACAAATGGAAAAACCTTCCATCATCATGGATAGGAAGAATCAATATCATAAAAATGGCCATACTGCCCAAAGTAATCTATAGATTCAATACTATTTCTATCAAACCGCCTCTGGACTTTTAAGCAGAGTGGTCAGGGAAGCTTCACTGAGCTGACACCAGAAGGAACTCTAAAAGGCAGTGAGGAAGTTGGCTGCACAGATGTCAGGAATGAAAGTATTGCAGACAGAGGAAGCAGCCAGTGCCAAAACCCCAAGGCAGGAGGGCACATGACTTCCTCTGGGAACTGCAGGGGGCCACAGAGGCTAGAATGTGTGAAGCAGAAGATGGAGCAGATGAAAGAGATGAGAGGTACAGAGCCCGCTCAGGCAGAGCCTGGCAGGTGGCTCAAAGACTCGGGGCTTTCTTCTGAATTAAATGGGCACACACTGGAGGGCTCTGAACAGGGAAGTATGACAGACATCTTTTTAAAGGGCCCCTCCAACTCTGCTGAGAGTAGACTGAGGCAAGGCAAAGGTATGAAGGGGAACACTGGCTTTGAGACTACTGCTAGGCAAGAGATGCTGGTGGCATCAGCACATTGGGGGTTGGGGTGGTAGGGAGAAGTGGCTAGTCCTGGACATATTTTGGGCTTTTGGTTTTTTGGTTGTGTTTGTTTTGAGACAGGATCTCACTCTGTCACTGAGGCTGGAGTGCAGTGGCACAATCATGGCTCACTGCAGCCTCAGCCTCCCAGGATCAAGAGATCCTCTCACCTCAGCTTCCTGAGTAGCTGGTACCACAGGTGTGTACCACCACACCTGGCTGACTTTTTATTTTAAGTTTGTAGAGACAGGGGTCTCACTGTGTTTCCCAGGCTGCTCTCAAACTCCTGGACTCAAGCAATCCTCCAGCTTTGGGCCTCCCAAAGTGCCGAAATGACAGGCATGAGCCGGCATGCCCAAACAGTCCTGAACATATTTTGAATAGAGGAAAACCTAAACGGATTTCCTGGTGGTTGGTTGAAGGAGGAAGGAAAAAGATGAGTCAAAGATAGCTCAAATCTTTTGGCTTGAACAACTGGAAGGATGAAGACAGGGGAGGCTGAGGGTGGGGCTGGATCCCTGTGTTTTGGTGTGGCAGGGCAAAGGGAGGGAAGGAGGAGATTGGGAGTCCCCTCTGGGACATGTTAAATTTAAAGGGTCTGTGGTGGGTGTGTAGCAGTCCCTGGGCAGATGTGTCTGAGGTTTAGGAGAGAAGTTGACAATAGGAATTACAATTTGGGAGTCCTGAGCATATTGATGATGTTTAAGGCCCTGAGATTGGAGAAGGTTTTCTTGGAGATGCAAGGATCAACCCTAGGACTCCAACAGGAAGAGGCCAGGGAGATGGAGAAGGCAGCCAGCTTAGACAGAAAGGGATGGGAAGGAAGAGCCCTCGCAGAGGCAGGGATTGAGAGAGAGCTGGATCAACTGCCTTTGGCGAAGGAATACCTGCCTCCGAGAATAGCTGTGAGAATTAAATGCCTAGAAGGATTACCAGCACCTGGTAAATTGTAAACCATCAGTGCGTGTTTGTTATTGGCCATGAAGACAACTCAAGAAACGGACCTGATAAAAACCTATGTGGAGGCAATGGCTGGACTGCTGCCTGGGAAAGGCTTCCTTACTCTCATTTCTTCCTTCAGCCAACATGCCCTGAGCTTGTGTTATGTGTCAGACACTGGGCTGGGAGCCCGAGAAGACAGGTAGCCCTACTGGGATAGGGACTACATGTTCCAACTGCCTTTGCAGGTGGGAGTGGCCATGGGACTAAGTTCCAGCCAACAGGATGTGAGAAATGCCGTGTGCACCGACTGCTTCTCCTTCCGCCCCTGTAGGCTGTGATGCCCACCTGAAGCCCTGCTGGAGAGGACAGCACTCCGAGGAGTAGCAGAGGAACCAGATGGAAGTAGCCATGGTCTGGGACAACCTCATGTAGCAAAACGGCCCTCCTGGCCTGGAGTAAGTATATGCACCACCTCCTAAGAGAGCAGGCTGCTAAGATATCATGGAAGCAGAGCAGGAGCTTTACAGGTGTTCTGGGTGTCCAGTCCTATATAAAGGAATTATTTGTTGCAAGGACTATGAGACATATAGCTAGATTTATGAGAGATATAAGCAAAACTATATGCACAGTTCAGAATAATACATAATAAATATGCTTGAAAACTAAGTAAATGTATGCATTGTCATTCCAAATAGAGAGTCCAGTTCTTAACTCTTGCAAGTAGAGCTCTAATATCCACAGAAAGAAATTTTCCAGGTATTATTGGAAAGGATTGAGACAAGGGAGACTCAATGAACATTTGGAATCGAAAGCCTGCTACTAAAAGAAAACAGAAAAGAGCTCCTTTCTCCTCCTGGTATCTGAGTGAAGACTCAGGTACTGCCTAGGGTATTCATGCTGCACAGGTTTTTTTTTTTTTTTTTTTTTTTTGAGACGGAGTCTCGCTCTGTCGCCCAGGCCGGACTGCGGACTGCAGTGGCGCAATCTCGGCTCACTGCAAGCTCCGCTTCCCGGGTTCACGCCATTCTCCTGCCTCAGCCTCCCGAGTAGCTGGGACTACAGGCGCCCGCCACCGCGCCCGGCTAATTTTTTGTATTTTTAGTAGAGACGGGGTTTCACCTTGTTAGCCAGGATGGTCTCGATCTCCTGACCTCATGATCCACCCGCCTCGGCCTCCCAAAGTGCTGGGATTACAGGCGTGAGCCACCGCGCCCGGCCCCTGCTGCACAGGTTTGTAGCCTAGGAGCTATTGGCTACTCTATTGCTTTTTGTCAGGGACGGGATCATGCATTTAACCTGGCCACCCTAAACTGGACTTCCTCCCATTCCCCTGCAAGGTTCATTTTCAATCAGGAAGCCTCCAGGTATGCAAAGGATGACAAGTGAAACTCTACCTCGCTCCCCTTTGGTCTCCTTAGCAGACAGCTGAGGGTGCAAGCCCCGAGAAATGCGAGCCATGGCTCTTCATGGCTGAAGGAATTGGTCACCTAACACTGACACGGTCTGGAAGAATTATTTTGAAGTAAGTACATTCCTTCTACTTCCTACACTATGTTAAGTGTCATCCAGTCTCCTCAAGAGAGAATGGCGGAACTTGGGGGTCAGCTGTGCTCCAGATGAAGTCAGCTCCAGGTCTTGCCCTCTTGCCTGGCTCACAGATGGATGAAGTTTTATAAAGTTCTTCTAATTATGTGCAAAACAATAAAATATAAACCAACTACTTATATGTGCTGAGTCTGCTTGGCTTTCCCAGAACGTAGACTATGGAGAGATCATGGAAATTATGGTTTAGAACTTCTCCTGTGGCTCTAACAAGGGGTTGAGCACATGACTCTTGTTACTTCTCAAATCCCAAATGTAGGCACAGAAATATGAACTGGGATTCTTTTTCTGACTTACATGTACATGAGTAGAGTCTTGTGGCTGCTATTCCTCTTGCTGAGAACACAATCAAGTAATCACCATACTTGCATTTGGAGCCATAAACCCTAAAGCCGTAACATTTAATTTTATGTAACACGATCACGCTGTAGAAGCTAATGTGATTCCCTGGAGCAGGGCGTCTTCTGTGCCAAGCCATTTTGTAGAGTCTGCTATATCAGATTTTGTTATCGTTTATGTTAAGCCTATTTTATTTAAAACTTGAGTCTGGTTTGCTTAGAGTAAATACCGTCTGCTTGCACTCAATTTCAATATGTTCTGTTTGGCAGCATTGTGCATTGTAAAGAAAAAAAAAAAGATAAAGGCTGTTTTGTGGCACACCAAGATAAGAAATAGTTTGCACATCCAGTTCTGTTGTTGAAAGTCATCTCACTCAGATAGCGAATTATCCATAATGACTTAAAAATAATAACTTCAAGAGCAGTCTTTTATTGTTAAGAGTCTTTATGTGTGCGTGTGTGTGCGTTGAGTGCTCACTCAAAATAGGGGTCCATAAATTGCTACTAATGTAGAGTGTCTGCATTTCTTGGCATTATAAAACTTCCCTAGAGGCATTTTCATAGTTGGGAACTTGGTAGCCCAGCAATTCTGAGCTTCTTGTTCTTACATTAAAATAATTTGCATAGTAGCTCCATGGTGACCTCAAATTAAGTGTCTGTGGAGAATTCTAGCTGTACTGTGAACCAGGCTGGGTCAGAAGGAAGGCTCCGTAGCTGCCAAACGCAACATCTGTGCAATGTATTTCATTGTATTCTTGCCTGGGTTTATAGGGATTCTTAGGGGCTTAAGGGAGTCGTCATGAACACTCTGAAACTGTACTTGAACTTGTGTGTGTGTGCGTGTGTTGTCTGCTTGCACATATTTGGTTATTTTTATAGGAAGAGAGTCAAAATCTGTCACAGCTCTTTAAAAGGCTCCATGAACCCACCCATTTCCCTGAAGAAAAGGACTCAGAAGCAGTGATGTAAAGAATCGTTTCTATCAACGAGAAGAGACTCCTCTTTCAGAAAGCAGGAACCATACGTAGCAGAAGTGATAACAATGACTTACTAAAAGGCACTAGACACAGTCACATGACACATAACGATGTCTCCATCAAGGATGGGCCGCACACCCAACAGTGGCCCCATGAGATGAGACTACTGTATTTTTCTGCACCTTTTCTGTGTATGCATACACAAATACTTGCCAATGTGTTACAGTTGCCTAGGGTATTCATGCTGCACAGGTTTGTAGCCTAGGAGCTATTGGCTACACCACATAGCCTGGGCATGTAGTCAACTGTACCATCTTGGCATGTGGTGACAACGCATATCTCAGACCATGTCCCATGGTGAAGCAACATCTGACTATATTGAGGTAGCCAGTGTGTGGCCTACAGGGCAGGAGACAGGCCTTAAAAGTTCTACTGCTTGGCCGGGCGCAGTGGCACCTGTAATCCCAGCACTTTCAGAGGCCAAGGAGGGCAGATTACGAGGTCAAGCGATTGAGACCATCTTGGCCAACATGGTGAAACCCTGTCTCTACTAAAAATACAAAAATTAGCTGGGCATGGTGGCACTCATCTGTAATCCCAGCTACTCGGGAAGCTGAGGTAGGAGAATTGCTTGAACCCAGGAGGCGGAGGTTGCAGTGAGCCAAGATCGTGCCACTGCTCTCCAGCCTGGCGACACAGCGAGACTTCGTCTCAAAAAAAAAAAAAAAAAAAAAAAATTCTACTGCCACTGCCTCATCATGTGCACTGAGAGAAGTCACTTCCCTTCTATAGGCCTCATTTTCCCCATCTGTAAACTGAAAAAAATGAAGGAGTTGGGCAGTGTGGCAGAGACACCTACTTGTTCATGGTATCCACTTACCCCTTCTTTCTTTTTACAAATAGAACATACACCTCCAGTGTTAGCTGAGCACATGGCCACTGGGCTAGGGACTAGGTGTTCCAATTGCCTTTGCAGGTGGGAGTGGCCATGGAATTAAGTTCCAGCCAACAGGATGTGAGAAATGACACATGCACCGACCGCATCTCCTACCACTCCTGCAGGCTGTGATGACCACCTGAAGACCTGCTGGGGAGGACGGCACTCCAGGGAGTAGCAGAGCAACCACAAGGAAGTAGCCGTGGTGTGGGACGTCCTCATGTAGCAGAATGGCCTACCTGACCTGGACCGCCTACTGCCTCTGGACTGTTAAGAGAGGATAGACACTGTCTTGGTGATACCACTTAACAGTCGTGTGCAGCATCATGACATTTTGGGCAGCAATGGACCACATGTACAATAAGATTATCACAGAGCTCAACATTCCTATTTCCTGGTGACATGGCAGCCATCATGACTTCGTAGCACAATGCATTCCTCACGTGTTTGCAGTGGTACTGGTGTAAACACACCTCCTTGCACTGTCAATCATAGAATTTAGCACATAGAATTACATACAGTACATAACACCTGATAATGATAATAAATGACTATGTTAAAAGTTTATGTACTTACTATACTTTTATCATTATTTTAAAATGTGTGCCTCCTATTTATGCAGAAAAAAGTTAGTTATGAAGCAGCCTCAGGCAGGTCCCCCAGGAGGGATTCTAGAAGAAGGCATTGTTATCCTAGGAGATGACAGCTCCATGCATGTCACTGCCCCTAAGACTGTCCAGTGAGCAAGATGTGGAAGCAGAAATTGATGATCCCGACCCTGTGAGACCTAGGCTAATGTGCGTATTTGTGTCTTAGTTTTTAACACAAAGTTCTAAAGAAATTTTTAAGTAGAAAAACGCTTATAGATTCAGGTTATAAAGACAGAAAGTGGCCAAGTGTGGTGCCTCGTGCCTGTAATCCCAACACTTTGGAAGGCTGAGGTACACAGAAGGATCACTTGAGTCTGGGAGTTTAAGACCAGCCTGAGCGACATAGCAAGACCCCATCTCTACCAAAAATACAAAAAATATATATATATCTGGGCATGATGGCATATGCCTGCCATCCCAGCTATTCAGAAGGCTGAAGTGGGAAGATTACTTGAGCCCAGGAGTTGGAGACTGCTGTGGGCTATGATCATGCCACTGCACTCCAACCTGGGCAAAAGAGTAAGATCCCATCTCAAAAAAAAAAAAAAAAAAAGAAAGAAATTTTGTATAGCTGTACAGTATGTTTGTGTTTTATGCTATGTTATTACAAAAGAGTCAAAAAGTTTAAAAATATTAAAAAGTTCATAAAGTAAAAAAAGTTATAGTAAGTTAAGGCTAATTTATTATTAAAGAAATAAAATATGTTTTTATAAATTGAGTGTAGCCAAAGTGTACAGAGTTTCTGAAATCTAAAGTATAATACAGTCATGTCCTAGGCCTTCCCATTCACTCACCAGCTACTCACTCATCCAGAGCAACTCTCCAGTCCTGCAAGCTCCATTCATTGTAAGTACCCTATCCAAGTTTATTATTGTTTATTTTATACCTTATTTTTATAGTCCCTTTTCTGTATTTAGATAGATTTAGATACACGAATACTTTGTGTTAACAAATGCATTGTGTTACAGTTGCCTATGGTGTTCAGTACAGTAGCATGCTGCACAGGTTTGTAGCCTAGTAGCAGTAGGCTAGACCATGCAGCCTAGGCATATAGTAGGCTTCACCACCTAGGGCTGTGTAAGTATTCTCTATGATTTGTGCAGCAATGTTTGCACAATGCTGAAATTGCCCAACACACGTTTCTCAGAATGTATCCCCGTCATTAAGCAATGCATGACTATGTTTTGAATTTGGGGATTCCTTTGGTTCATCAGCTTAATCCATATCTAAACAAATGCAGACTCGTTGAGGCCAAGGTCATCATTGTCATCGTCATCCTTCCTTGCCTCCAGAACGATATAGGTACCTAACAAATGTTCAGCAAAATGAAAGAATGAATGAACAGCTGAATGGTTTTAATTGGCATGCCAGGAATTTTATGGGGATGATTCATGAACCAGCTTGGGTAGGGATGAGGTCATGTCTAAGCATTTTTCCAATACTGAAATTCCATCATTTTGTTTCTAAGAACTGAGAGTCACTTGAGAACACAGTGTTGGCTGGCATTTTCTTAGCCAAGGGTCTGGCAAAGCAAGGATGGACGGGTGGGGAGGTCTTAGAGGGAGCAAAGAGAGGTAACACACACTCCCTCCCCCTTCCGTCCCTTCAGTTATCCATTCATTCACCCAAAAAACATGTGCCCATTACATGCCAGGCACCAGCAGGAACAGAAATGAATAACAGGTCCCCATGCCCACCCTCACAGCCCAATGAAGAAAACAGTGCAGTGGTAAATAAAAGCAGTGTCATAGCTGAGTAGAAGCTGAAACAGGCTGAAACATGGTGACATTTTAATCTTTGAGTCTTCAGTGTGTCCCCAGAGCCACTATCTAGAAAACCATCTTTATCTTCACCAACTTTAACACAGACGGGAAAGAGGGTTTGCTTTGGGGAAGTTCATTTGTCAGAGCCCTTTCTCAGAGTCCTCCAGGCACCCTCAGTCCAAATCCACTTCCTTTATCTGTAGAGTAATTGATATTTATTAGCAGTGAATCAGTTCTGGAGGGCTCAGGGTTCCAGCTAGGGAACCAGAAGAGCTGGTTGTGACCAAGACCACACTAGCTGTCAGACATTCATTAATTTATTCAATCACTCAACTTGAACAAGTTACTTTCTTTCAGTTTCTTCATTTGTAAAGTGGGGACCATTTTTCCTATCTGTGAGCTTTGAATCAAA
Organism: Homo sapiens; assembly: GCF_000001405.40. Taxonomy (NCBI): domain Eukaryota; kingdom Metazoa; phylum Chordata; class Mammalia; order Primates; family Hominidae; genus Homo; species Homo sapiens. The sequence goes on along the minus strand of NC_000004.12, from coordinate 5,037,363 downwards.
GTACCCAATAGAGTGTTTGCCGCCTACCAGGGGCTTAATAAAAATGAATGGGTGCTGATTTGTTAGCATGAGAAATATTGCTGTTGCCCAGTACTTCTCAACAGGGGTGATCCCCCACCCAGGAAACATTTGGCAATGTCTGGGGACATTTTTGATTGTCGTGACTAGGATGGCGTGAAGTGGTGCTACTGGCCCTAGTGGATAGAAACCAGGGGTGCTGCTCAGCATCCTACAGTGCACTAGACAGCCACCCACAACAAATAAATATCCCTCCCAAAGTGTCAATAGGGTCAATAGCTCAGACACCCTGCTCCAGACCCTCAAAAATGCCAATTTCCACAGGATGCATCCACACTCTTGCCAGAGAGCTGTTGTGTGCAATTTTAAATTCCACCCTTGGCCGGGCACAGTGTCTCATGCCTATAATCCCAGCACTTTGGGAGGCCGAGGTGGGCAGATCACGAGGTCAGGAGTTCAAGACCAGCCTGGCCAACATGGTGAAACCCCGTCTCTACTAAAAATACAAAAATTAGCCGGGTGTGGTGGTGGGCGCCTGTAATCTCAGCTACTTGGGAGGCTGAGGCAGGAGAATTGCTTGAACCCAGGAGGCGGAGGTTGCAGTGAGCCAAGATCACGCCACGGCACTCCAGCCTGGATGACAGAGCAAGACTCCATCTCGAAAAAAAAAAAAAAAAAAAAAAAAATCCACCCTTGCCTTGGTATTTAATATGTAATTATAAAACAGTGTTTCAAGTGGAATTTTGGACGCTTTTGCCTCAATATACCAGTGACACAAGCTTTAGTTCCTTCTAGCTACATGTGAACTGTTGCTGGCAGAACCTAATCTTAACTTCTCAGGCCTCCTTGATGACTCAGCAAGAAACGGCAGCATTTTCTACTCTGGCCTGCAATGTGGAGTTTATTTTCTGACTTCAGAGAGACACCTGGACCCAATTTGCATAATCAGAACCAAAAGGGGCCTGCTGTGTCGAGGATGATGATTTCCAGTGCAAATGTGATGACTGAAGCATTTTTTCCAGCCAGTATTCACGGAGCACCTACTACATGTCAGGGCTATGCTCAGTGCTGGGTACTCAGTGGGGGACAAAACAAGCATAGTCCCCGTGCACACTGCACCCAGCAGCTTTCAGATTGGTTTCACATCTATAGTATTATTCTCTCTTTACACAAACTTTGAGCTAGGCAGGAGTGGTATTTGTTAAAGGTAAGGAAGTTACACTTTTTGAAAGCATAGATAAAAAAGCATTAAAGTTTTTTTTTTAGCCAGGCACGATGGCTCACGCCTGTAATCCCAGCACTTTGGGAGGCCGAGGCCGGTGGATCACCTGAGGCCAGGAGTTCAAAACCAGCCTGAACAACATGGCGAAACTCTGTTTCTACTAAAAATACAAAAATTAGCCGGGTGTGGTGGCGGGCGCCTGTAATCCCAGCTACTCAAGAGGCTGAGGCAGGAGAATCACTTGAACCCGGGAGGCAGAGGTTGCAGTGAGCCAAGATCGCGCCACTGCACTCCAGCCTGGGTGACAGCGAGACTTCGTCCCTCAAAAAAAAAAAAAAAAAATTTACAGATCCTTTAATTTGCATTTCTGATGAAAATACATTCTAATTGTACAGACTTTGAATACAAATGTTTAAAAAGATCCTTCAGCTCGTTGAGTATGCATGCACATCTCTGCTGGGAAGTCCATCGCCCAGCCTCCAATGTCAGTCTCCACCGTCTCCTCATCTGGAAGCGACTCCATCCTAATCCCTGACTCTGACAAAGAGCAGAGTGCCTCACCTGCCAGGGCAGCACTTTGGGCAGCCTATGGTTAGGTGCAGGCACATGTGTGGGTGGGGGTCTTCACCCAAAATATTCAGGAGCCAGGCATAGTCGAGCATATCGTCCCCCTTTCATCCCTCCTGCCTCTCCTGCTGTGTGATATGCCAGCCCATTACCCACTCACTGAGCAATTACTATGTGTCGAGCTCTATAATTAAGCATGTTGCAAACATCTTCTTAATCATTTACTCAAGCTAGAAAGATTATTTTTCCATTATAATATGTGAGAATAAGGCTAAGAAGTTGATTCACAGATTCATGTCTTCAATGAATGTACATGCAGACTATGAAACAGGCACTGCCAGGTGCTGGGGATAAAATGAAAAGGAAAAGGTGTGTGGTGCTTAAAAACTTCATGATGCTATGAAGCAACGTGGTTCTGAAGTTCTGTTGCTGGTAAGTGGCTGGACCAAGCATAGCGAGCCAAGGCCTGCAGGGCTCCACATTCCTCTAAAATACCTCCCCATTGGAGCCAATCCATGGGGCACAGGTTTCCAGACATCAGGGAGGTACTTCTGGGACTCCAGAACAAAATCTACATCTAACCGTGAAAATGCATTGTTAGCACCATTCAAAGGAAGTCGTTGATGGCCAGTGGAGTGGCCGGGAGCAGATCCCAGCAGGGAAAAGCCCAGTAAATCAAGTGCTACTGACATTACCCCAGGACTTCTATGACCAGGCTGCCATGAACATTCATTTTGAACCAGTGTCTGACGATGGAGCCTGGAGAAGAATCCAGGATGCCCCTCCAGCCTACCTGATTGATTTGTTCAAGGGCTGAGACCAACATTCCCATCAGCTGAATGAGTGTGGGGATGTCTGAATATATCGCTCAAGCAGGAAAATGTGAAGATTACTCTGTAAAACATCTGACATGTACCCAACAGGCAAAGTTGTTTTTAAGTGTTAAGATCAATTTCTGCAGAGCATCAGGCACAAACTGTGGTACGATTCATCGTGAAAAGGAAAAAGCTGAGACAGATAGCCCTGGCAGGAGTGTGGTGCTTATATAAACCATGGAAAGAATGTGTTCTTTCTGCTATTCCTTCATCAAATATTTGTAGGGAGGGGAGCGCATAGAATATTTTTGGAGTGCTGCAGGCAGGGGAACTGTGTGTCCGGAGGCCCAGCGGCCAGCAGGAAAGTGACAGATGGAAGGCACAAGTTTTGTAAACATTTGACGCCCACGTATGAGAGAGGTTATCCCTACAGTGTGTTTGGTGAGAAAGGCAGGATTAGTTTCCATACATTTTCTGGTTCATTTTTCAAAAGACTGATTCTGTAGTTGCAAGAGACGCAGTGGCTGCTTAATAAATCTCTGCTGAACAAATGAATAAGGAACTTTACGTAAGAGTCCAAAGCTCCAGCTAGGTGAAATGGAGTTAGGAAAGCTGTGTAACGGCATGAAATCTATGTCCCCGCCTGGAAACGTATGTGGCATTTCTCAATCTGCTTTTTTCCCTTTCCTTCTTCTTTTGTAAAGTGTCCGTTACAGAATTTTATACCATGTTTAGGGCCTCACATCTCCTGCACAGCAGTGAATTTAGCTCAATTCACAAAACACCTTTTGAAAGTTTGTGAGAAGTACACAGCCGTTGTGAGTTTCCATGTATTTGCATGTCCCCAGCAAAAAAAGATGGTTTAGACACCTCCCCTACCACAAAGAATGTTGGCTCTGGGATCCAGCAGGCCAGCCCATCAGTTGGCAGCTGTGTGACTTCGCCACATCTTGTCTACCTCTTCCAGCCTCAGCGTTTCAAGTATAATCTGGAGGTTTTCTTCTCATCTCCCAGGGCGGTTGTAAACAGAGAGTGCACTGGAAGTAGCAGCTGCAGTGCTCAGGGGTGCTTCCGCCCTTCTTGCCATCCTTATTCTTTGCCACATGCAAGCCCCACTCTCAGAAACCATGGCCTCCTCGTGAAGGAGAAAAAGGAACCATTCAAATTCAAAACAAAACAAAAAATTGCTCACACTTAACACTGCTTGCCGTGCCAGCAACGAGAAGAGGCTGAGCCAGTTTCCGAATTGCTTTCTGTCCAAGGTCTAAGTTGTTCTCACCCACTTCCTGCCCTGGGGTGTGTGTTGGCTACGGGGCTTCCTGAAAGGACACAGGCCAAAACACTCAAAATGCTTCCCAAGGGAGGAAGCCTTACCTTCCCAGAAGCTGGAGTCCACAGGAACCTGGAGGGAGAAGCAGGGTTTCCACGGGCCATGGCCCAGCTGGGGAAATGCTTGTTTATGGTGACCGTGCTGCAGCTGTGGACGCCGTATCACCTACCGTGTTGTAAGTGGAAAGGCAATCAAGGGCATCATTCATTCCCTCATTCCGCCAGCGTTCTCTTCCTTCCATGAGGCCGCTGACCCTGGGGCCCTTATAGGCTAGTGTGTGGGGTGTTTGGTGGTTGGGGACTGTGTTTGTGGGGCTGGAAGTTACATAAATAATAATAGCAAATCTCCAGTACTTACCTTACACCAGCAGTAGCCTCGGGCCTTTGGAAATATTGACCATTTAATCCTCTCTCAGCCCCATGTGAGAGGTAAAAGTGTGGCCTCCATTTTATAGATGAAGAAATGAGATAAAGTCACACAGCTGGGAAGGGAAAGAGCCGGTCTGTGAGCTCAGAGAGTTCAACTGTCTGGTTTGAGTTTAAACCTTTAAATCAAACTGGGCCTCTAAAGGACAGAAAATAGAAGGGTGCTTGCCAGGGTCTGGAGGGAGCGAGGAGTGGGGAGTTAGTGGTTAATGGGGACAGAGTTTCAGCTTGGGAAGATGAGAAAGTTCTAGAGGTAGATGGTGGTGATGGTTGTACAACAATGTGAATGTATTTAACACCAAATTGTAAAAATTGTCAAAATGATAAATTTTATATTATGCATATTTTACTACAATAAAATTTTTTTTCATAGGTATGGGGGAAAATAATATAGCTCTAGAAACTGGTCATCTTTCATTATAACAGAAATCATGAAAGATGGAAAATGCAGTTTAGGGGTTTTTTTCTTTTCTTTCTCTTTCTTCTTTTTTTTTTTTTTTTTTTTTTTTTGAGATGGAGTCTTGCTTTGCCGTCCAGGCTGGAGTGCAATGGCACAATCTCGGCTAACTGCCTGCAACCTCCGCCTCCCGGGTTGAAGCAATTCTCCCACCTCAGCCTCCTGAGTAGCTGGGACTACAGTTGTGCACCACCACGCCCGGCTAATTTTTGTATTTTAGTAGAGACGGGGTTTCACCACGTTGTCCAGACTGCTCTCGAACTCCTGACCTCAAGTGATCCGCCCGTCTTGGCCTTCCAAAGTGCTGGGATTACAGGTGTGAGCCACTGTGCCCGGCCAGGTTTTTTTTTTTTTTTCTTTCTAGGAGCTCAGGAGTCATAACTGGCTACTAGTCTCAAGTTCTAATTTCAAAGGACCTATATATCGTTGTATATGCAACTGATACAAAAAACGTATTTGTTTAGCTAAGTCAATTCTGTTAATTTGTTTTAAAAAGTCTGCTTGGTGAATCATTCAGCATTCTATTAGCAAAACAAAGGGTAAAAAACATACAGTCTGTAATGCAAGGTGGTATCTGTTTCCCAGTTGGGGAATTTTCTAAGTGCTCTATAGACACAGATCTGGTGAGAGCGACCAGCCTTGAGTGAGCAGCCACTCTGTCTGAAACTGGGCCTCCACTTAAATCCTCACACCCACAACTGGGTGAGGGATCTGAGGAGGGGACTGAGGCCGTGGTGTCAAGCACCTTCTTGATATCACAGGCCTGCTAAGTGGGACCCCGACCTGCCCATGAACCCACATTTGGGCCTCTGTAACGTGCAGCTTCTTACATCCCTGTGCAAAGAGGACTTGGCATTCTCATGATTGGCCCCTTAAAAGCAATGAATCACCAAATTTATAATGGAGAACAGACTCCAAACATATTTATCTTTTTTTTTTTGGAGACAGAGTCTCCTAGACTGGAGTGCAGTGATGTGATCACTGCTCACTCCAGCCTCGACCTCTTGGAGTCAGGTGATCCTCCCGCCTCAGCCTCCCCAGTAGCTAGGACCACAGGCACATGCCACCATACCCAGCTAAGTTTTGTTTTTTTATACCAGAGATGATGTCTTACTATGTTGCCCAGACTGGCCTCAAACCCTCTAAATAAAGTCATCCCTCATTTTCCAAGGAAAGTAAAGTTCAAAGATAAGTGAGGCACTTGCCCAGAGTCCGACAGTGTGATGGTTAATTTCATGTGTCAGCTTGACTGGGTCACAGTCTGTACTCAGGTATTTCGTCAAGCATTATTCCAGATGTTTCTGTGAAGGGGTTTTTAACATGAGATGAACATTTAAATCAGTACATTTTAAATAAAGCAGATGACACTCCATAATGTGGGTGGGCCTCGTCCAATCAGTTGAAGGCTCAGAAAAAGTCTGAGACCCACCAAGAGCAAGAAAATTCAGCCTCTGGATAACCTTTGGACTAGAGCTTCAACATCACCTCTCCCCTGGGTCTCCAGCCTGTCAGTCTGCCTTGCAAAATTTGGATTTGCTGAGCTTCCACAATTATTTAAAATCAATTATTTAATTGACTCAATTACTTAAAATCAGCCTTCTCTCTCTCTCTCCATGTATATGTATAGATGTGTGTGTGTGTGCATGTGTCTATACATACACACATTCTTTTTCTTAGGAGAACCTAATACACACAGCTTGTTAGCATTCATGTAAATTACTTTTTTTCCTTCTTGCCTTCAGTGAATATGTATTGAGTCCCTCGTCTTAAGTGGCAGGAAGATGTGGTGGCTGGGAACACAGATTGAACCTAGCTGTCTAGGTTTGAACCTGGGCTCCACTATTAATTAATGGTATGACCTTGAGCAAGTTACTTAACTTCCCACCCTCTGGTTCCTCTTCTGTGAATTGAGGCTGTGATAATACCAACTCCTACCTTGTAAGGTTTTTATGAGGATTGCTTTGGTTAAAGTGCCTAGTGCCCCAAGCACCAGACACCCGGCTCACACTGTATCCACATTAGCTATTGTTCGTTTCCAGGCACCCAGACTATCATGCCAGGATATGACAGCATGGCAGAAAAGTTTCATCAACTTCACAATGTTACCAGGTGCTACTCACATCTTCTAAAAGTATTCCATTCAGTATCCATGCTAGGTCTGGGGGATCCGGAGATGACCAGCTCAGCTCCTGCTATCAGGAAATCCCAAATCTGATAAAGAAATTGACACATCCTTAGAAGGCAGCATGGGTAATATGGCACATGTGTTACTAGCTTGAAAAATCATCAACCTCAGTGAATAACCTCGAATAATAGTGCATTAGTCCATGTATTGGTTTTCTAATGAGTTGCTGTGTGTATTAGTCCATTTTCACACTGCTATAAAGAACTGCTCAAGACTGGGTAATTTATAAAGGAAAGAGGTTTCACTGACTCACAGTTCAGCATGGCTGGGAAGACCTCAGGAAACTTAACCATCATGGTGGAAGGTGAAGAGGAAGCAAGGCACTTTCTTCACAAGGACACAGAAAAGAGAGTGCTGAGCAAAGCGGGAAGAGCCCCTTATAAAACCATCAGATCTCATGAAAACTCATTCACTATCATGAGAATAGCATGGGGAAACCACTCCCATAATTCAATTACCTCCACCTGGTCTCTTCCTTGACACGTGGAGATTATGGGGATTACAATTCAAGATGAGATTTGGGCGGGAACACAAAATTTAACCATATTACTGTGTAACAAATGACCACCAACTTGAAGGCTTAAACAATACCATTTATCAGCTTGCAGCTCTGGAGATGGGCGCCTGGGTGGGAGTCTGCTGAGTTCCCTGCTCTGGCTCTCACAAGGCCAAAATCAAGGTGTCGGACAGCCTGGGTTCGTCTGCAGGAGCCGTCGGGGAGGACCGGCTTCCAGGCTGTATGGGTTGTTAACAGACCTTTCCTGGTTGTGTCAGATTGTTAACAGAGCCCCATTGCTTACAGCCCTAGGTCTCAGGTTCCCATTTCCTTGCTGGTGTCAATCAGGGGCCACTGTCTACTTCTGAGGGCCACCAGCATCCGTTCTCTTGTGTCTCCCTCCACTGTCAAGCCAGCAACACTGGGTTGAATGTTTTCCACACCTGAAATTTCTCTGACTCCCTCGTCTGCTCCCAGCCTGCAACACTTACTGTTTTAAAAGTGTTTGTGTGATTGCATTAGGATCACCTGGCTTATCTCTCTTTTGATCAAGTGACTTTTATTACAACTGCAAGATCCCTTTGCCATGTAACTAACCTAACCACAGGAGAGATCTCATCCTATTCATAGGCCTACCCCCAACTCAGTGGAGGGGGTTCTGCAAGGGTCATTGGGGATGATATGGTTAGGATCTGTGTCTCCACCCAAATCTCATGTTCAATTGTAATCCCTAGTGTTGGAGGTGGGGACTGGTGGAAGGTGATTGGATCATGGGGATGGTTTCTCCTGAATGGTTTAGCACCATCTCCCTTGATGTTGTCATCATGATAGTGAGTTCTCCTGAGACCCGGTTGTTTAAAAATGTGTGGCACCTCCTGCCTCTTGTTCCGGCCATGCGATGTGCTCCCCTTTGCCTTCCACCAGGTTGTAAGTTTCCTGAGGCTGAGCAGATGGCAGCATCATGCTTCCTGTATAGCTTACCGAACCATAAGCCAATTAAACCTCTTTTCTTTATAAATTACCTAGTCTCAGGTATTTCTTTATGGTAGTGTGAGAGTGAACTAATACAGGGGTCATTGTAGAATTCTGCCTGCCACAGTCAGGATGGGCTAGATTACACTGCTGTAACAAACAACTCCTAGTCCTTACCACAGATTGTCTGGGACATCACTCTGGGTCTTCTCCACCGCAGTTTGAGGCTGATAGAGCATCAACCACATGAATTGCTTTTCATAATCTCTGCCCAAAAGCAAAGCCCAAGCAAAACTTGGGTGGTCCCATGGCAGAGAGAAAGCAATAGCATCATAGAGCATGTAGAAAAGGAAGCACAGGCTCTTACAGCTGCTGCCTGGAAGTAAACCCATCACTTTCTCTTACGTCACTTTGTATAAAATAACCTATGTTGCTGTATGTAACTTCAAGGGGACAGGGAAACTCAATCCTGGCCTGGGACCAGGAGAGAAAGAACTGAACATATTTGATGACCAGCACTGAGGATTCACACAAATAGAAAATCATCCAAGAAAAGTAACTAAGTTAGCTGGGTGTGGTGGTGAGCCCCTGTAGTCCCAGCTACTCCTGTAGTCCCAGATCCTCCTGAGGCAAGAGGATGACTTAAGCCCATGAGGTTGAGGCTGCAGTGAGCTAAGATGGCTCCACTGCACTCCAGCCTCTGTGACAGAAGGAGGCCCTGTCTCTAAAAACAAAGTAACTGCTGTAAGAACTCCAGCTCCGCACCGAGCACTCTGCTGGATGCTGTATTGGTCAGACTCTTTCATTTGCCAGGGACAGAAAGAAACCTCACTGAAATCAGCTCAAGCTGAAGGAACTCTGCATTAGCTCTGCAGCCAGAAATGACCGCAGGGCAGCTGATGATGTCCAAGAAGGAGACGCAGGTCTCAGCCTCTGGATCTGGAAGCAGGGATGCAGCCCCTTCAGATCCTCTTCCTCCATCCATCTCCCAGCTCTGCTTGTGTACCTCCTGGTCTTGCACACTCCAGAGCAAAAGACTTAACTGCTGGCAACGACAGCATAGCCATGGTAGGGGCATGAGAGGGCAGCTCTCATCCTGTGTGCATCTTTCAACACCAGGTAGAGACACTGATTAGTCCCTCCTGAGCCATGGGCCCATCATCACTCCTGTAACAGGAGGGAGGAAGTAGACCAAGATGGGATTATGGAACAGGGTTGATAACCAGAAAGAACAAAAACCAAAACCACAGTCACTCCAGCTTTTCATGTTTATTTCTTCTTCACAAAAACTGTGCAATAAGTGGTATAAACCCCACATCAAAGGAGGATGAGTAATGGCCACATTTGCACAGCTGCATGGTAACATAAGTGAGATCTAAACTGAAGTCTGTATTACTCCAAAGCCTGTAGTTTTTCTCCTAGGACAAGCTGGGACCCTTCTTGAAGGACTTTCTCTGAGTCCTTTCTGTGTACCAGGCCTGGGGCAATGTTTGGGACACAGCTCCTCCTGCCTGCTGTTTCTCATTAAAGTTCAAATCCATGTTTTGGGGGCTTATGAAGGAATCTCTCTTCTAAAACATGAATCGCTTTTCATAATCTCTGCCCAAAAGCAAAGCCCAGCCTTGGTGTTTGTGTTCATTCCTTCACTCTGGGCCATGTGGGCCAACTTTCCACCTGGGTTTGCCAAGAGCAAAAGCAACAAGCTCAAAAACACATCACATAAACAGGGGAAGATGTGTTACTTTTAACCAAAGGAATACCAATATCAACAGGAGCACCAGAGGCAATGTCCGGCTAGGTATTCAGTCTACCCCAACCCCAACACCTCCTGGCTGTCAGCTTGATTAGTGGCTCCTGACCTCAAATGCAGGCAGAAGTGAGGGAACAAGAGGTAGCCTCTTTGCAAGCGTTGATGTGTTCAATGCTAGGCTCTTACCTTAGCACTCAGACTCTTCGTGTGGTCTAGTGCAATGTTTTCTAAAAAAGATGGAAGCTGCTGCTGGACTCTTCTAATCCTTGTCAAAGACAGCTATTGGCTGCAGGTTGGGCAACAGAGGACATTTGAGAATGGTGATGTCCATTTCAGCCTGGGTTTCCATCACAAGTGGGCACAGGATGGGAACACAGGGAGCAGGCAGGAGAGGTGATAGTCTGTGTTCCAGCCATGTCACAAGAGGCCACAGCCAACAGCAGGTTGCTGTTTCTTACAGTTCACTGGTGATATGGTTTGGCTCTCTGTCCCCACCCAAATCTCCCCTTGAATTGTAATAATCCCCATGTGTCGAGAGCATGAACAAGTGGAGATAACTGAATCATGGGAGTGGTTTCCCTTATACTGTTCTCATGATGGTGAGTGAGTTCTCACAAGATCTGATGGTTTTATAAGGGGATTCCCCCTTTGCTCGGTTCTTATTCTCTCTCCTGCCACCTTGCTAAGAGATGCCTTCTGCCGTGATTGTAAGTTTCCTGAGGCCTCCCCAGCCATGCAGAACTGGGAATCAATTAAACCTCTTTTCCTATAAATTACCCAGTCTTGGGATTGGACTAATACATGAGATTGGACTAATACAACTGGGAACATCCCATAACCCCTCAGGACTGAAAACCAAGAGTATTTCCCTGGTTACCTGTATCACTTATTGGAATATGCCTGTCTGAACAGCTTGCAGGAAAGGGTTAAATGCTCTTTCTCCTGAAATGATTTTTAAAAGTCTCAGATCCTGAAAATATTAGATCACAAGAAGAAAACAGAAGGTACTTAAGCAATGGGCAGCTGAGGTTTGGTATCTGCTGGAAGGATCTCCTCATCATGTGTATGTCTGCTGCTGGGATAAGGTCTGCACTGGGAGGGAGTCGTGGAGGCCTGGAAGGGAGGCGGCTTAAGAGAGGTGTCGGTCATGGGACATGGTGTCCTGGACCACCCTGGGCTGTGTTAGAGAAAGAGACAAGCGTACTTCACATTGTGGTAATGTCTCCGCCCCACCTCACTTACCCCATCCCAGGGTGTCTCACCTTCATGGCCCATTAGTGGGCTAGGCCAATATGTGTGATCACATTGTTCTTGTCATAGTTTAGAGGGGACTCCTCTGTTGGGCCAGTACCATAGTCTGAGTTTGAGTTTCCCCAAAAGCTGACTCTGAGACAAGGATTTGAGTGCAAGACGTTTCTTTGAGAGCAAGCCCAGAAAACACTTGTAGAGAAATGGGAACATGAGACAGAGAAGGACAGAAAGCCAATACATCCATGGATTACCATCAAGCAAGTTCTCACTGTGGACCCCTAGAGCTTGATCCTGCTGGGGGACTTTCGGAGACACTGTAGAATTCACCTCAGAGTTATCCCACCAACAGGGTAAAGGAGTAGGGATATTTACACACCAATGAGTTAGGAGCTCAGCTGAGCTGAGACAGAGCTGAGCTGCAGGTGTCTAAGCAGCCAAGTTAAAGCAAGAGCCAAAAATGAGAGTTAAGCCTTTGGTCACTCACTGCAATGGTCTAAGGAAGAGGCCAAACTAGAGGAAGCCCAGCTCCCCCGTTCCACCTCCCCCCTGGACGGGTGCTTCCTCACATCCTCACATCACTATGGGGGATCAAGTGGACCAGCATAGATGTGGAGGTGGGGGTCGTCTCACTGTTGAGGGAGCCCCAACAAAAGGTTCCTGCTGGTCTATGGACCACGGCGGAGGGGGAGGCAGGGAAACAGCCCCGAGTAGAAAAGTGCTGGGTCCTGAGTCAGAGAAGGGGGAAGGGTGTCAAGGATTCCCCCCTCCCATACTCGGAGGTCTCTGCAGAGGCGCCTGGGGAGGACCTGGCCCAAGTCCTCAGATAAAGAGACCCACGAATGAAGGTGCCAGGCAAATAGGTAAAGGGTTTGGCCAGCCTGGGGGCCTGAGCATTTTACAGCAACTCCCTTCAGAGATTGCATGCAAAGCTCTGGCTGTGTCCCAAGCCTGGGGTTGGGGGTGCAGCTCCCCCGATCCCCTTGGGGGCCTGTTGTGTAAAGCCGTTGTAACTGCCCATGGATGACATACAGATTTTTAACCAGAAGCCAGACTCTTCCCAACTTTCATGAATCATCGGTTGAGGGCTACTTCTGGGAGGCATTAAGAGTCCCCAATACTCTGGCTTGCTCTAACGTGGGCAGAACAGGCACCTATGGCCAGAGGAAGGCCTGTCGCAGAGGGTGGTGCTGGCAGGTGAAGCCTAGCCCACCTGCCCTTAAATGTCAGGGCTGAGGAGGCTTGGACAGGGCATAGGCAGGGTCCGCTTCCAGCACAAAGCTCAGGACTTTCTTCAGTGGTCACAAGGGAGACCCTACTTCTCAGGACAGGGCCTGGCTTTGGGATGGAGCTAATGGTATATGTGTCAGTTAGAGCTCAACCCAAGAAGCATGACCAGTGGCAGAGAGATATTAAGAGATTTAGTACAAGGAATTGGCTTGCATGATTGTGGACATTGGCCAAGTACAAAATTGTAGTAGGGTAGGCTTTCAGGAAGTGCAAACTGGAATCACCAGAACAGACAAAGCTACTCCACAGGCAGAACTCTTTCTTCCTCAGGGAAGCCTTGGCTGTGCTCTTAAGACCTTCCAACTGAGTAAATCAGGCCTACCCAGAGTATCTAAAATCATCTCCCTTACATAGAGCTTATTGCATAAGGACTCTAATTACATCTACAAATACCATCACAGTAACATCTGGATTAGTGTTAGAATAACTGAGGATGGTAGCCTAGTCAAGATGACACATGAAAACACTATCACAATATAGAACAGAGAAAGAGATAATTCCTTAGTGACTTCATTGAGTTCCTGGATCAAACCATTCCTGAGCTCCAGATTCCCTCTATATTTTCAAATTGCACTTTCCAGAAAACCCAGACTTTGGTGTCTCATGCTGAATTTTCTGTAACACACAGCCTACAGTCCTAACTGACATAGGAAAGGCTCAAAACTGATAGCCTCATTCTGACCAGATCTCCCAGGAAGGGTTGTGTTCCAGTCTGGGTCCCACATAGTGTAAGACTCATGGACACACAGCAGGGTTTGTGTCTGGGAGCCAGGGAGACTTTGAAACAAGGAGGAGCAAGATTGAATTTCTGCTTTAGAAATGGCCACCGGGAGGAGATAGGGCTCTAGACAGAGAGGCGTTAATCGTGATGTAATTGAAGGGTCTTGAGGCCACTTCTCATTAAAAGGGTTCACGAAGTGGGGATGGTAGCTCCAAAAGAGAGTTGACTCTGTTTTGAGGGGCAGGGAGGAGTGGAGGTAGAGACATTGAAGAATGAGAATGGTCTTAACATCGCCACACCTCCGTTCTGCATAAGAAGGTACAGGATTTGAAGGCCTGCACCAGGGTGTCATCGCATCTCATCTCCACCCTGGGAAGAATTTGGAGCTGCCCAGAGACTGGAAGGAAGTTGTAAGAGGCAAAGAGCTCCCTGTCCAGGGACGTATGCAAGCAGACTCTGGACAAGCACTTGACAGGGAGACTGTAAAGGAAGGATAAGCAGCAGGCAGGTAGATCTGGATAATTTCTAGGTTCCCACATTAATTTCTGTTATTCTACCAAACCCCAGAGAGACAGTATGCTTGTTTCCTGTGGCTGCTGTAACAAATCACCACAAACCGAGGGACTCCAAGCATCACGAATTTATGATCTTACAATTCCGGGCTCAGAAGGGGTCTAACTGGGCCCGTTTTGGAGGCCCTAGGCAGGAATCTTTCTTTGCATTCTAGAGGCCTCCTGAATTCCTTGGCTTGTGGCCTCTTCTCCCATCTTCAAAGCCAGCAGCACAATATCTTACAATCTCCCTCACTCTCTGTCTTTCACAGAGACACACACAAACACACACATATACACACACACACACACACATGCCTTCATACCTACCCCGCTTCCCCACTGCATTCGTCACCTCTCAGCTCTCACCTGATAGGGAGCAGCTGCCAGTGATGGGTTAGGGGCTCCAGAAACACTAGGATTTCTGCCATCACACCACTCACCCAGAGTGTCAGCTGCCCTCATCAATCTCCTCCGAGAGGATAGCAACTCTGTCATTCACTGTCTTTTCACCCATCTCAGTGCCTGGCACACAACAGACTCTCGATAAATAGATAGACATGCATCTGGCAAATGAAGAACCCATCCAAAGGCAATGGCCGATATCTACCTCAGAGATGTTCACCTGCTCGTTAACTCTGACTCTTCAGCTCTCCTGCATGATGGGGTCCGTGCCCGATGTAAGACATTAAGAAAACCAGAAGAGACCTTTTGGCGGAGACAAGGGCTTACCTGATTTGTGGGCAAATTCCTGCCTGGATTTTTAATATTCGGAGCAGCCAACTGCTGAAGGAGCCTCAGAAGGGGGCAGAGAAAGAGCTGGTGGGAGGATGCAGGTGATTCGTGGTGAAGGAGACATTTGAGAACAGAACACACGTGCGGGGGTCCACCAGCCTGTATCCAGTGCGGCGTCTCATAGGGAGCCCCTGGTGGGGAGCCACGTCAGGCTGTCCTGCGTAGGTTTCTTAGTGGGCTTGTGCCTTAATCTCTGAGTAACACGAGTAGTCACCAAGTCCATTCAGCCACACCTTACTGGTCATCCGCTCTACCTGGCTGCGTGCTGGGTGCCGAGAAACAGATGAGAAAGACTGTCTTTCTCTCCTAGAGAAGGGCATGGTCATTAAAGGAGACAGATGCCAGGAGGCAAGTCAATGTATCATGCATAGGATGCGGAGGAACCCTGGAGAGGGCCAGAAAGCAGATAGAATTCCCGGATGCACACTGGCATGCATTGGGCTCGGCAGGCAAGCTTGTGTGTGTTGGGCTCGGCACAGGCTGTTTCTCCTTGTCTCCACCTGCCCTGGGAATCAGCACGAGGCACCCTCTCCTCTGGTGTTCTTCCCATTCATCCCACTCCTGGCTTGGTAGAGTGAGAGGTGGCGATTCTCTTGCACCTGGCCCAGTGCACAACAGCCTCATTCCTTGTCTCCCCACTGACTGTGACTCCTCAGGGGCCCAGCATCCACCATATCTCAGTTGGTACCAGTGACAGCTTATGGCTACAGCCACTTACTCATTCATTCTCATGCTCAATGGGAAGGCCTATAAGCCTCTTTGCAGCTCTGAGCTCAGCTGATTTACCCAAGAAGTCCCATGAATAACCACACACGGTATTGCGGGTGGAACAAGGTCAAGTCTCCCAGCAGTACATTTATCTCACAAATGACTCCTGTTTTCCAGCACAGCAATGTCTCCTTGATCTAATGGTGCAGGACTTGTTTGGTCCATGGGCTTGTTTTTCTTCCCTGCTCTGAATTTAAGCCCATTCCTTGAGCACATCCAGAAGCCCTAGAGCATTTTAAAGCAGACCTAGAGTCCCCAGCTGGGGCCAGCTATTCTGCCAGGGAGGCCCATGCCCCAGGCACTATCATGGAGGGAGTGTGGAGACTCCTTCACCCAGAAGAAAACACATCTGTGCCTCCACTTGCCACCTCCAAGCACACACAGTTCTGCCCGAAGGCCGCGGTCCCTATGTCATCTTGCTAAAGGTGTTTAGAGAACACATTCTCACCTACAAAACAGGAAGGCACAGCTTACAGTCCCTGCCCAGGGCTTTTACCACCAGAAACTAGATAAATAAAACACTGGGGCTGGAAGGAACCTCAGACATCGCCCAGCGTGATGCTATCCTGTTTACAGACAGGGAATGGAGGCCAGGTCGAGAAGGGATTTCTCCTGGCAAATACAGTGGGGACAAGCTGGAGCCGGGCTTCATCCCTGTGGTTGATCCTCAGTCCAGCCCTGTGTCCAGGATGCCATGCTCTGGTTCACCCATCCCTGTGGGCTGCATCTTTGGTTGTTTTGTTCTGGGAATGTGGAGCTTGCCCAGGATGCTCCCCTTTCCTCCTTTGTTGGAGGAAGCTTTGGAGGCAGGAAAGTCCAGACATAGCTCCAGGGCTCCACTGCTCTTCCCAGCTTCACATCCCCCGAGGCCCTCAGTTTCCTCGCCTGGGAATTGGGAATAACCCCATTCACTTCATTGGCTGGCTGTGAGGGTCATAGCGTTCCCAATGGCAGCTGGCCTGGTGGCTGCTGGTATGTAAGTCATGTTCAGTGTTAAGGAAGAATCTTCTCCCTTTTGACAGTTCCTTCTTGCTTGTTGCCTGATCTTGGGCAGCCTGAGGACCCCAACTCATCTCTGCCTGCAAGAGTCCTGCTCCTCACCCATCCTGCCCTGTGGGATGGAAGAATGGCAGGAGGACAGGGCCTGAAGTCTCATCCCAACCCATGTGCCTCCAGCTTTGTGACCTCCAGCAAGTTGCTGGAACTCTTGAGCCTCAGTTTTCCCACCTGGAAAATGGGACTCTTTTCTGTGGCACCTACCTCACAGAGACAATTGCTGGATTTAACAGAGACAGTGCTATTAGCTCCGATCACTTGGAAACACACAATGGGCCTGGCATGAGGCTTGCTCAGTCATGCTATATCCTGTTGATTCCTCACTATGGCCTTTTGAGTGAGCCACTCTCACCAGCCTCATCTCACAGATAAGGAGATGGAGGAAACACTGAAGAAACTTGCCCAAGGTCAAAGCCAGAAGGCGGTGACCCTGCTTTGCACCCACGGCGTCTAAGTGGAGAGCCTAGACCTTTACCTGCCACTGTCTTGGGAAGTTAGCCCTGAGGGAGATGCACTTCTTGAAAACTAACCCTTCCTGAGGGTCTGCTCTCCCTCGGGGCCTGTGCTGGGAGCTTGAGGTAGAAGAGGGTGGGGGTACTCACACTCCCCACACATACGGCCGCTCAGTGAGCCCATCCTCCGGACCGAGAGACACACACGGCTTCTGAGAGGCTGGGGGCCCTGGCCCAAGGCTCACCTACCTGGTTAGCGATTGATGGACGAGGACACCGGTGGCCTGACCGCAGCTCTGCATCCCTGCTCCACTGCGGGCTGCCTGGAGGGAGGGATGCTCAGTCATCCCCTGCTAGTCCCTTTCCCTCCTGGCACTATATCCATTTTGACAAACCGTGCCATCCAAACCCAGGCCTGACTGCCCACTCCTCTCCTCTGACCCTCCCCTCCTTCCATCTCTGTCCTCCTCTTATCCCCCACCCCTCTCCATCTGCTGTTCCTGCCTTTTCAGGAAAAGTCCCTGTGCAGAAAGAAATTTCTTGCTGAAAGTGTGGGGGAGGCAAAGCCACCCTCTGTCACCCCCTCCTCCAGGCAGCCCCTCCTCTTAACCTGGGGCTTTCGTGTCTGAGAGGATTCCTGTCCCGACCCTGCCCGGTGGGCGTGCTGGCTTCCTCTCTGCCACCCTGGATGGACCGCAGCCTGCGCTGGCCCCACAGGAAGTGGAGGCGTGGAGCCGCCCTGGACCACCCCCAGCCTGCATAAAGGGGCGGTCGGCGAGGCTGCACCAGCGCCTGGCACCATGAGGACGCCTGGGCCTCTGCCCGTGCTGCTGCTGCTCCTGGCGGGAGCCCCCGCCGCGCGGCCCACTCCCCCGACCTGCTACTCCCGCATGCGGGCCCTGAGCCAGGAGATCACCCGCGACTTCAACCTCCTGCAGGTCTCGGAGCCCTCGGTGAGTCCCCCGCCCGCTCAGGACAGGGGTGCATGGCAGACCCAGTTCTTAAACCCTTGCCTTTACACGAAAAAAAAAAGAGAGAGAGAGAGAAAAGGATATTTTTCTTTTCTAGTAAATGTAAATCTCAGGAGTATTTGTGTTTTATTCATCTCCTTTTAAATATGATACCAATGGTTTGCTTTCTTCAAAACACAAGAAAAAGTAAAGACAACACAATTTTTGTGACTTACTAGCAAATATCAAAGGATCTGTTGTAAAATGTAAAAAAAAAAAAAAAAAAAAAAAAGAAAAAAGAAAAAAAAAGGAGTGGGAGGATGGGGAGAAAAACAGCTCCCCATCAGAGTTAAGGAGGACGGAGGAATGAAGCTTGTGTATTGCTTTTGTTAGCCTAGTGAGGAGTGTGCCCTAAGAGGTGGCTCACAGAACTGGCCTCCGCCCCTCATCTGCTGAGGGACCCGGGCAAATTTCTCAGCCTCTGCCTTTCAGTTTTCTTGTCTGTAAAATGGGATGACAGTAGCACCCCTCCCTTTAGAGTGGCTTTGACGATCAAAGGCAGGTGTGAACACAGGCAGGGCTCACAGAGCCAAGCCTACAGGAACAAGTACTCAACAGATGCCAGCTGATGTGAGCACGATCTTCAGAGGCAGATCTGGGGACTCAGAGAGGGGAAGACCCGGGAGGGCTTTTGGGGACTAGAACCCAGGCCTCTGCCTGCTTCTCCGTCGAAACAAAATGCATTAAACTTCATTAAAAGCTTTTGTAAAGTTTCAAAGTGTCTTTTAATCACTTGCAAATGCTTCAAACAAAACATAATGTTTCTCAGATGTTGGGGTTTACAAAAGCCTAGCTAACACCTTCTTGGTATTTTCTTTTTAAAAGTTAAATAACATGTATTTTTTCCCTAATTATAAAAGTATTGTACTTTGTAGAACAGTTGGAAAATAAAGTACAAAGAAGAAAAAAAATCTTGCTTGTAATTCTACCACCTAGAGGTAGCTGCTGCCGTAGCATTGTGGAGGATCATATTTCAGCTTTCTGTCTACATATAGGTATTCAAATACGTGTGTGTTGTGTGTGTGTGTGTGTGTAAACAAAATTTGGGTCAAACAGCACAAGCAGTTTTGCAACTTACTTTTTAATGACACTATCAAATAAGTTCATTTTTGTTTTAACATTTTGTTGTACAGTTTCACCACAATTTACCCACAAGTTTCTTGTTATCGAATATAGACAGCAATCATCTTTTAAAGGAATCTGATTTTAAAAGGTTTAAAAAGTTCAGAGGCTCTGAACCACAGAGCGGGAAGAAAGTGGAAAGATTATGCATTCTAAATCTCTAATTTCACAACTGAGGACTGAAGGAAGGCACTTGCCCATGGTCACACGGGGATTACTGAGAGGGCAGAGCACGAGGGCTTTTGCCCTTCAGCCCTGCGCAAAAACGGAAGCCCAATATAGAAATATAAAAGTATGCAAATTTATGCACTTCGATATTACTATATTATACACTATATACAACTACATATTAGCTATAGAATGCCTATAGAACAATAGGTATTATTACATATATCGTACTTATGTAAGTATATATAATGTCTATAATTACATGCAGTTATACAACTGTTATATAGCTAATATACTTATATAAGTTATTATATAAGTATATTATTATATAAGTTACTATATAACTAACTTATACAACTGTTATATAACTAAATAGTTATAGAACTGTTTTATAGATGTACATATATACTCTGTATGTATACTTGTATTACTGTATTATATATCACTATTTCTATATTACAGTTATAGGACTGCTTTTATGTATATACGTGTATGTATATTTCTGAATGGGTATGCATATAAAACAGCTCCCTGGTTCATAGCAAATGATATAAAAGTTGTATTCTAAAAGTCTAATTCCGGAAGCGCAGTCGCCCATTTCTGGAGGAGTGTGACGTATGACACAAGAAAGTACTGTGCATGTCGTAGCATCAGGGAGGGCCCCAGGGATCTGGGCTGGTCTGGCTGTTGAGAGGGCCACTAGGGAGACTTTTGTGACCAGGTATGCCCCTGTGGGCATCCCAGAACCCCTTATCCCTTTCCACAGGAGCCATGTGTGAGATACCTGCCCAGGCTGTACCTGGACATACACGTAAGAGGGTTCTCCCTGGGGGAGGGAGGTCTTGGGCTGAGGGACTCAGGTCTGAACCTCTGCTGCTGGCTGTGTGGCACAGAGTCAGGGAGAGATCTTATGCAGCTCAGTCCCTGTTCCTCTTGCTACTGACTTCTCCCACAAGCCCCCTCCCCATTGCCCACTCCCAGAATTACTGTGTGCTGGACAAGCTGCGGGACTTTGTGGCCTCGCCCCCGTGTTGGAAAGTGGCCCAGGTAGATTCCTTGAAGGACAAAGCACGGAAGCTGTACACCATCATGAACTCGTTCTGCAGGAGAGTAAGTGGATGCCATTGAAAGTCTATTTTCTACTTGCTATCAGCCAAGACTTTCTGAGCTTTTCAAAGAGGAGAGTTGGGAGGAGATGGTGACAAGGAAGAGGAGCAGAGATGTTTCGCAGATGCTTTCAGTTCACAAAGCCCTTTCTCAACCATGGTTGCCTTGTTGGGTGATGGGGTTCAGGACAAGGCCCTTTGTCTCCATGAGCTGCGCATTGATGCAGGGGCTACACCCCAGGACCACACCCCAGCCACATAGATAGACTCTGCCAGGAGCCAAGTGAGGCAGGGTAGAGGAGACTCTGCAGGAGGAGGTTCAGGTGTGCTCTGATAAGAGGATTCCGGTAGGAGAGGGTAAAAGGACAGAAAATCAGCAATAGTTAAAATGTGGAAAGTAGAGGCATGTGATTGCAGGGCACAGACTTCAGCATCAGAGAGCCCTGAGCTTGGGTCTGTATCTCCCTGCTTCCCAAGTGGGAGTGCCTGTCTTAGTCTGTTTCTGCTGCTATAACATAACACCACAGACTGGGTCAGTTATTTTTTAAAAAAAGATGTTTGTTTAGCTTATGGAGGAGGCTGGGGGGTAGTCTAAGAGCATGGTGCTGGCATCTGGTGAGGGCCTTCTTGCTGCATCATACCATGGCAGAGGTCATCACTCAGCAAGAGGGTAAGAGCCAGAGAGAGTTCACTTTTTTAACAAAGCCACCCCTGCAATAAGCAACCCTCTCCCAAGGTAGTGACGTTAATCCATTCATAAGGGCAGAGCCCTCATTAATCCATTCATTAAGTCAAAGCCTACATTAATTCACCTACAAAGGCAGAGGGATTAAGTTTCCAACACATAAACTTTTGGGACCACATTCAAATCACAGCAGTGTCCCTTCACTCCTCTGAGGCACAGTTTCCTCAGTCCTGAACTGAGGACATGGTAGTGCCCATCTCATGAGGTGGATAATAATAATTACACCCTTACCTTGTGTGGGCACTGCAGTAACTCCCTTGATCCTAAGAAGCCTAGTAGAGTGACTAAATATGGAATTGCTAGCACCATGCCTAGCCCAGAGTAAGCTCCTCTGGAAACTGCAGTAATTAGCTATTAAGTTATAATTTCTTGATCCTGTATGAAAGATGTGTTATGAATTTTCCCCCACACCCAGTTTCCTCCTCCTCCCTGCTCCCTTTGGTTTGTGGGGGAAGATAGGAAGCTGATACAATTATGATAACAGTGTGATGAGAAGTGGTATTGATTGAAGTGAGGTCATTCCAATGCCTGACCCAGGGTGCTGCTCAGCAACTAAGGTTCATTCATTTATTCCCTCCCTCACCCATAGTCATCTATCCATCTAGTCAATCAATGTATGTGTGAATTCCATAAAACATGAAATTTTATTGGAATGTGAAGTGAAAATTATGGAAATGAAATTTTATTGGAATGTGAAGCAAGAAGTGACTAGCCCTTTTTGGGGAGAGTAAGGCATGGGAAGTTTTTACAGAAAGAGGAACAACTGAATGGCCTTTGAGGATAACCAAGAGCCCTACAGTTGCATATGGACTCCGTGACCACCTTCAGTAACTTTCCTGCTCATTGCACATCTTTTTCAGGATTTGGTATTCCTGTTGGATGACTGCAATGCCTTGGAATACCCAATCCCAGTGACTACGGTCCTGCCAGATCGTCAGCGCTAAGGGAACTGAGACCAGAGAAAGAACCCAAGAGAACTACAGTTATGTCAGCTACCCAGACTTAATGGGCCAGAGCCATGACCCTCACAGGTCTTGTGTTAGTTGTATCTGAAACTGTTATGTATCTCTCTACCTTCTGGAAAACAGGGCTGGTATTCCTACCCAGGAACCTCCTTTGAGCATAGAGTTAGCAACCATGCTTCTCATTCCCTTGACTCATGTCTTGCCAGGATGGTTAGATACACAGCATGTTGATTTGGTCACTAAAAAGAAGAAAAGGACTAACAAGCTTCACTTTTATGAACAACTATTTTGAGAACTTGCACAATAGTATGTTTTTATTACTGGTTTAATGGAGTAATGGTACTTTTATTCTTTCTTGATAGAAACCTGCTTACATTTAACCAAGCTTCTATTATGCCTTTTTCTAACACAGACTTTCTTCACTGTCTTTCATTTAAAAAGAAATTAATGCTCTTAAGATATATATTTTACGTAGTGCTGACAGGACCCACTCTTTCATTGAAAGGTGATGAAAATCAAATAAAGAATCTCTTCACATGAGAAACACGTGTCCTGTTATATCTGTCCAAGGTGGATGTCAGGGTTGTGTTTTTTTCACACTTCTCTTGAAAACTCCTGCTCTAAGCATGATGCAACTTTCTCCTTCTTTCAGTCAAGCTCAAGTGTCTCTGGTTCTGCTTCATCCACCTGCATGAATGTCTGCTCTTTAAGTGTTGGGGATTGCTCTGATTTCTGTTGAGGACAGATGTTTCCTTTGGATATATACATTGGGAGCAGATTGCATCATACCCACAGGCAGTGCTTTGCTGCACTTATCACAAATATCAACTATTGACTCCACACAGCAAACCCGGAGATGGGCACGGAAGGAGGCTGAGGCTCATGTAGGTCAAGTAACTTGCCTGAGACCACTGGCTGCTAAGTGGGGAAGCCTGGATTGAACCCAAGCCTGTGCAACTCCAAAGTCCATACTCTTCCCAGCGTGGCCACCCCGGCTCTCTGCAGGTGAAACATGCTTGTTAAATTAATTTATGAACCCAACAATAAAATCTCAGTTAAGAAACGGGATTGTTGAAAAAGTATCTCAAATGTTGATTTTGCTAAATTCCACATGTTGTATTGGAGTCTTTTGGCTTCTTTTCCTCTTTTCTCAACATATAGACCAGGATTTTCCTCCTTAATCCTAGATGCCTCTAACTTCTCAGATGATTTATGAGAAAGATTTATAAGTTTGTATTTTCTATTTAGAAGCACAAGTCCACAGAATTATTAGTTTCTGGGTCTGCCGTAACACGAGACCACAAACTATATGGCTTGAAAGAAGAGAAATGCGTTGTCTCATAGTTCTGGAGGCTAGAAGTTCTGAAATCGAGGCATCATCGGGGACACACTCCCTCTGATGATTTTAGGACAGGATTCTTCCTCATCTCTTCCTGGCTTCTGGCCATTGGTGGCATTCTTCACCATGTCTCAGCTTTTAGATGTGTCCCTTCAGTTTCTGCCCCCATCAACATCTGGTGTTCTCCCTGTGTCTGTGTCTCTGTGTTCAAAATTGTTTCTTCTTATAACAATACTATTAAATTAGGAGCCACTCTCATCCAGTATAATCCCATCCTAATCTGATAACATCTACAAGGACCCTATTTCCAAATGAGGTCATGTTAACAGTACAGAGGGTTAAGACTCAACGTATCTTTTTGGGAGACACAATTCAACCCACAACAATCACTTTTTCAATAAATAACCTTTTTGCAAAGGAAAATAATGCAACAGACTGACTCTTTTTTTAAATCACCACCACCACCACCACCACCATCTACCACTTCCTGGCTGATACTGAATATGGCGGCATGGAACCCAGCACACAGCATTCCTTAGCCACTGATTCTTCACAAAGATGCTGCAGGATGGGGGCTATATGCCCTGATTTACAGTGGAGGAAACACAATGGGGTTCAAAGGTTAAGTGATTTCTCCAGACAGCTAATACGTGGTGGTGAAGGGATTCCAGACAAACAGGCAAGTGACACAGTCATTTCATAGCTCTGCTAACCCTTTGCTAGTTCCAGGCAGTAAAAGCAAACCAGTGAAGACAAGAACTAATTAAAGCATTTCAGACATTTATTTGTGGTTTTTTAATTTTTTTTTTAAACTTTCAAGTTCAGGGGTACCTGTGCAGGTTTGTTATGTAGGCACACTCTTGTCATGGGGATTCGTTGTGCAGATTGTTTTGTCACCCAGGTATTAAGCCTAGTGTCTATTAGTTATTTTTCTGGATCCTCTCCCTCCTCCCACCCTCCACCCTCTAGTAGGCCCCTGTGTCTATTGCTCCCCACTAAGTGTTTATGTGTTCTTATTATTTAGCTCCCACTTACAAATGAGAACACGCAATATTTGATTTTCTCTTCCTGCATTAGTTTGCTAAGGATAATGGCCTCCAGCTCCATCTGCATTCCTTCAAAGGACATTTATTTGTTTGTTCACTTCTTCAATATTTACCAAGTGCTTACTATGAACTCAACAAACACTGAGATGAAAAGTAAAGAATTTCCCTTTTTAGGTTACCAAGGGAGACAAATGCAAAATCTGAAAGAGAGCAGAGGAAGGCGCAAATAAGGGGCAGAAAGATTTCTTAGAGGATCTGCAGTTTGGGCAAGGACTCGCAATGTGACGGGGAGCTTGTTGAGCTGAAAAGGGGTGGAGGCAGAAGCTATAGCACCACCACAGGCATGGAGGCTTCCAGGGGAAGTGAATGGCATGGTTTGGATGCCATTGTGTGGTTAGGGAGGTTGAGAAGTGGAGCTGAAAATGTAGAGGGATCCAAATGTAAATGGCTTTGCTTGCGGTAAAGGCTACCAGGCAGCACATCCCTACCCCATCACTAGTTGCATGACCAGGGTCACGTAAAGAAGAATCCCTTTCTAAGCAGAAGGATTGGACATGGTTGGAGGCTGTCACTTCCTGAAGGGGCCTCCTTGATTTGGGTTACAACAGTAACAAAACAAGGACACTGCTCCTCCCTCTGTGTCCCAGCCCATTGCCGCCACCCTGGACTCCTTCTTCAGCTTTCTGCACAGCCAGCTGGTTATCCCTGTTTCCTCTGTATCTCTTGCCTTCTCCATTGGCTTTTTCTGACTCAGCCTTAGTTCAGAAGCTTCTCAGAACAAACACCGGGTTGTGTCTGTGCTCAGGACTCAATCTTCTGGTGGGTCTTACCCCAGCATTAGTTCTTGTCCCAAGTGAGGGTCTGCCAGTCACTGGTCCTTCTCCCCTAAGGCTTCCCCATCAGAAGCGGGACTTGCTTTTCATAGGCTTGTTAGTCATTAGGGCCTATGTTCTACTTCCTCAGCTGATTTGTCTCACCTCGTGAAACAAAGCACAGCCACGGAAGTGGTGAGTGCAGAGGTTTCGTCCAGCTCTGCCGCTTCTTAGCTATGTGTGGGTGCGCAATTTACTTAGCGCCTTTGTGCTTCGGTTTTCTCATCTGAGAAATAAGGATGACAATAATACAAATGTCATAGGCTTATTTGGGAGATAACATGAATTGACACATTTCAAGCACTTATAGGATCTGATGGAAATAAGAGCTCTAATCAGCTCTAATTACCATCAAAGCCAATGCAGTAGTTGCTGAAGAGTCCAGGGTTACTTTTGGATGACAGTACCTGCAGTACAAAAGTCCATGCACTCCCTTTTCCAAGACAAGAGCACAGTTGAACATAAACCCTTGTTCCAGCCTCCCACCTGGACAACAGCAACAGCTCCCTCCTGTATGTCCTCATGTCTTCCTCCCTCCCTCCAAATCCACCCTCCACCCACAAGCCAGAGCAATCTTCCTATGGTGCAAATCTGCTTCCAATATTCCTCTGTTTCATGCCCACCAGCTGCTCCTGTAAAGACTCACCTCATCTGGCCTTGGCCTTCCCTGATCTCACCCACTGCTATTTTCCCCCTACACCCACACATATGCCCACTTCTCACAACAAAGCATTTTCTGAATGTAGCATTACCTCCATGTCTAAGCACATGCCGGGCTGCCTTCCCACCTCCCACACCCTTGGAAACCCCTATGGTCTTTCAACTGCTTAAGTGTAACTTGTACCCTGAAACTTTTGCAGAATCCCCGATAGAAGGAACAACTCTCTTTTCTGGACTACCTTTCTCTCTTGTACTTATTTCATCCTTGTATGTTCATCATACTCATCATCAAACCTGCCCCAGCTGATTGCTTCCTCCCCCTTGACGTACTTTTCTCACTTTGCGTCCAGGGCGCCACCTCTCTGAGTCTTCCCACTCCACTGGCTACTTCTTCTCCACCTCTGCTGCTAGGTCCTCTCTTCCCATGACCTCTCGGCATTGGAGTGATCCGAGCTCAGCTCTCACTCCCTTCCTTTCCTCTGCGTGCTCTTTACTCTCTTTGGGATCTCATGCTTCGTGGCTTTAGAGACCATCTTTGTGCTTGTACCAAAAAGCATGGTGTTAAATTTGACTCCTTTCTTTCTCCCATAACCTACTTCCAAGGCATCAGAAATCCTGCTCTCTCTAATGTCTAAATAACCCAGAATGTGACCAATTCTTAGCATTTCCCCAGCTGCCCACCTGATCCAAGGTCACTTGAATTTGTTTCCCCAGATTACTGCAGTGGCTACCTAGAGGGTCTCTCTGCTTCCATCCTTGCCCCGACACAGCTTATCCTCAGCACAGTGGTCAAGGTGAGCCATTAAAATGGAAGGCAGATCATGTCCTTTGACTGCTGAAATCAGCATTGCACCTTCACACCCAGGGGCAATTTAAACCAACTGAGAATTATTAGGCAAAAATCCTCATCATTTAAGCCTAGTTGATTTGCAAGAGTGCTAAAAATGCAAAATCCCCTTCCGCATTTGCAGAATGTTCAGTTCTGTAGATTGTCAGATCAAGAACACACAGGATAGAGGAAAGGGCTGTCCTGACATCGATTAAGGGTTAGAGGACAGAAGATTAAAAAAAATAGAGTACCAATATGTGGAAAATGGTCAAGTCAGCAGAGTCATAACTTAGATTATGTTTCTTCATGGTGAAGGCAACCCAGGCATTATTTGGGCACTCGATATGCATTTCTAAAATGTTTGCAATCAAATTCCTGAAATGCAAGTCTGCTTATTTTTTCGATAATTTCCTGGCTGCCACACAAAGACAAGGAAACTTGCTCCAGAGTCATTGCTTCTTAATTCATTTGATTCCAATCCCACTTCTGCTGCCTCAATCCAGCTCAAGGCATTCCTAAGTCAGAACATGGGCTCAAGTTTTTGTCACTTCCTCAGCATTGGGCATCCTTCCTCTGGCCTGGGCAGTTATACATATTCTGAGTTTAGAAATTATTCTTCTCTGGAGAGGAAGGGTCTGAAGTTAGAATAAGTGGATTAGGACAGTTTGTCTCTATCTTTAGATTTAAAAGTGAAGTTTCAAGTAAATATCATTTTATAGCTACAAACATGCTTAAAAATTCAAAATCTGACAATATCAAGTGTTGATGAGGACCTAAGGCAACCAGGACATGACATACTGCTAGTAATATGGCTACATGGAAAAACAATTTATTGTTACCTAGAAAATTTAGAAATGTGCATATCCTATACCCCAGCAAGTTTTAACCCTAAAATGTACCCTAGATGAATTATTTTACCTATGGACCAGCAAATATGTCTAAGGATGCTCATGGCAGAATGTTTATAATAGCAAATGACTGGAAATAACCCAAATGCCCATCAATGATAGAGCAGATATATAAATTGTTGTAGAGTCATACAATGATAATGATAATTAATACACTATAATGACACGTAATGATATGGCTGAATCTCAGGTACATAAAGTGAGGAAGAAAATGTAAGCAGCAGAAGAAGACATACAGAATGTAGAGAACAAATACAGGAAAAACATAAAATATATATTTTGGGGCTAGAAATAGGTGGGTTAAAACTTTAAAGAAGTTAAAGAGAGTGATTAAAAAAAATTGGAGGACGGAATCCACGTGAGGAGCAGAGGAAGAGGATGGGATAGAGGAGAACAGTAATTTTAAAGAAGGACTTTAAAATTAATAGCAATACTTTATTCTTAAGCAGAGTAGTAGGTACACAATGGGTCACTGTTTTACCATTCATATATACACATGCACATTTATACATTTATTTAATTATTTAGTCAAAATTTTATAATAAAAATGAATGGTATTCCCATAAAATATTAAAAACTAATTGGAAAATTCAATTTTAAAACTAATCTTATTTATAATAGCAGAAAAAAATATAAGGTACCTAGCAATAAATGTAAGAAAATATGTATACAAACTGTATGGAGAAAATTATGAAACTTTGTTAAAGGACATTAAAAATGTCCTCTATAACTAAAGTGATAGTCATGTTTATGAATCTCAAATTAACATAAATTCTGTGTGTCCAATGGACATCCCAACAGGATGGATCTTGATGTACTCTAAAATTTATAGACAAATGTAAAAGATCAATAAGTTTTGAAAAGACAAATGGGAGGGAGAGGAACTTCCCTATAAGGTATCATGATTCCTTATAAAGTTATACAAATTAATCAAATGGGGTATTGATGCAAAGATAATAAATAACCAGTGAAACAGAAGAGAGATCCCAGAAACAGACCCAGAGAAATTTGGTAAATTGCTGAGAATACAATACCGGTCACAGGGAATATAATAGACAATACAATAAACGGTGTTATGACAATAGGCTATCCAATTAAAAAATAATTATATATCTCTTCCTCACACAATAAACAAAAATAAATTTGAGAATGATGACAGAGCTAACAAGTAAAACAATATTATCATATAACACACAAGACAATACCTTTGTGTATTTGTGTATTCCTTATGAAAACATCCTTAAACAAGACATAAACAGTGCACCCACGAAAGAAAAACACTGAGAAGATGGTATAAAAAGACAGTATAAAAACATTTGAAGGACACAATAAGCAAAGCTAAGAAAAAAAAAAAAGCAGAAATTAGAAAGATAATGTGTTAATTCACAACTATATTTATCCAAATTGCCTACAAATCAATAAGGAAGAGAGAGAAAAATGGGCAGGATACAGACTGCCCCATCTAGAAGAATAAATTGTATGGCTGTTTAAATATATGAAAAGATGTTGAGTCTTTCTAGTAACCAGAGAGAGACATATTAAAACCATGTGATAAAATTTTACACCCATCGAATAGGGAGAAAAAAAATACAGTCTGATAATACCAACTGTTAGTGCAGATGAGAAAAACAGAAACTCTCATAAGCTGATTTTGAAATAGTAAATTGATACAAATTGTTTTTTAAATTATATTTTTTTAGATTGATAAATAAAAATTGTATATATTTATGGTGTACTACATGTTTTGGAATATGTGTACATTGTGGAATGACTAAATCAGACTAACATATCCATTATCTAATACAGTTATTTTTTGTGGTAAAAAACATGCAAAATCCACTCTTTTCACAGTTTTCAAGTATACAATACAATAGATCTCCTGTCTAAATGAAATTTTGTATCTTTGGATCAATGTCTATGCAGCCCCCCACACCAATCTCTGGTCCCACCATTCTACTCTATTTCTATGAGACCAACGTTTTCAGCGCCCACGTTTGGGTGAGATCACATGGCATTTGTCTTTCTGGGTCTGGCTTATTTCTCTTGGCATCACAACCCTGAAGTTCATCCCTCCTGTCACAAATGACAGGACTTTCCCCCTTTTTGGCTGAATAGTATTCCATTGTGTACATATATTACATTTTTAAATTTTTTTTTTTTTTTTTTTGCAGTTGCAAGATTTAATAGAGTGAATACAGAGCTCCCATACAAAGGGAGGGGACCCAAAGAGGGTAGCGGTTGCCGGCTCGAATGCCTGGGTTTATATCCCGATCCTTGTCCCTCCCGCTGTGCTCTCAAGCGATAGATGATTGGCTATTTCTTTACCTCCTGTTTTTGTCTAATTAGCATTTTAGTGAGCTCTCTTTACTACCTGATTGGTCGGGTGTGAGCTAAGTTGCAAGCCACGTGTTTAAAGGTGGATGCCGTCACCTTCCCAGCTAGGCTTAGAGATTCTTAGTCGGCCTAGGAAATCCAGCTAGTCCTGTCTCTCAGTCCCCTCTCTCAACAGGAAAACCCAAGTGCTGTTGGGGAGGTTGGCTATCGACCAATATATTACATTTTTTTATCCTTTCCTCTGTTGATGGAGAACTTAGGCTGACTCTGTAACTCAGCTGTTGTGAATAGTGCCGCAGTGAACATCGGAGTGCAGACATCTCTTTGACATACTGATTTTATTTCTTTGAAATCAAATCAAAAACTAATAATCAGAAGTGGGATTGTTGAATTATATGGTAGTTTCATTTTTTATATCTCTACTCTTGCGATATGGCATGTATCTGTGTTCCTGCCAAAATCTCATGTGGAATTGTAATCCCCACTGTTGGAAGTGGGGCCTGGTGGGATGTGATTGGATCATGGGGGTGGTTTCTCATGAATGGTTTAGCGCCCTCTCCCTTGGTATTGTCCTCGTCATAGATAGTGAGAGAGTTCTCATAGACCGGGCTGTTTAAAAGTATGTAGCAGCTCCTTCCCTTTCTCTCTTGCTCCTACTCTGGCCACGTGATGTGTGTCCTTCTTCTTCGCCTTCTACCGTGATTTTAAATTTCCTTAAGTCTCCCCAGAAGCCGAGTAGATGCCAGCATCATGCTTCCTGTACAGCCTGTGGAACCATAAGCCAACGAAACCTCTTTTCTTTATAAATTATCCAGTCTCAGGTATTTCTTTATATGCAATGCAAGAATGGACTAATACGACTTATCTTTCATCTTTTTGATAAAAGCCATTCTTGCGAGTGTGAGGTGATATTTCATTGTGGTTTTAATTTGCATTCTCTGATGATTAGCCATGCTGGGCACTTTATAAACCTGTTGGTCCTTTGTGTGTCTTCTTTAGAGAAATCGCAATTCATTGCCCATTTTTTAACGAGGTTATCTGTTTTCTTGCTGTTGAGTTGTTTGGGTATCTTATATATTTTGGATACTAACCTTTTATCAGCTATATGGTTTGCAAGTATTTTCTCCCATTCTGCAGGCTGTCTATTCACTCCTGATGGTTTCCTGTGGTGTGCAGAAGCTTTTGCATTTGATGCCATCCCATTTGTCTATTTTTGCTTTCATTACCTGTGCTTTTTGGGTAATACTCAAGATATCGCCAAGACCAACGTCATGGAGATTTTCCCTATGTTTTCTTCCAGTTGTTTTACAGGTTCAGGTCCTGATATAATTTTTTTTTGATGAACAGTGTCATGATAGTTGGAAAAGCTACTTCATTTCTGGGGATATGTCTTAGACAAACTCTCACAAGCAGAAGGGAACAAGGTTGTTCATCCTAGGATTGGCGATAATGGGAATAGAAAAGAAACATCCTAGAAGTCTATCCCAAAAACTGAATAAATTTTGATATAGTCACCTGTGAAATATCACACAGCAGTTAAAATGAATCAGATACCCAAGATTCAATTTGCATTGATCTTAAAAACCTTTGCCTAATAAGAAAACCGATTGCAAAAGTATATGTCCATTGGGTGAATGGACTGGAAACACATCACATACTTGAGACTAGTTGCTTCTGCAGAGAAGGGAGGAGGGGATGGTGCTGGGAGGGAAATGTGGAGGATTTCAACCTCATCAGGAACTTTGATCTTTTTAAATTAGTGTCTATGACAAAATGTTCACATGTACTGGATCTGAGTGGTGGGCGCATGTGCTTGTTTATGGTTCTCTGACTTTTTTCCAATGTTTCAATTATTCCAGAATTTAAAATGTTAAAATAACAATTCTATCCATTGGAATCACTGAGATAAACTTTCAATTAATGGCACAATCATTCAATTATTTCCTTTTTGTTTTTTCTGTTTGTTTTTTTTTTTTAACATAAAGTACCACATCTTCCTACAAAGAGCATAGCTGAACTTCGACGTCATTTAAAACAAAACCAGAGACAGCCTTTGGGGTAGAGTGATATTCAAAGAGGTTCAGTAATTTGCTGAGGCCAGATCAGCCATAAAAGTGGTAGAATTCTGTCTCCAGACCCTGAGCTCCAGCTCTTTCCACGTGTGGAGGGATTCCCTGATGAGACCCTTTGGGGGGCTTTTCAGGACTGACATGTGCCTTTAGGAGTTTGAGGGGCAGGCCTGGAGCTTAGACAATTGCTCACGAGGCTCAGAGAGGTAGAGAGACCAGCCTGGAGCCACACAGCTGCTCAGCTGTAGAACCTCCAAAGCGCGAGTCCCCTCCCCTGACCCGCAACCCCCATCCCTCCTCAAGGTGTGCTGGGATAGTCAATGGCCTCCCGGGCCCACCCCTCCCCTGCTGGCCATCCACTCACCGAAAGCAGGGGTCTTGGGCTAATCTACCAGAAAGTACCAGAAGAAGCTGTGGGAGTGAGAGACCTTCTCCTCACCTCCTGAGGGAAGAACATTCCCTGCCATCCTCACAGCGCCTCATCAACCAGAGCAGATGCGAGTCCCATCCTGGCATCCTACCTGCTCCCTGAGGAAAGGAGAAAAAAATAAAGGTTGAAGCATCCCAGGCCTTGAAATCGTTCTCTAGGCATCCCTGCTGGTTTGTCTGTCCCTGCTGTCCCCTGGCTCTTTATCCTTTGCTGTTGGGTGTGGATTTTCACTCTGTGTTCCCTTTGCGTTCACGTCTTCAGCCACTTGTGAGAATTCCCTTCCCCAGCCATGGACTCAATGGGCTGTTCCCACCAGACTAGTCAGCCCTCCCCTCCCTCCATCCTTCCTCTTTTCTCCCCTCTCCATGCACAAGTCTGTAATTCTGGACCAACCCTCTGAGTTCCACCCCTGTGTATCCATGGGGTCTCCAAGGCTCTGCCTCTTACACTTTCCAAACCCCCAGCACCTGACCCCCCATTCTTCCCTCCCAAACCATCTCTCCTCTGCTCAGCTGCACATGGAAAGGTCTGCAATCATTCCGCGAGTTCACACCTTCAAGCAGCGTATTTTACTTTTTTAAGTGTTCTTTTGATTAAAAGTGGGAAAACAATGAAGGAACTGTTTACTGTAAAATTAGTCAAATACAGCAATTCCTCTTCTGAAGGCATAATATCATGGCTAAGACACTTATCTAGCAAAGAAAATTAATTTGTATGCACAGTTTTGACGCTGGAGAATTTACCTGGGGCCATAGTACCCTGGTGACAAATTGAAAACCTGTTCTGAGGAGGATCAGTGCAGAGGGTTACGGGCCACCAGGGAGAGGACACCCTCCACTCCTGTTGGCCTGCTGAGCTGAGACCCCAGCCAGCATGGCCTCGTCTCACTCCCCGGCCCTCCGTGGCTGTGGTGTCGTCAGCCTCTTATCAGTGTTGCAGACCACCTGAAATCGCTGATAAGCCTCTCACATCTGGCCTGGCCTCTCTTGCACTGCAGCCTGGCTTGGGAGGGGGAGCCCAGATGTCATAAAGCCACACTTGTTGTTTGAGTGACTTCTGTAAAATGGATTTATAGCTTCTGCTTATCTCTGGCCACAGGTGGTGCTTCCTCCAAGGAGACTGGGCCCGAGGAATAAGTCTCCCCTTCAGAGTGGGGATGCATTAGAGGAAGGAGCCGCCGCCCCTCCCCAGTCCAGCTTCAGACCTGTGGGCCACCCCCATCTTCACTGCACCTCTATTTTTTCTCTAATGCCCTGCAGTTTACAGAACATGGACAGACATGGTGGCTGATGTTACACCTTGTGTTTCAAAATGCAAAATGAATGAAAGATGTGTTCAGAACACAGTGGATATCTCCCATCCTAAAGATTACAATGAAATGGGATTTTTAGACAGTGATGTGGCTCACCTGAAGGCACAGGTGTCTGGCAGAAGCAGGCTTTGGACCACTTCCTCTAGTTTGAACACAAGGCTCTTCCCGCCAAGTGCCTTGGTCTCTCAGCTGTGGAATAACCCTACTCCCTCCTGCCTCCATGTTTTCTTTTCTTTTCTTCTTTTGAGACAGAGTCTCGCTCTGTTGCCCAGGCTGGAGTGCAGTGGCACAATCTTGGCTCACTGCAACCTCTGCCTCCTGAGTTCAAGCAATTCTCGTGCCTCCACCTCCCGAATAGCTGGATTACAGGTGCATGCCACCATACCCGGCTAATTTTGGGTTTTTAGAGAGATAGGGTTTTGCTATGTTGGCCAGGGTGGTCTCGAACTCCTGGCCTCAAGCGATCTGCCTGCCTCGACCTCCCAAAGTGTTGGGATTATAGATGTGAGCCAACACGCCTGGCCCTGCCTCCATGTTTTCAAAGATTGTTTTACAAAGTTCTCTTGTGTCCTGTGTTTTGGGAGTGAGATGGTTAACTGCTACCACCCCTAGGTGGGTGGGTGGCTGGGGCAGCAGGCAGAGGAGAGCTGGGGATACTTCATGGGGTTCCACAGGAGGCCTCCAGCTGCATGGAGTGAGGATTGTTTTGACCCTGAAGTCTTCCAACCTACTGGCTGCTTCTTGGTCAAAAAACAAAAAACAAAAACAAAAACAAAAAATAGGACAAACCCATTGACTGTGCAGTGGTATCACATAGGAGACAGTGGTATCAAAAAGTGGGCACACGTCAGGCCTCACAAAGTGGAGCAAAGGCCTGCGGTGGACCTGGCGAAAGGACGCAGCTGTTCTGTAGAGAGCAGTGTGGAAAGCAGTCTTCCTTGGTTGGATGAACCATGAGCACAGAACTCCCCAGTTACCAACAAAGGGCCTGATGCAGGAAGACTTCCTGGAGGGGAGGACAGAAGAGGACACCCTGAATTGCCAGACAAATAAAAGAGGGGCAGGAAGGGCATAGTAGATGGATGGTGTGGCTATGTGAGCCAGCCTGAGGGCTATCACATGGCTTAGTGCCAGGCACAAGACAATATCCAGACTTAAGAAGATGCACTCCTTGCTAAGGAGACTGGGAGGTTTGGACTGGGTGGAATTCACCCCAGCATGACAAAGCGGCTGTGGCCAGACTGCTTCTTTAGATTCTTCCTCACTGGGCAGGGCATCTCTGAAAGAAAGGCAGCAGCCCCAGTCAGGGGCTTATAGATAAAACCCCCATCTCCCTGGGACAGAGCACCTGAGGGGATGGGCAGCTGCAGACCCAGCTTCAGCGGACTTAATCTTCCTGCCTGCTGGCTCTGAAGAGAGCAGCTGATCCTGCCAACGGGGATTCTCCCAGCGCAGCGCCCCAGCTCTGCTAAGGTCAGATTGCCTCCTGCCTCTCAAGTGGGTCCCTGACCCCCGTGCCTCCTAACTTGGAGAGACCTCCCAGCAGGGGTTGACAGACACCTCATATAGGAGAGCTCCAGCTGGCATCAGGCTGGTGCCCCTCTGGGACGAAGCTTCCAGAGGAAGGAGCAGGCAGCAATCTTTGTGGTTTTGCAGCTGCCATTGGTGATATCCAGGTGAACAGGGTCTGGAGTGGACCTCCAGCAAACTGCAGCAGACCTGCAGAAGAGGGGCCTGACCATTAGAAGAAAAACTAACAAAAGAAAGCAGCAACGACAACATTAACAAAAAAGATTCACACATAAAAACCCCATCCAAAGGTCATCAGCCTCCAAGATCAAAGGTAGATAAATCCATGATGAGGAAAAACCAGTGCAAAAAGGCTGAAAATTCCAAAAGCCAGAATGCCTCTTCTCCTTCAAATGATCGCAACTTCTCTCCAGCAAGGGCGCAAAACTGGACAGAGAATGAGATTGATGAATTGACAGAAGTAGACTTCAGAAGGTGGGTAATAATGAACTCCTCTGAGCTAAAGGAGCATGTTCTAACCCAATGCAAAGGAGCTAAGAACCTTGATAAAATGTTACAGGAACTGCTAACTAGAATAACCAGATGACCTGATGGAGCCAAGAAAACACAGCATGAGAGCTTCTTGAAGCATACACAAGTATCAATAGCTGAATCAATCAAGCAGAAGAAAGGATATCAGAGATTGAAGACCACCTTGCTGAAATAAGGCATGAAGACAAGATTAGAGAAAAAGAGAATGAACAGGAACAAGCAAAGCCTCCAAGAAATATGGGACTGTGTGAAAAGACCAAACCTACGATTGACTGGTGTACCTAACAGTGATGGGAAGAATGGACCCAAGTTGGAAAACACACTTCAGGATATTATCCAGGAGAACACCCCCAACCTAGCAAAGCAGGCCAACATTCAAATTCAGGAAATACAGAGAACACTACTAACATAATCCATGAGAGGATCAACCCCAAGACACATACTCATCAGATTCTCCAAGGTTGAAATGAAGGCAAAAATGTTAAGGGCAGCCAGAGAGAAAGGTCAGGTCACCTACAAAGGGAAGCTCATCAGACTAACAGTGGATCTCTATGAAGAAACCCTACAAGCCAGAAGAGAATGGGGGCCAATATTCAACATTCTTAAAGAGTTTTCAACCCAGAATTTCCTATCCAGCCAAACTAAGCTTCATAAGCAAAGGAAAAATAAAATCCTTTACAGACAAGCAAATGCTGATGCATTTTGTCACCACCAGCCCTGCCTTGCAAGAGATCCTGAAGGAAGTACTAAATGTGGAAAGGAAAGACCAGTACCAGCCACTGCAAAAACACATCAAAATATAAAGACCAACGACACTGTGAAGAAACTGCATCAACTAATGTGCAAAATAACCAGCTAGCATCATGATGACAGGATCAAATTCACACGTAACAATATTAACCTTAAATGTCAATGGGATAAATGCCCCAATTACAAGGCACAGACTGGCAAATTGAATAAAGAGTCAAGACTCATGGGTGTGCTGTATTCGGGAGACCTATCACACACGCAAAGACACACATAGGCTCAAAATAAAGGAATGGGGGAATATTTACCAAGCAAATGGGAAGCAAAAAGAGCAGGAGTTGCAATCCTAGTCTCTGATAAAAGAGGCTTTAAACCAACAAAGATCGAAAATGACAAAGAAGGGCATTACATAATGGTAAAGGGATCAATGCAACAAGAGAACAGCTAACTATCCTAAATATACATGCACCAAATACAGGAGCACATAGATTCATAAAACAAGTTCTTTGAAACCTACAAAGAGACTTAGGCTCTTACACAATAATAGTGGGAGACTTTAACACCCACTGTCAACATTAGACACATCAATGAGACAAAAAATTAACAAGGATATTCAGGACTCGAACTCAGCTCTGGATCAAGTGGACCTAATAGACATCTCCAGAATTTTGCACCCTAAATCAACAGCATATACATTCTCAGCACCATGTAGTACTTATTCTAAATTGACCACATACTTGGAAGTAACACTCCTCAACAAATGCAAAAGAATGAAAATCATAACAAACAGTTTCTCAGATCACAGTGCAATCACATTAGAACTCAGGATTAAGAAACTCACTCAAAACTGCACAACTACATGGAAATTGAACAACCTGCTCCTGAATTACACTTGGGTAAGTAATGGAATTAAGGCAGAAATGAATAAGTTCTTTGAAACCAATGAGAACAAAGAGACAATGTACCAGAATCTCTGGGACACAGCTAACACAGTGTTAAGAGGGAAATTTATAGAATTAATGCCCATGTCAGAAAACTGGAAAGATCTGAAATCGACACCCTAACATCACAATTAAAATAACTAGAGAAGCAAGAGCAAACAAATTCAAAAGCTAGCAGAAGACAAGAAATAACTAAGATCAGAGCAGAACTGGAGGAGATAGAGACACAAAAAACCCTTCAAAAAATCAATGAATCCAGGAACTGTTCTTTTTTAATTAACAAAATAGACTGGTAGCTAGACTAATAAAGAAATAGAGAGAGAAGAATGATATAGACACAATAAAAATGATAAAGGGGATATCACCACTGATCCCACAGAAATACAAACTACCACCAGAGAATTCTATAAACACCTCTATGCAGATAAACTAGAAAATATAGAAGAAATGGATAAATTTCTGGATACATACACCCTCCCAAGACTAAACCAGGAGAAGTTGAATCCATGAATAGACCAATAACAAGTTCTGAAACTGAGGTAGTAATTAATAGCCTACCAACACAAAAAAGCCCAGAACCAGACGGATTCACAGCCAAATTCTACCAGAGGTACAAAGAGGAGCTGGTACCATTCCTTCTGAAACTATTCCAAACAATTGAAAAAGAGGGACTCCTCCCTAACTCATTTTATGAGGCCAGCATCATCCTGATACCAAAACTGGGGAGAGACACAACAAAAAAAGAAAACTTCAGGCCAATATCCCCGATGAAAATTGATGCAAAAATCCTCAATAAAATACTGGCAAACCAAATCCAGCAGTACATCAAAAAGCTTATCCACTACAATCAAGTTGGCTTCATCCCTGGGATGCAAGGCTGGTTCAACATATGCAAATCAATAAATGTAATCCATCAGATAAACAGAACCAATGACAAAAACCACATGATTATCTCAGCAGATGCAGAAAAGGCCTTCGATAAAATTCAACATTCCTTCATTTTAAAAACTCTCAATATACTAGGCATTGATGGAGCATATCTCAAAATAATAAGAGCTATTTATGACAAACCCATAGCCAATATCATACTGAATAGGCCAAAGCTGGAAGCATTCCCTTTGAAAACTGGCGTAAGGATGCCTTCTCTCGCCACTCCTATTCAACATAGTATTGGAAGTTCTGGCCAGGGCAATCAGGCAAGAGAAAGAAATAAAGGGTATTCAAATAGGAAGAGGGGAAG
This sequence comes from Homo sapiens, assembly GCF_000001405.40. Taxonomy (NCBI): domain Eukaryota; kingdom Metazoa; phylum Chordata; class Mammalia; order Primates; family Hominidae; genus Homo; species Homo sapiens. Next base: position 4,998,341 of record NC_000004.12, on the reverse strand, counting down.
TCAAATCGTTTCTGTTTGCAGATGGCATGATTCTGTATTTAGAAAACCCCATTGTCTCTGCCCCAAAACGGCTTAAGCTGATAAGCAACTTCGGCAAAGTCTCAGGATACAAAATCAATGTGCAAAAATCACAAGCATTCCTATATACCAATAATAGACAAACAGAGAGCCAAATCATGAGTGAACTCCCATTCACAATTGCTACAAAGAGAATAAAATATCTAGGAATACAACTTACAAGGAATGTGAAGGACCTCTTCAAGGAAAACTACAAACCACTGCTCAAGGAAATGAGAGGACACAAACAAATGGAAAAAAAATTCCATGCTTGTGGATAGGAAGAATCAATATCATGAAAATGGCCATACTGCCCAAAGTAACTTATAGATTCAATGCTATTCCCATCAAGCTATCGACTTTCTTCACAGAATTAGAAAAACCTACTTTAAATTTCATATGGAACCCAAAAAGAGCCCATATAGCCAAGACAATCCTAAGCAAAAAGAACAAAGCTGGAGGCATCACACTACCTGACTTCAAACTATACTACAAGGCTACAGTAACCAAAGTAGCATGGTATTGGTACCAAAACAGTCATATAGACAAATGAAACAGAATAGATACCTCAGAAATAACACCTCACACCTACAAGCATCTGATCTTCAACAAACCTGACTAAAACAAGCAATGGGGAAAGGAGTCCCTATTTAATAAATGGTGCTGGGAAAACTGGCTAGCCATATGCAGAAAACTGAAACTGGACACCTTCCTTACACCCTATACAAAAATTAACTTGAGATGGGTTAAGGACTTAAATGTAAAACTAAAAATCATAAAAGCCTTGAAGAAAACCTAGGCAATACCATTCAGGACATAGACATCGGCAAAGACTTCATGACTAAAACACCAAAAGCAATTGCAACAAAAGCCAAAATTGACAAATGGGATCTAATTAAACTAAAGAGCTTCTGGACAGCAACAGAAACTAGCATCATAGTGAAGAGGCAACCTGCAGAATGGGAGAAAAAGTTTGCAATCTACCCATCTGACAAAGGTCTAATATCCAGAGTCTACAAGGAACTTAAACAAATTCACAAGAAAAAAAAAATTCAAAATGTGGGCAAAGGATATGAGCAGGCACTTCTCAAAAGAAGACATTTATGTGACCAAGAAAAATGTGAAGAAAAGCTCATCATCACTGAGAAATGCAAATCAAAACCACAATGAGATACCATCTCAAGCCAGTCAGAATGGCGATTATTAAAAAGTCAGGAAACAATAAATGCTGTTGAGGCTGTGGAGAAATAGGAACACTTTTACACTGCTTGTGGGAGTGTAAACTAGTTCAACCATTGTGGAAGACAGTGTGGTGGTTCCTCAAGGATCTAGAACCAGAAATACCATTTGGCCCGGCAATCCCATTACTTGATATATACCCAAAGGATTATAAATCATTCTACTATAAAGACACATGCACACGTATGTTTATTGCAGTACTATTTTCAATAGCGAAGACTTGGAACCAACCCAAATGCCCATCAATAATAGACTGGATAAAGAAAATGTGGCACATATACACCATGAAATACTAGGCAGACATAAAAAAGAATGAGATCATGTCCTTTGCAGGGACATGGATGAAGCTGGAAGCCATCATCCTCAGCAAACTAACACTGGAACAGAAAACCGAACACCACATGTTCTCACTCATAAGTGGGAGTTGAACAATGAGAACACATGGACACAGGGAGGGGAACATCACACACCGGGGCCTGGGGCCTGTCAGTGGGTGGAGAGCAAGGGGAGGGAGAGCATTAGGACAAAACTGGGTTTAAATTGAACCAGAAGTCTGGGTTTAAATCCTGACGCTGACTCCTCGAAGCATCTCTTGGCTTCAGTTTCCACATCTGTAAAATGGGGTTCATAATAATACCTACTGAATAGAGTTGCGTGAAGAGCCATGTAAGTTATTTCGTGGAGAACATTTGGAGAAGAGGCTGGCACACACCAATGGTTCACCACCGATGGTAGCAACTGTCCTCAGGAGGGTGCCCCCGGGAAGCAGGGAGGCAAGGCTGGCGGCAGACAGATTGAGCCTGAGCAGGGCCTGGACAGGCATTGCCTCTCAGGAAAAGGGTCAGGGAAAATGTGGTATAGCTCAGGGGAAGAGTGAAAGCTTGGCCTGGATACATCGAGCATGAGCATCGACAGCAAAAGCCAGAGGCCCCGAAGCCAGCCAGGCTGTGGAGGGGGAGCCTTGCCAAACGTGATTAATTATAAACAGATTTACGCTTGCAAATGAGGTTCTCTGCTAGCAACTATTTAGGCGGGGATTTTTTACACAAAGCATCAGTGTGACCTCTCTATGTGCATTTCTAAAGTGATTAACGATTCTCCAAGGTCAAGTTGCAGTGGTATGTAGATTCTTAAAAATCGATCTATGCTCGTTAATGCCACCAATAACTGAAGCTGAGAAACTTAACATTGTTTGCCTTTCACAATTATTGCCCTCCAGTCTGGGCATAAAACGTAGGCCAGGACCTGCCAGCAGGCTGCTTCAGCCAGGTTCCTCTCCGACTGTTCGGGGCCCCTGCACCCACCTCTCCTCCACCCAGAGGGACGTTCTCAGGACACTGATCTAACCTGGTGCACCCAGCACACCCAACCCCACAGCCTTCCAGGGTCAGCTGTGCTGACGGAAGTCCCTGGGGTCACAGGAAAGGTCGCCTGGGAGAAGGGCTGGTGTGGGTCTAGCAGCGAGTCCCCGGGGTAACCTAGGCAAACCCCTTCCTCCTTCTCTGCCTGCTTTCCCAGGTGTAAGTAGGGGACCCAGGAGGGGATCATGCTGTGGTTCTCCACGGCCCTGTCCAGCCTCCCTCCTGGGTCCTTTCCCCTGGCTTGGGCAAGGGGTTGGGGTTGGTGGTGCTCACCGATCGTGTTCCTGTCCCTTAAGTTGCAAGGCCCTCAGTGGTGACCTGGGACCAGACGAGGCTGACTGCGGACGTTGTCCCAAACTTCATGCAGAGGGAAAAGCACCGCTGCCCTCTAGCGGCCTTTGGCCAGAATGACCTTGGGCCGAGGTCCTAAAGGGCTGCCTGTGGGGCTCAGTGAAATCCACATTTAACAGCGCTGAGTTCCCACTGCGTGTCAGGACCCAGTGTGCCCAGTGAGGGGCACATGCCTGCCCATGGGAGACTCACTCCTGGAGAGGGATAGGTGCATGGGTTGGGTGGGCGCCACACATAGCGCCTTTTAGCAAAGTGACCTTAACCTTTCTGCATCCCTACTTCATTCATCGTTATAACTGGGCTAAAAATAAAATGACTTCCTTGCAGCAGCTGAGCACCATGACTATGTCCCAGATCCAGCGCCTGCTCGCTGTTCCCACTGCCCCCAGCCTGGACCAAGCCTCCAGCCTCTCTCCCTGTTCTCCCGGCTCCCGCCTTGCGCTGCACCTTTCCTTCTGCACAGGGCAGCCAGGGGACGCACGGAATCCCGCTGCAATCCGACCACGCCATCCTCTGTCCACCACCCTCCAGTGCTTTCCAGCCCACCTGGAGGAAAAGCTGAGTCCCAGCTATGGCCTCTGGGATCCTACAGGATTTTGGGCTGTCACCTCTCAGGTCTCAGGACCTACCTCTCCCCAGCCCACCACAATGCAGCCACACAGCGCCCAGATGCCTGTCCTGGAACGTACAAGCCTTCCCCGGGAGCTCCCTGCCCCCAGGTAGCAGCTCACCTGACGTCCTCAACTTCAGGTTTTCCCTCTGTGTATCCTCCCTGGAATTTCAATTTCAAATTGCAGCTCTCACCTGACAACTCCATCTCCACTTCATTCTTCTCCGCCACACCTGTTGCTATTACAGTCTACAGTTTACTTATTCATTTCACCTAATGGCTGCCTCCCCCAACCAGAATGTCAGCTCCATGGAGACAAGGACTTCTGTCTGTTTCATCCCTGACTGTGCCCTAGCATCTATTATAGTACATAACTCATTGCAGGTGCTCGATAAATATTTGTTAATTAAACAAACACGTGAGTGAACAAGTTTGGATTAGTATCAGCGAGTGAATCTTGGGCGGGGGGGTTGGCAAATGTTATCTCCTAGTATTGTTTCTCTGAGCTAACATCGAATATGAAATGACCAAGGGCGGGTGTCCTCACTGCTGTGGGGCACAGAAATCCCTTTCTCATAGTTTCCTAACCTCAGCAAGGCTCTTGGGGGGTGGGGACGGGCAGGAGGACATAGAAACTGGGATTGGAAATAAATAGGAGTTTTCCCGGGTGAGGCGATGTCCAAGCCAGGAAGCAGCAAGTGTAGAAGTCACAGAAAGGTGCATAGAAAGGGAGCAGGGTCACCAGGGTGGCTGGGACCAAGGGTGTGGGAGTCCAGGGACCCAGGAGAGAAAAGGAGGAGGAAGACAGGTGGTCACTTGGCACACGACTTCGCATTAAAAGCAAGCTCTGCATTGAAAAGCTTGGGTGGGCTGGGTGCGGTGGCTCACACCTGTAATCCCAGCACTTTGGGAGGCTGAGGCGGGTGGATCACGAGGTCAGGAGATGGAGACCATCCTGGCTAACACGATGAGACCCCATCTCTACTAAAAATACAAAAAATTAGCTGGGCATGGTGGCACGTGCCTGTAGTCCCAGCTACTCGGGAGGCTGAGGCAGGACAATCGCTTGAACTCAGGAGGCGGAGGTTGCAGTGAGCCGAGATCACACCACTGAACTCCAGCCTAGCAAGGGAGCGAGACTCTGTCTCAAAAAACAAAAAAAAAAGCTTGGCAGGGCTTAATGTACAGACCACGTGGCGGTAGGTTGGGGTTGGGCAGGAAGGGTTGGAAACCAGGGAGGTGAGTGAGCATTCTTGTGTTCTAGAAAGGTTGCTCTGGTTGCTGTGTGGAGGCTGGAGGATCCAGGGAGCCCCCCAGGAGGCTGCTGCACTAGTCCAGGTGAGAGCCCATGGGCTGTGGGGGGACAGCAGCAGGAGGGCTGAAGAGGAGGTGGCAGGTGGGGGATGGGAAGCCTATGGACCAGAACAATCAGTAGAAGGGCAGGGGAGTGACAGGCATGATTCCTGGATCTTATATGGCCATGACCTGGATGAGTGGAATGGAATCTACCTCCTGTGTCCCTAAATCACTTTTTTCTTCTGGCATTTCCCCATGGTTTTTTGGATTGTTAGCCACAAATATGATTCAAGACCTAGAAAACCTGTTTTATTCCCACTTAAAAATAATTAACAGGGCCTTGCTAATATTGTTGTAAATGCTTTGGATGGTACTGGACCACATCAATAGGAGTAGAGCGGCCAGAATATGGGAGGTGATGCCCCCTGGATACAGCTCACGGCACCTGTCCCAGCGTGCAGTCCAACCCAGAGTGAACACTGATGTGTGTGCCAAGAGGAGGGACCCCCAAACACACACCCAAATAGCCACTAGGAGCGTCAGATGAAGAATCTCGGGGTGCTCACCCTAAAACTAGGAAGACTTGGAACAGATAAAATACCCAAGAGCTGGCCGGGCACGATGGCTTAAGCCTGTAATCCCAGCACTTTGGGAGGCCGAGGCGGGCGGATCATGAGGTCAGGAGATCGAGACCATCCTGGCTAACACGGTGAAACCCCTTCTCTACTAAATATACAAAAAATTAGCCGTGCGTAATGGCGGGCACCTGTAGTCCCAGCTACTCGGGAGGCTGAGGCAGGAGAATGGCGTGAACCCGGGAGGTGGAGCTTGCAGTGAGCTGAGATCACTCCACTGCACTCCAGCCTGGGCGACAGAGTGAGACTCCATCTCGAAAAAAAAAAAAAAAAAAAAAAAAGAAAAGAAAAATACCCAAGAGCTCTGTGGCTGTGTGCCTTGCTTCCATCTGGGGCTGGAGGTGATTATTAGCTTTGTTCCAGTTGGTGCCAAAAAGTAGAATTAAGAGCACGCATGGAGGCCAGGCACAGTGGCACACACTCATAACCCTAGCACTTTGGGAGGCTGAGGCAGGAGGATCTCTTGCGTCCAGGAGTTCAAGACCAGCTTGGGCAGCATGGCAAAACTCTGTCTCTACTAAAAATACAAAAATTAGTCAGGTGTGGTAACACATGCCTGTAATCCCAGCTGAGGTGGGAGGATCGCTTGAGTCTGCAGGACGAGGTTGCAGTGAGTGGTGATGGCACCACTGCACTCCAGCCTGGGCGACAGAGCGAGGCTGGAGTCTGTCTCAAAAAAAAAAAAAAAAGAAAAAAGGAAAAAAAAAACAGCACGCACGGAAGCGAGAGCTGTCCAGGGGTGTCCAGGAATGAAATTGGCTGGCCTGGGCATAGGAGTAAGCCCCTCATCCCAGGAGCCACCAAGGAGAGACAATGTTACCTCTTGGGAAGAAAGTAGAGGGCATATCTGCATTTGAGGTTGGACAAAGTGACCTTTAGTCATCCTCCCAAAACTGCAGATTCACAAATCTGTGAATGAAATGTCCCGAGAAGGGAGCCGTGAGAAGGCCCTGAGAAGCAGCCACCCGCCCCTGCCCGGATTCCCACTCCCGTCAGGAGACACCTAAACCGAGAGAGCCAGCAGGCTTGAGGAGCCCGTGTCCACTGCCCCACTCCACAGACGGGAGCACAGAGAGTGGAGGCAGGATGGACTCACACAGCCTCACATATCTCACTCCTGCTCACTCCTGCCCAGTGGGCCGAATTCAAGACCCCTAAACGCCTCCGCTCACTCTGTTTCCTTATATTTCACTTGTGATTTTTTAAAAGGTCAGTTTATTTCCTATGATCTGCAAGAAGGCAACTGGTATGTGAAAGGGTGAGTGTGGGTGGCTGTTTCCAGTTAAACAAGAGAAAGTTTTTCTAACTGTGTCAAAACTGTGGAGGAGAGACTGGCTAGGCTTCATTAGGATCAGCCCGCGGCGCCCAGGCGCGGCTTAGTCACTGTGGCTTCCTCACTCCTCAACACTTAACCAGCATCTTTGGTCCCCCACCCCCAACCCTGACAAATCTTTAGGCTCTGCCTGGGGCTTGGTGGCAGCCGTCCGAGGTTCTCCAGCCCTTGACAAAGGTCAGTCTGTAGGCCCATCACAGCCAGAGAGCATGGAGGCTGTGCTCGGGCCCTGCTGACTCATGTGGCTGACAGCCAGCGATCCAAGGCTCCACGGGCACTGCTTTGCATCACAGGGTGTCAAGCCAGTGGCAGGGACCCACCCAGGCCAGCCAGTCTCCACTCCCAAATCCAACCCAACCCCGCCCTGCTGCAGGGCTCTCAGCCTTGGGCACTGGGGGCGTCTGGGGCCACCTAGTCCTTTGTCGGTGGTGGGGCTTTGCACTGTGGGGTGTTTAGCCACAGACCCGGCCTCCACCCACAGGATGTCAGCAGCATCACCAGATGATGGCCCAGTCATGACAGCCAAAAACGCCCCAGACATGGCCAAATCAGGGCCCAAATCAGCCCTGTGTTGAGAAGCTCTGAGCTACAGCCAACAGCATCCTCCCTCTTTGTCTTGTTTCCAAAATATTCTTGTGAGGTTCTACAGGAAAAAAGAAAAAAAATGCCTAAGTTTTTATGTCGGGATGTGGACAAGAATGGGAGGCCACAAGCCCTGGCTTGACCCCATGGAGGTCGAGGGTGTTTTACACAGGGCCATCACACATGGACATCACCTTGCTGGCACCTAGAGGCATTGACTGTGCCATCCCTAACCCAATCCAGCCCTCTCCTATCATGGAGGAAGAAAGTGCAGCCCAGAGAGGTTAAGCAACCAGCTGGAAGTCACACAGCAGGCTTAGTCATCTAACCCCCTATCCAGTGCTCTTTCACCACCCTACACCAAGCCTGGATCCAGCCAGCACTCACCAGGAGGCTAAAACTTTGCGGAGGCAAAACATCCCCTTCCAACAGGAACTCAAGACAAGGGCAGAACCTCATTTTCATGTTACAATGCTGTGAAAATGTGCAAAGTAAAATGTGGTAAAAACATGGGTTGGGGCCAAAGCGGTGGAATGAGAAAATACTGCTTGCCATGTGAGCCGGCTAATAAAAGGAAGAGCCCAGAATTGTTTGTTGCGATTATAAGGGTCATTTTTTCCCCCTATAAAAAAGAGTAATTTTCATTTACAGGGACCCCGGGCAATTTTCCATCTAATTTGATGTTTTATAATGTCTGCAGAGCCACACAACCTCAGTAGGCTGTGGGGGCCATAGACGTTTTATTTTCAGATGTTCAAGGTTATTGGTTCATCAAGAGCAAAGGGAAAATGTGACCCGGTTTTCATGAGTCCTGTTAAGAAAGAGGGCAGGGGATGGTCTGGGTGGGTGGAAATGAATTTGCTGTGAAGCCCCCAACCCTCAGTTGAGTGCCACCCCCACTCCATTAGCACCCAGAACACCAGGCTGGTAAGGCTGGGGCAGAGTCATTGCCCCAGGTGAGGAAGCTGAAGACGACACCCTGCCTCCAGTCCAGAGCACTGCGCCACCCGGCTGACCTGCCTGCACATACATGGCCCACCCGGTTCTCCTGTTAGGAGTTTTATGTATGTTTCTCGTTTAATCATCACAGAGGCCCATGGAGTGTGGGGACTGTTATTATCTCTGGTTTACAGATGAGGAAACTGGGCTTAGAGAACTTAGCTACTGGCTTGAGGCCGCCCGAACAGGAGCTAAGAGTTCTAAATCTAACTACTCTTTCTACACCGTGGCATAATCCTCTCACCGCCACTGTCATACTAGATCCTTCCTGCTCACCCAGGCCCCACCTCTTTTGGCTTCACAAGATGGGTGCATGGTAGGGGGTGTGGGATACAGAGGGTGAAGGAGACGCAGTCTTTACCCTTAGTGCTTACAGGATCGTTGGAGACTTGAGACAGCCATCCAAAACCAATCCCAATGCACAGTGCATCATGCAGGGCCTCAGTTTCCTTTTCTGTAAAATGGGCATGACACCACTGATTTGACGGCAAGGTTAGGAGGCTTCGATGAGATAACACCATTGGGAAAAAACTTGGTCTTGATAACAAGGATTGCTCCTGTCTTGCTGAGACAGCAAAAGAAAGAAGGAATTATGGGAGTAAGGACTAGAGACGGAAGGTGAGAAAAGACGGAGCGAGGAGGAATCAGGAATGGAAGCAGAGAAGCACAAGGACAGCTGAGAGAAGAGCACAAGGTAGGGTGCCCATGGCTGGGCTTTTACTGCGCACTCAGTGTGTACCAGGCCTCGGGCTGGGTGCTTTACGTGCATAAAGCCATTCAATTTCCAACAGGGAGAGTGGAGGCGATTATTTCTACTTTACAGAGGAACCCTCTACTGCGTGACATGGGCATGGACCACAACCCAAAGGTTGTTGTGACAGAGCTCTCAACCCAACCTGGGGACCTGGAGGGATCACCGTGGGACAAAAAGGCAATCAAATTCCCAGCTCCTGGAACAGGCCCGTTCCTTCTTAAGATCTCTGTTCTTCCAGGACCATCTCTGTGCCCAGTAACACAGACTCGGTAGAAAGCAGGGAGGGACCGTAGTAAATGCAAATGTTTTTGTTTTACACAATACCTGTTCTTATAGAAATAGAGAAGACCACAGATGAGCTGGGAGAAAAGGAAAACCTCCTGAATCCCAATCCTTAGACACTGATGCATACATTTCCAATATTTATACCAAATGGGATCATAATGCATCTTGTATTTTGCAAGTTCTTTTTGAACTTTATTATAATGGACAGCTTTCCACATCATTAATATTCTTGTACAGCACTGAAATGACAAGCACTGTTCAGCCGTTGTAGAATGTTGTCTAACAATTTCCCAATTCAGCAGGCCTCCTTCACCCACTTTTGCCTTCCTTATGTCAGTTATCCACGATCAACTGAGCTCTGGAAGTAGATGAGTACAGTACAATAAGATATTTTGAAAGAGAAAGAGACCATATTCACATAACTTTTATTATAATAGATTGTTATAATTGTTATTACAGTAGATTGTTGTAATAACAGTAGATTGTTATAATTGTTCTTATATTACAGTAGATTGTTATGATTGTTCTATTTTATTATTAATGTTGTCAATCTCTTATCGTGCCTGCCTAATTTATAAATTAAACCTTATCATAGTTATGAGCGTATAGGAAAAGACATAGCGCATTTAGGGTTTGATTCTATCTGAGGTTTCAGGCATCTGCAGGTCTTGGAACATATCCCCTGCAGATAAGGGGATAAGTTGATAATTGTGATAATTATCACAATTTAGAAAGTGGCTTTGGATACCCTCATAACTAAGGTTCACATCGTCATTTGCAGTAAAAAGATAACATCACACAGCACTCAGTACCAGATAGGAAAGACAGAAGGGGTTTGTGGGCAGAGAAGGGAAGAGTGGCGAGCAGAGGGGCTGGTGGAATTTGCTTCCAGGTGGTAGAAGATGCGGAAATTCCCTGCTTGTTAAAACAAGAGAGGACATGGAGGGCTCTGATCTCAAGGGCACGGGCACGGGCGGAGCCCAGCTAGCCCGGGGCTTGTCGGCTGTAGGTTCCCTCTATCATGCGGGGCCAGGGAGGCCCCTGGATGCTTCTGCTTCCCCCAGTCCAGCGCCAACTCCACTGAGCCTGGCCAGCTTCTCTGTGTAGGCCCGACCCCAGCTGGGCTGTAGGGCCTTGAGGACAAGGACCACATTGGAATCATTTCTCTATTGCCCAAGTGCCTTACGTAGGGCTGGGCACAGAGTCACTGACAGTGAATGATCACGTGAGACAATGAATGAGTGAGTGATTCTTGCAGAATTTAGAGAGGGCTCAGTCAGGTGCACAAGCAGAAGTAACAGGAGGCTATTTTCCAACCCTGTCATTAGAGAGTCAGAGGAATTGATGAGACATTGACTTGATTCCTTCTCAGCTACTGGTTTATTCTGCATGTCCAGCAAATTACTGAACCTCTCTGCCATACAGTTTCCTTGTGGGTAAACTGGGGACGATAGGAGGTGGTGCTGGTGCTGATGAAGATAAGACGGGTGGCATTTTACTGTATGTGATTATACCCAAAATGAAAAAGGGAGGGTGAAAGCTCTGAGCCAGGCACCTGGCATCAACAGGATATCGATTGTTAGAAAATCTGTGCACTCTTAAGGGGACCCGGGATTTATTTTAATCAAATATAAGACTCAAGGAAGTGACTATCATGAATGAAAAAGTGTTTCTCTCACGGATCCCTGGAAATGACAGGCACAGCACTCCGTGCAAGTCACCAGGGTCAGTCAGGAGGCAGAAGGGGCAGAAACACGTGGGCAAGAGCCTTTGCTGTGGTTTCCATGGGAAGGAATGGGCAAGGCAGCGTCACTACCCTGGGTTGCCTAGGGGCATAGAGGGGAACAGTGGTTCTGACTGAGAGCTCAATAGAGGAGGTGGTTGGGGTGTGGGATCTGGACTGGTTGGTTTACATCTGAAAGTCACACTCACAGGAGTGGTTTCCAATCTATAGAAATTGGCTAGCCCTGGGAAGGGGCAGTCTCTCTAAGGTCTGCAAGGTCTCAGACATGAAAGCATCAGAATACAGAAAATAAAAGACACGGTTTGGCCGGGCGTGGTGGCTCACGCCTGTAACCCCAGCACTTTGGGAGGCCGAGGCGGGCGGATCACGAGGTCAGGAGATCGAGACCATCCTGGCTAACACGGTGAAACCCGTCTCTATTAAAAAATACAAAAAATTAGCCGGGCGTGGTGGCGGGCGCCTGTAGTCCCAGCTACTCGGGAGGCTGAGGCAGGAGAATGGCATGAACCCAGGAGGTGGAGCTTGCAGTGAGCCGAGATTGCGCCACTGCACTCCAGCCTGGGCGACAGAGTGAGACTCCATCTCAGAAAAAAAAAAAAAAAAAAAAAAAGACATGGTTTATATACTACGAGGCCCAATGCAATAGCAGGGCTCTGAGATCAGCTGAATTCAAATCCCAGTTTCATTGCTTTTGTGTTGGTGGTTTTTCATTTTTTAATTTTCATTTTTTGAAATAAGGTCTCACTCTGTCACCCAGGATGGGGTGCAGTGGTGTGATCACAGCTCACTGCAGCCTCAACTTCCCAGGCTCAAGCAATCCTCCCACCTCAGCCTCTCATGTAGCTCGTGCGTGCCATCATGCTTGCCTAATTTTTTCAATTTTTGTAGAGATGGGGTTCTCACTTTGTTGCCCAGGCTGATCTTGAACTCCTGGACCCAAGCAATCCTCCCATCTCAGTCTCCCAAAGTGCTGGGATTACAGGCATGAACCACCATGCCCAGGCTTGTTATGTGGCTTTTAGCAAGTCACTAAGCCATTCTGAGTCCCTGTGCCATCAGCTGTAAAATAAGGACTACAGCAGCTACCTCTAGTGGTGTGTCAAGAGTGGCCAGCCAGGCCTCTGCCTGGGACATGGCTCATAAGGGCAGGAAAACATCACTGGCAAAAATCAGAAATCCAGCTCCAGTTAGTGCAGGTCTCCACTCACGATAGCTTACAGAGTTGGCCAAAGGGGAGCTTGAACCCTGGTCCTGCCAGTGTGGACACTGCCTGGAGTGGAAATTAAACCACACTATTCTCTGGATGACCCGCCTCAGCCATAGATTTCTGTGCCAAGCTCCGCGAGCTGTATCCACTTGGCTCCAGCCATCAATAGGGAATGTGAAGCTGCAAATCACAGCCAGCCGAGATTCAGAAACAGAATGAGGTATTATGTAGGGCTGTTGACCCCAGATGAGGGCTTTATTTTATTATCATCTACATTTTAGACTCTTTAATATGCCTCCCAAGATGCTGTCTGGTTTGGAAAATCACCTATAATAAATGCACATAATAAATCTCTTATTTTGAGCATAGAGAGGCATGCAATTTTTATTAATAAAAATAAGTTCCTCTCTGCACCCCAGCAAATAAGTGTTCCACAAGTATTTAAAGACAATCTGTTGAAAGGATGCCAACTAGCCCACCTCCCAGAGCAACTAGCCAGTCTCAGTTGGGCCTCCCCTGCTCACAGGGTGAAATGAAAGGGTGTTCTAGAAGGTGCCGTCATCTGCTCCCTTCCCTGTCATCTTGTGGGTCCCAGCCATTCCCAACCCTGGGCAAATCCATCCACTCACACTGTCCCTGGAGAAATCACACAAGGTCATAGGACCTCCTTCTTCTCCCTTGTCCTGAACTAGACCCTCCCCATCCTGCCATCCCTGGGGTTCCTGGCCTCCTGTCTCACTCCCTCCTTCATCAGACACTCTGCAAATCTCCACCCTAGGAGAAGAAGAGGAAAAGACCCTGTGTGTCCATCACAGGGAAGATGGAGGGGATGCAATGCCCTGGCGTATAAGTGACAGATTTCACCACCACTTCACAGCAACATGATGGATCTTAAGACCTCACACAAGGCTGAGAAGGAAGAAAGAAAGAAGGAAGGAAGGAGAAGGAAGAAAGGACAGGAGGAAAGAAAGAAGAAAGGGAGAAATTGAGATATAGGACCCAACACGTCCTACAAAAATATATATATCCATACAAATAGCAGCACATATTTTATAATTGAAAAGTACACGTCAAAACTGTAGAACGGTTGACTATGGGACGAACGGAGCTGGGATATGGGGCTAAGAGGGAAGAAATCAGAGAAAATAAAGGCTTTCTCCTACTAGATGGGGATGAGGTCAGGAAATAAGAATATGATCACCACAACCCTCTGCATATGAGGCTCCATAAGAAAGAAAACATAAGGAAAAGCTAAGCACAGACACAGACACACACACACACACACACACACACACACACACAGGCAAATCCTACTGTAAAAATGACCTGTTTTTTGATTATTCCAATGAGCCATGCTTGCTGCATGCCAGGCTTTGGACATGCAATTCCCTCTGCATGAAATGCTGTTCCCTACACTTTCAGCCACTCAACTTTGCCCGTCCTTCAGCTGTCTCCATTTCCTGTCCTTCCCCCACCTGCCCCACCTGGGCCAGGTGGCCATACCTGTTGTATTAGTCAGCTCAGGCTGCTCTAACAGAACACTACAGACCAGGCAGCTTAAAGAACAGGAGTTTCTTTTCTCACAGTTCGGCAGGCTGGAAGTCCAGGATAAAGGTGCAACAGGGTTGGTTCCTGGTAAGGCCTCTCTACCTGGCTTGTAGACAGCCACCTTCTTGCTGTGTCCTCACACAGTCTTTCCTGTGTGGATGCTCGAGGGGAGAGGGCTCTGGTGTCTCTTCCCCTCCTTATGAGGACACCAACTGTACTAGATTGGGGCCCCACTCTGATGGTCTCATTTCACCTTAATCACCTCCCTAAAGGCCCTATCTCCAATGACAATCACACTCTGAAGTATGGGGTTTCAGGGCTTCCACATGTGAATGTGGGTGAGGGGGACACAGTTTAGCCCCCAACACCCCTCCTGCCCGTGTTCGCTTTCCTTCAACAGTTTCTCACGCACCTGCGCGTATCCGAGGCTATCCTCTGAGCACACCCATGTCAGGACTCACGCACCTTCCATGGTCATCCTCGCCTGCTCAAACACACCTTTGCCCCCTCCTCCTTGCCGCAAAACTCACAGACCCGCATGATGTTTCAGTGGGCAAATGCAAAGGTCCCTCTCAGCCCACGTCCCTGGGACTTCCCCATGAGAGCCTGCCTTGCCTGGTCCTTGGGCTCTGCCCTCTCCTCTCCTTTCTCTGCTTTTCACCCCAGCAGTGGCTTCTTGCTGCTTCCACATGCCAGCCCGGCTCCCCTGGACCCACTCCCATTCCTCTCTGCATGGTTCCTGGGGGGTCTCTCCACACCATGACCCCCTCTTACGTGGTTCACTGGCCATGTGGATGCCACAGGCCCCTCCAGCTCTGTACAGCATGAATGAATTCATCTCTTTCCCCCACAAGCCTATTCTCTGTCTGGCCCCACCACTGGTGACACTGGAGACCTGGGCATCCTCTGTGACTCCTCCGTCAATCCCTCCATTGGACCAACCACCAAATGCTGTCCTTCCATCCTGCTGCTTGTCTCAGCTCCCTGCAGGTTGGGGATTGCTTTGCTGTGCAGGGACACCAAGATGTGGGAAGCAGAGGCTGGACTCAAGAGTCCTGCCAGAGGCAGATTTCGAGACAAGCAAGTGAAGGCGGTTGGATAGATGGAGAGGAGGGTGTTCAACTGGTCTGCTCATGGCTCCATCCCCACCAAGAAACAGAGACTCTCAAACTGTTTAATACAAATACTTTAATACAAAGACTTTAATACAAAGACTACTCACCAAGTTGTGAACGAGGTTTGGGTAACCAGCAAGAGACAGTGTAGAACCCAGGGGCTAAGGGCAGGGGGTAGTGTCACTGCTCCTAGGCCCGATGGGGAGTGAGGGGGTGGTCTCTGGAACGGAGACAGAAACACAAGATGGGAGCAACGGGCCAGAGCAGTGGGGCTCTAGCAGACAGAAGCAGCCCGTCCTAAGCAACCTCATGTGTTCATGTATGTATGTATGTATGTATTATTATTATTATTATTATTATTAGACGGAGTTTTGCTCTTGTTGCCCAGGCTGGAGGGCAAAGATGTGATCTTGGCTCACCGCAACCTCCGCCTCCCGAGTTCAAGCGATTCTCCTGCCTCAGCCTCCCAGGTAGTTGGGATTACAGGCATGTGCCACCACGCCCAGCTAATTTTGTATTTTTAATAGAGATGGGGTTTCTCCATGTTGGTCAGGCTGGTCTCAAACTCCCGACCTCAGGTGATCCGTCCACCTTAGCCTCCCAAAGTGCTGGGATTACAGGCCTGAGCCACCACGCCTGGCCATATGAATATTATTTCGGTATGATAAGGCCAGCAGATTGGGAGAGGACTGACACTGAAAAGATCATTTGTCCCTTAGAGTTCCCAATAAGAAAGGGCCCACCATGCTATGAAGAGCCACTGGGGAAACACGTAGGTGGGTCAGGAGACAGGGAGGGGAGACACAGTAGGCAAGAACCTCCATTGAGGTTTTGATTGGAAGGAATGAAAGAGGCAGGGCAGGCAGGCTTAGGATTGCTGGTTTGAATAATTTTAGCTGATCTGGGGCTCAGAGTTGCTGCCCTGCATTGTCTGGTTTCCAGCCCTGGGATGATCAGGGCAGGTGGAGTGTGACAGCCCCATAGGGGAGGAGGTGGAGGGTGTGGGCTCTGGATCAGTTGGTTGGCGTTTGAAAAGCACACTCTTGAGCGAATTGTTGACCATTTCTAGATTGGCCAGCCCTGGGAGGGGCAGTCCCTCCAGGATTAGCAAGGCCTCAGACGTCAAAGAATCTGAATACAGAACACAAAAGACACGTGCATACACCACACAGAGAGGGAGTTAGGGGAACCAACACCCATTCCCACTCTTCTCCCGCCCTCAGATCTCCTGCTGATGTCGCCCCTTGGCCAAACCCAACAGGAATCTGGAGGGTGAGAAAGATGGCTGGGACAGTCAGGGAGGGGAGTGGCTCTGAAGAGGGACTGGACTCAGCAGCCACTAAACTAAGCTCCCGTGCAGACAAGAGTTCTTTATTCCTTTTGAAATCTTCCCAATACGTGCTGGTTGAATGGAGATGCAATCAGCCTGGGGAGATACAACACGGCTTGCAGAAGGAAACGCATCCTGAGCTGGGTTTTGAGGGATGAATAGGCATTTTCCAGGGAATGCTAGACACATAAATGGAAGAGCATAAGCAAAGGGATGGAGATTAACACAATATGTTTGGCAAGCTGCAAGCTTTGCAACAGTTCTGGATTGTGAAATTTCTGGGGAGGAGGCTGGCACAGAGCAGATTCCCTGGGAGTGTCTCTGCCCTCGGTCATTTCATTCTCCTCTATGGGCCTCTCTGCAAAGCAATGTGTTCATGTGTGTAAAGTGCTTCCAAGGGGGCTGGTACAGAGGGAAATACTTGGTAAATAGTGGTGATTATCATAATGATTATTAGCATGCCTAATAATATCACCTCCCCTACTTTCCCGGCCTCTGGGGTACCTCAAATTGGACACCATATTAGAAGTTCTTTGCAAAACAAAGGACCAACAGAACTCAAGGCAGAAGCAAGGCCACAGGGCTCAGGCAACCATCTCCTGTGGGTAATAGTCTGGTTTCAGGGCAGGTGAGCCAGCCCAGAAGTCAGGCCCAATGGCTCCGGCGCTCTGAGACAGGGACGATGGCTGGCCTGTTTGGGATTCCCTAGCCTCATCGATCAAATGATCCAGGGATGAGGGAGAATGCCAGGGTCTATTTCCCATCTGTGATCAGCCTTGACTCCAAGCCCATACTCCACACCCAGTTTTCTGGAAGAGGGAGAAATAGCCCTCGAGGGCCAAAGAATATAATACCCTTGGATGCCCCAGCTGTGTGAGACCGTCTGAGACGCCTTTATCACTGCACACAGCGGCTGCCAAAGTCAGACCTAACTCCTTCCCAGGAAATTCTTGGCTCTGCTTGTGAGCAGCCCGTCTGGTGGAATTAATTTCAGCCTATATGATGCTAACGCCATGAGAACAGAGACATATAAAACAGTCCTCCCAAGGCTTTGCGTGGCAATAAAGACTGAACCGTGCTTAATTTATGCACATTGCAAGGCTACCCTCTGCAGGAAGCATAAAGCCATCCCTTGTGGGGGCTGGAACAGTAAGGGGCTCCTCTTGACCCTGGGCCTCACGGAGGGAGCTCATTCCCTCTTCCCAGGCTCCTTCCATCTTTCTGCGTGGATTGTGGATTTCCAGACTTGGGCTCTGGCCTTTATCAGTGAGACAGCCATGGTGTAGGGGATCTGCAAGGGCTGTAGAACTGGAGGTGGAACTATGTACTTAGTTCCATGCAAACCACTGAGGAAGGGACACTCGGGAGGTGATCTGCATCCTGGAGTCATGGGGCTATCATCTGCTAATGCTAGAGAGAGATTTTGAGATCATCTAATTCAGACCCAGGTGAGTTCAGAGATTTAAAATGATGGAACCAAAGTCACACAACACACTCATGGAAGGATCTGGACTTTGACATCAGAATAGGGGTGGGGCAAGTTCAAAAATGTGGAGTTGGAGAGTCCCGGGTTAGAACCCAGACTCTGCCAGGTCCTTGCTTTCTGACTTCAAGCAAGTTATTTCAACTCTGTGTTTCGTTTCCTTGTTCATAAAGTAAGTGCACCATGGGAATTCTGGGAGAATTAAAGGAGATAGTGTTTGTTCAGCATAACCACATGCCCAGCATATGGTAAATATCCAGCAATAGTAGCTATTGCTGTTATGGCTTCTGAGTAAATGCATATTTTAGTGTGGGTTTCTTTCAAGCTAAGACAGGGATTTAGGTATAAGTAGTGATACGTTTTCGATCTGTGTCCCCACCAAAATTTCATGTCAAATTCTAATCCCCAAAGTTGGAAGTGGGGCCCAGTGGGAGGTGACTGGATCATGGGGGTGGATCCTTCATGAATGGCTTAGCGCCGTCCCCTTGGTGCTGTTCTTATGATAGTGAGTGAGTCATCACAAGATCTGGTTGTTTAAAAGTGTGTAGCACCTTCTCCCTCTCTCTCTTGCTCCTGCTCCTGCCATGTGAGATGCTTCACTCCCCGTTTGCCTTCCGCCATGATTGTAAGCTTTCTGAGACCTCCCCAGAAGCTGAGCAGATGCCAGAGTCGTGCTTCCTGTACAGCCCGTGGAACTCTGAGCCAAATAAACTTTTTTCCTTATAAATGGCTGTCTCAGGTATTTCTTTATAGCAGTGTGAGAATGGACTTAAACACGTGGCTTGTTAAGGAAGATGATCCCAGGAAGCAGGAGTAAGGGAACAAGGCAAATGAGACAGGAAAGCAGGAAAAGAAACCAGTGTGAGGGTTTGCTATTGTCTTAGTCCATTCACGCAGCTATAACAAAATACTATAAACTGGGTGGCTTATAAACAACAGATATTTATCTCTTACAGTTCTGGAGGCTGGCAAGTCCAAGACCAAAGCACTGCAGATTTGGTGTCTCGAGAAGCCTGCTTTATAGTTTCCAGATGAGGCCTTCTTATGGTTTCTAGATGAGGCCTTCTTATGGTTTCTAGATGAGGCCTTCTTATGGTTTCTAGAGGAGGCCTTCTTATGGTTTCTAGAGGAGGCCTTCTTGCTGCATCTTCACATTGTGGAAGGGGCAAGGGAGCTCTGTGGGCCTCATTTGTCCCAGTCATGAGGTCTCCACCCCCATGACCTAATCATCTCCCAGAGACCCTGCCCTCTAATACTATAATATTGGTGATTAGCTTTCTACACAGGAATTTGCAAAGATACAAACATTCAGACTGTTATGACAGTTACCACGAATGCTGCTGTGGACAATGGGAGCTCAATTCTGCTGGGGAACTTTACAGAGAAATTTATAAAACTATCAAGGATATAAAAAAGACCTAAATAAATGAAGTGATGGAGCAAGGAAGAACCAGAGTGGTATTATATTGTTTTTTGTTTTTGTTTTTGTTTTTGAGATGGAGTCTCACTCTTGTCACCCAGGCTGGGGTGCAATGTTGGGATCTTGGTCACTGCAACCTCCACCTCCTGAGTTTAAGCAATTCTCCTGCCTCAGCCTCCCAGGTAGCTGGAATTCCAAGTGGGTGCCACCATGCCCAACTAATTTTTGTATTTTTACTACAGACGGGGTTTCGTCATGTTGGCCAGGCTGGTCTCGAACTCCTGACCTCAAGTGATCCACCCACCTCAGCTTCTCAAAGTGCTGGGATTACATGCATGAGCCACTGTGCCCAGCTGGTGTTATATTGTTAAAAGCAAAACCATAGACAAGTTAAAATTAAAAGAGTTTAGTTGAACAAAGAATGATTTGCAAATCAGGCAAACTTCTGAACCAGAGTAGGCTCAGAGACTCCAGCACAGCCATGTGGTGGAAGAACATTTATGGTCAGAAAAAGGAAAGTGACCTACAGACAATAGAATTGAGGCACAGAAAGAGCTAGATGGATTATAGCTCGGCATTTGCCTTATTTGAAAAGTTTGAACATTTGGCTGTCTTTAATTCGCCCAAACACAGTGACTGGCGCAAGAGTAGGTTAGTTTGTTTACACATCCAATTCAGTTGCAGTTTATTATGTACAGATACAACTTTAGACTGAACGTAAAATGTATAAGGAGGCAGCTTTAGTCTAAACTTGATTTAACAATATTAGTTAAGATCTGGCCAGGGAAAGAAAAAATATTCTGGGAACTCTAAGGATGAAGAGACACGATACAGAATTGGAGGTTTTCATAGTCTTTGGAAAGTTGAGGGAGCAAAACCCAGGAAGGGCACGGTCAGGAATTCTGAGGGTTCTGGGATCACAGGGCAGATGCTGGAGCCCAGTGTGAGTGCTTCTCAAAAGGATGCTCAAAGTTGTGGTCAAAATTCCTTGTCTGTGCTTTGCCATACACACAGAGTCCCAGAGAGAAGAAATAGGCCTTCACTTCCTCCTTCCAACCTCATGCCAGTGCCTCGCATGATGGACTCTCACTGGGCCCATGAACAACAGAGTCTGGGAAATGTAGTTTTCGGGCTCCATGATCCAGAGGCACAGGGAAGAGCTCAGGATGATGAGGCTGGTACTGAGAATGAAGACACAATATTTGACACAGACATAGATATTGATCCCTTTCCACCCCCAGATTTATTGGCAAATGCAATGAGATGTCAACTGAATCCTCGAGAATTGTAAGAGTCATAAAAATGAATAAAAATATGAGGATAACCAAGATATTGTTGAATAAAAAGAAGAAGAAAGAGGCACCAGAGAAGGAGAAAGGGTGTGTTCAGGGTCCCAAGACCACCCCAGGTTTAATGATTCACCAGGAGACTCACAGGACTTGACATGTGGTCACCCTCATGGCTATAACTTATGACAGTTAAGGATGCAAAGCAAAATTATCAAAGGGAAAAGGCACGAGGGCAAAGTCCAGAGAAAACTGGGTGCAAGCTTCTAAGGGTCCTCTCCAAGTGGAGTTGCATGGGACTCACTTGATTCTTCCAGCAATGTGCTATGACAGCACATCTATCAGGGAAGGCCACTGAGACTCATTGTCCAGGGTTTTTACTGCTGGCTGGATACATGGGCCCCCTCTGCCTGACATGCACCAAACTTCCAGACTCCTGGAAGTAAAGCAGGTGGTTAACATGAACCTACTCTTTGTACAAATGCTTTAGACACAGTGAGCCACTCTTATCAGTTCTGGAAATGGTGGCAACCATCCCCAAATCCAAGTTCCCAGCCATCATTCCACGGCCAACTTTGTAAGCAGGACTTTCTAAAGAGAGCAGTATCAGGACTGCTATATGAGCTCTTTTCTCCACAAAGGGGAACAGGCCCTACCAGAGAGCAAAGCTAATTATATACTGTATTAATGATTTAATGACAGTGTAATGGTGACCCAGGGGTAAGATATAGATTAGTAAAAATGAATAAAGAGCATGAGAGAGGTAGACTTCCCCACTCCCATATATAGGTACAAAGCTAACATTACAAATAATTGGAGAAAAAGTATTATTCAAGAAATGGTTTGTAGCAATCAGGAAGCCTCATGAAATTAAATACATTGGATCCCTTTCTCATTTCATTCATAAAAATATATTTTTCCTCAACAAAAGATTAAATATAAAAAATAAAAGACATTTTAAAATAAAATATAAATTTATTGAAGGTAAAGATACCTTAAAATGCAAAAAAGGAGGAGGAGAGTTCATGACATTGAATTTGGCAATGATTTCTTGGATATGAACTCAAAAGCACAATCTGAAAAAGAAAAAATAGATAAGCAGGATTTCATCAAAATTAAAAGCTTTTGTGTATCAAAGAGCACTATCAACAGAGTAAAAAGGTAGCTCATAAAATGGGAGAAAAAATTTGCAAATTATATATCTGATAAGGGATTTAAATCCAGAATAAAGAACTCCTAGAATTAAACAACAACAAAAAAGAAACAGCACAATTCAAAAATGGGCAAAGGACTTGATAGATATTTCTCCCAAGAAGATATACAAATGGCCAATAAACACATGAAAAGAAGCTCAACATCACTAATCATTAGGGAAATGCAAATCAAAACCAGGATACCACTGCACACCCATTAGGATGACTATTAATTAAAAAAAATAAAAACAGAATAATCAAGTGTTGGTGACAAGGTGGAGAAATTGGAACCCTTGTATATTATTGATAAGAATGTAAAATGGCACAGCCACTGTGGAAAATATAATAGAAATTACTCAGAAAAATTAAAAAAATGATCCAGCAATTCCACTTCTGGGTTTATACCCAAAAGAGGTGAAAGCAGGGACTCAAACACATATTTATATACCTATGCTCAGAGCAGCATTATTCCCAATAGCCAAAAGGTTGGAAGTAACTCAACTGTTGTATTAGTCCATTCTCACACTGCTATAAAGAACTATCTGAGACTGGGTAATTTATGAAGAAAAGAGGTTTAATTGACTCGTAGTTCTGCAGGAAGAATGGCTGGGAGGCCTCAGGAAACTTAGAGTCATGGCGAAAGACAAAGGAGAAGAAAGTGACTTATTCATATGGCGGCAGGAGACAGAGAGAGGTGGGGAAAGTGCTACAGACTTTCAAACCTCCTTTTTTGAGAAGAAACAATCAGATCTCATGAGAATTCACTCATTAGAATAGCAAGAGGGAAGTCTGCCCCCATGAATCAATACCTCCCACCAGGCCCTCCTTCAACACATGGGGATTACAGTTCAACCTGAGATTTTGGTGGGGACACAGAGCTAAACCATATCATTCCATCCCTGGCCCCTCCCAAATCTCATGTCCTTCTCACATTTCAAAACCAATTCTGCCTTCCCAACAGTCCCCCAAAATCTTAACTCATTCCAGCATTAACTTAAAAGTCCAAGTTAAAGTCTCATCTGAGACAAGGCAAGTCCTTTTTGCCTATGAGCCCATAAAATCTAAAACAAGTCAGTTACTTCCAAGATACAATCAGGTACAGACATTGCATAAATACAGAGTACAGGCATTGGGTGAATATTTCCTCTCCAAATGGGAGAAATTGACCAAAACAAAGGGACTACAAGCCCCATGCAAGTCCAAAACCCAGCAGGGTAGTCATTAAATTATAAAGCTCCTAAATCTTCTTTGACTCCATGTCTCACATCCAGGGCATGTTAATGCTAGGGGTGAGCTCCCAAGGCCTTGGGCAGCTCCACTCCTGTGGCTCTGCAGGGTACAGCGCCCATGGCTGTTTTTACGGGCTGGTGCTGAGAGCCTGCAGATTTTCCAGGAGCATGGTGCAAGCTGTCAGTGGATCTACCATTCTGGGATCTGGAGGATGACAGCCCTCTTCTCACAGCTCCACTAGGCAGTGCCCCAGTGGGCACTCTCTGTGGGGGCTCCAACCCCACATTTCCACCCCGTGCACTGTCATACCAGAGATTATCCGTGAGGGCTCCACCCCTGCAGAAGACTTCTGCCTGGACATCTGGGCATTTCCATACGTCTTCCAAAATCTAGGCAGAGGTTTCCAAACTCAACTCTTGCCTTCTGTGCACCCACAGGCCCAACACCACATGGAAGCTGCCAAGGCTTGGGACTTAAACCTTTTGAAGCAATAGCCTGAGCTGCACCTTGGCCCCTTATAGCCACAGCTGGAGCTGGAGCACTGGGTTGCAGGATGACATGCCCTGAGGCTGCACAGAGATGCAAGGCCCTGACCCAGCCCACAAAACCATTTTTCCCTCTTAGGCCTTCAGGTCTGTGATGAGAGGGGCTGCCCTGAAGGTCTCTGAAATGCCCTGGAGACATTTCCCCCAACGTCTTGGTGATTAACATTCAGCTTCTCTTTACTTATGCAAATTCCTGCAGCCGGCAGCTTGAATTTCTCCCCAAAAAATGGGTTTTTCTTTTCTAGCACATGGTCAGGCCTCAAGTTTTCCAAACTTTTACCCTATGCTTCCCTTTTAAACATAAGTTCCAATTTTAGACTACCTCTGAGAACACATATGAGTGTATACTTTTAGAAAAAGCCAGGTCACCTCTTGAATGCTTTGCTGCTTAGAAATTTCTTCTGCCAGATATGCTAAATCATCTATTTCAAGTTCAAAGTATCACAGATCTCTAGAACAGGGGGAAAATGCTGGCAGTCTCTTTGCTAAAGCATAGCAAGAGTGACCTTTACTACAGTTCCCAGTAACTTCCTCATCTCCATCTGAGACCTCCTCAGCCTGGACTTCATTGTCCATATCACTATCAGCATTTTGGTCACAACCATTCAACAAGTCCCTAGAAAGATCCAAACTTTCCCACATCTTCCCATCTTCTTTTGGCCCCTCCATACTGTTCCAACCTCTGCCCACTACCCAGTTCCAAAGTCACTTCCACATTTTCAGGTATCTTTATAGCAATGCCCCACTTTCCTGGTACCAATTTTCTGTATTAGTCCATTCTCACACAGCTATAAAGAACTACCTGAGACTGGGTAATTTATCAAGAAAAGAGGTTTAATTGGTTCACAGTTCCACAGGCTTAACAAGAAGTATGGCTAGGAGGCCTCAGGAAACTTACAATCAAGGTGAAGGCAAGGCGGAAGCAAGCACCTTATTCACATGGCAGCAGGGGAAAGAGAGAGACGGGGGAAGTGCTCCAAACTTTTAAATAACCAGATCTCATGAGAACTCACTCACTGGAAAAGTAAGGGGGATGTCTGCCCCCATGAATCAATCACCTCCTACCAGGCCCTCCTTCAACATGTGGGAATTACAGTTCAACATGAGATTTGGATGGGGACACCAAAACTATATCAACTATCTATTAATGGATGAGGAATAAGCAAAATGTGGTACACACACACACACACACACACACACTGAAAGGTTACTCAGCCTTAAAAAGAAGAAAAATTTTGGTATATGCTACAACATAAATGAACTGTGAAGACCTTATGCTCAGTTAAATAAGCCAATTAAAAAGGATAAATATTTTATAATTCCACTTTTAAATGAGGTACCTAAAATAGTCAGTTCATAGAGACAAAAAGTAGAATGGTGAGTACCAGGGGATAGGGGAAGGGGAATGGGGAGTTAGCATTTAATGGAGAAAGAGTTTCAACTGGGGAGGATGAAAAAGTTCTGGAGATGGATGGTGGTGATGGTTACACAGCAACGTGAATATACTTAATGGCACAGAACTATAGACTTTAAAACGTTTAAAATGGTAAGTTTTATGTGATGTGTATTTTGTAACAGTAAAAAACACTAATCACAAGCATATGAATAACTGTGACTACATGGAAATTTAATGCATGTAAGACAAAAAGCACCACAAAAACGTAAAAGACAGCTTGAGAGAACATATTAGCAACCTTTAGAATAGGAACAAATTAAAATGCTTTTAAACCCTTGAGAAAAAGACAAACAGCATAATAGAAAATAAATGGACAAAATACATGAGAGACAATTCACATAACAGAAAGTCCAAGTGGTGTATAAACATATAAAAAGATGCTCGTTCTTTCTAGGAATCATAAAACCACAAGATCAAGCAAAGACAACACCATACTACTGTCACCAGACTGGCAAACAATATTAAGCCTGATAACAGTGGTGTGGATGGAATGTTTGCAGGTGGGAACTTCTGCACAATTCCAGAAAGGTATGCCTATGCAGTGACTTGAGAGTGACTGGCAATATTCAGTAAAATGAAAAATGCACACGGTTTGGAGAAGTTGAAATATTTAGTTGAAATATCACTGACAAAGGCTTTGTACCAAAAATATATAGCTGTACCCACAGAGCCATCTAACAACTATATTATAGCCACCCTCAGATGCCTTGTGATGCCTAAAAGCACCAAAAAGAAAACCATGAAGTCCCTCTGTCTCTGGCTGGCTAGATGTTTCAGGTGGGAGGAGACAGAAACATATTAGATATAGGTTAGATTTTGTTTTAGTAATGGATTTCAAATTTCTTATCATGCTATTAAAAATAATTAAAAGATAGATGATAGTGTCTTAGTTTGTTTGTTCTGCTATAACAAAATACCTGAGACTGGGTAATTTATAAACAATAGAAATGTATTCTCACAGGTCTGGAGGCTGGGAAATCCAAGATCAAGGTGCTGGTAGATTCAGCGTCTGCTCAGAGTCTATTCCCTGCTTCCAAGATGGTGCCCTGTTGCTGTGTCCACACAGGGTGGAAGGGTAAAAGGGATAGATGCTGTCCTCACATGGCAGAAGAGATGTAAGGAAATGAGCCCATGCTCTCAAGCCCTTTTATAAGGCCCCTTGTGATGTTGTAAAATATGTATTTGGTCTTGGTCTTCATCCCAGTGTCCTGGCATCCAACTCATAAAATCCTTAGAATCTTCAAAGTGATGTGCCTTTTTGTATACTAATGAGTTGACTGATGGCGGCAGCCCCTAGGTAGCTTCAGGATGGGGGTTGGAAAGACCAAGGCAGGATTAGAAGATTGGATCTTTCAGCCCCCCAACCCCAACCTCCAGAAAGGACAGAGGGGCTAAAAGTTATCTTAATCACCAATGGCTAATGATCTAATCAATCATGCCTATATAATGAAGCTTCCATAAAAATCCAAAAGGACTGAGTTTGGAGAGCTTCAGGATAGTTGAACACATAGAGGTTCCTGGAGGGTGATGCGCCTGGACAGGGCATGGAAGCTCTGGGCCCCTTTCCCCGTATCTCAGCCTATGCATCTCTTCACGTGTATCCTTTGTAATATCCTTTATAGCAAACCAGTAAATGTAAGTAGGTATCTCCCTGAGATATTTGAGCCACTCTAGCAAATTAATCCAACCCAAAGACAGGGTCTTGGGAATCCCAATTTATAGCCAGTGGGTCAGAAGCACAGATAAGACAATCTGGAGCTTGTGATTGGCATCTGAAGTTGGGGGGCAGCTTTGTGGGACTGAGCCCTCAACCTGTGGGACCTGACACTGTTTCCAGGTAGACTATGTCAGAATTGAACTGAATTACAGGACACCTTGCTGGTGTCCACTACAGAACTGACTGCTTTTTTGATGTGTGGAAGGAAAATCCCCACATATCTGATGACAGAAACATGCTGTGAGAATTTATTAAGAGAAACTGAGTTTGTTTATTCCCATATTAACAAAGCCTTAATTCCACCCATAAAGCTTTCACCCACGTGACTTAATCACCCCCTAACTGTCTCACCTCTTACTACTATCACGCTGAGATTAAGTTTCAACATATAAAATTTGGGGGATACATTTGGACGTAGATGGATAGATACATACATAGAAAGATAGAGAGATGAGAGAGAGAGATAGGTAGGTAGATAGATAGATAGATAGATAGATAGATAGATAGATAGATAGAAAGAACAAACAAACAAGTGAGCCATGCATAGACCACTAATGAGAGTTTGTTGAATCAAGAATGATAAATAGTTTAGTTCTGTGCACTAATGAAAGAAGAAACAACAGGAGAGGGAGAGATGGAGAAAGGAAAATGTGTATTCTCTATGACTCAACAGGTACAGTCCTTGGTCTATATGCTAGAAGAACTTTTGCACAAGAAAATGCAAATAAGGATGTTCCTTTCAGTGCTGTTTATAATGTCAAAGAATTGACAGCAACATATACACCAATCAATATGGAAATTGAAAGATCAGTGGTAGTATAGTTATATGACTGATTGCCATATAATAGTTAAAATACACTAGCCAGATCTGTTTGGATCAGCAAGGTTAGAGAGTGAGAAGAAGATCAAGTAGGAAAAAAGATAAGCTGTGCAAAAATATGTCCTGTAAGAAACATCTGTAAAATTTGAAGCCCAGAAAACAGCATTATATGCAGTATTCTTTATGAACATATGCATACATGTAAAAACATGAGAACCTGCATAGGAAAGTCACCCTCATATTCAGAAAATAGTTGTCTCTGAGATACTACAGAGAGACTGGGCCCAGAGGAGGGCAGAGATGGGACTCCAGCTATGTCTGCAGTGCTTAATTTCTTTTGAAAATAAAAATTTGAGCAAATAGGAGAAAATATTAACATTAAGAAATCCTGGTTGTGGAGCATGGGTCTTTGTTATGTTGCCCTCAGTAATTGTTTTTGTGTTTGAACATTTTAAATCAAGAGCAAAATAAAAGAAAGGCTTATCCTCAGTAGGATCCAAGATTTCTCTCTGGAACATTTCACAGCCACCCTCAGTCCCAGCAGGAAGCCTAAAGCCCCAGGGAAGGAAACCAAGAAGCACCTCAAGGTCCAGTTACAGGGATTCATGAAAGTTCACCTTGACACTTGGGTCTGTTTGCTTCCCCTCTCTAAGCCTCAGTTTCCTCATCTGTAATATGAGGGCAATGGAGCATCTGCCTCACAAGACTGGTGAGAATTGAATGGGCTGAGAGCTCTGGTTCATCGTAATCCCAGCAAATGCTACTGCCTTCTGACTATGAGCATTATTATACTAATTATCTCTTATCCCCAATATTTACCAAATATGAAGAGGAAAATCAAGTGCCCTAAGGACTTTCTTCATTCATGACTTTTCTCTCTTAAGCTGGAGGTCAAACCCAGGATGTCTTAAATATAAAAAGATGACCAATGGAGAACAAGCAGCAGTGAATAAGTCTCTGGCCACAGACTTAAAACTCGAGCTTCAGAGTGACTTGCTAAAAGCCTCCCAGCCTGAGATTTAGAGTCATTGGAATAATTCTTCAGGATAGGTCCCTGCCCTACCTCCAGTACAAATTCTGTTAGCCTGGCGGTGCTCGTTCAGATGTCAGGGACTTGCCGAATCTTCTCGCCATGTGGACTTGTCTTCCAAACAATCTCTCCTAGAAACCCCACCCTAGGTCAGCTGTCCAGATATGAGCCAAAGGCCATGGGCTAAGATCTGTGTTCCTGACTCACGCAGATGAGGCGCCCAGGGCGGGGTCTGGCCTGAGTTCCCATGAGTCACTAAAGCATGGGCCAAGGTTGACACTTGGAAAGCGACATTCTACAGTTTCCCATCAGGAGGTGCCTGCAATGACAGCTCAGGTTCACACTCAATCTTGGGCACATGGGTGCCTCTGTGCCATGTATACTTTTGTACATGTTTAAACAGGCCAGATTTTCTATGAAATGTGAAAGGAACGAAAAGGTGGCCATGTGTGCATTGCACATTCAGAGTTTCACTGTTTTCACAGTGACATTGTCAAATGTGTATCATGAATCCCTATCCTTTAGAGGCAGGAACTGAGAAGAACTCAGAGGGAAGGTCAATTGGCCATGTTCCCACAGCTAGGGAGGAGCAGAGCTGGGCCTGGGACTCAGGAGTTCAGATTCTGAGCTGCTATTCTGCCCACTCCTCCCTATGTGTCAGTCCGGATACTCTAAGAAGCAGATACTGAGGTGGGATGAAATGTGCAAAGCGGAAACACCTTCCTCTTTTGTTAGGGGAAATACCTGCAAGAGGACACAGGGAAGGCTGGGGAACTACATGGCCAGGTGCCCCCATGAAGGAGAGAGGGAAGGGAGGTTGGTGGAAGTGCCCTAGAGGTGCAGCCTAGAGAGGGTTGAGCAAAGCCACTGTCGTGTCTTCAAACCAAAGTCACTGTCAGGGAACTTCAGTTTCTCCCAGACCCTCAGAGAGCAGCTGCTGGGGCCCTTGGTCCATAGCTCCCTCTCTTGGAGGTCTTCACAGCACACTCATGATTGCCACACTGTCTGGCTCCCTTGGGATGTGGCTCAACATTTTGAAAAGCTATTCGCCGATACATCTCAGGAAACTTAAAATGAGCACAGCCTTTCCCCTATATTCTCCCCGTTCTAATGTGTTATCCCAAGGGAACAGGATAACTCCAGGTCCAGAGATGTCTTTACACACAGCATTGCTGAGGGTAGTGTCAGTTAGCAAAATAAATATATGTGCATGCATACAGACATACACAGAAATGATTTATCTGATAGATGAGATGGCACTTGTAGGGTCATCTGCAGAGGCACATGGGTTCCCAGCCAAGATAGTCAAAGGTTAAGGCTGATGATGTCACATGCATGCCCCAAGGGAATCAAAAGGTTTATTACTGACATCATGACTGTCTCTGGGGAGAGCCGGATAGGCCTCTCCAACAGGTCCAAAAATGGCTTGAGAAATTGGAAAAAGGAGACTAGCTTGGGGATTTTATCATGGCTAGGGGGCTGGGCTGGGTGAAAATTCCTGCACACTGTGGGCAAGGGCTTACCTGGTTGAATCTCCCACTGATGCCAATGGAGAGAGAATCCAGTTTTTTTTTTTATCAGTTTGCTCAGATAAGGAAAGGGTGGGTGAGACTGAAAAGGCATCATCAGTCAAACATGAAAAAATAAAAAAATAACAGCAGAGGCAGACTTTTTATGCAGTGAGAGGCTGCCATGCAATCATCTACTTTTCTCAAGTGGGTATGTTAATATGTTAAAAACTACTTTCCTGTATCTTCCATCTCTCTTTCACTTCTGAAGGCTCCAAGGTATGTGACCTGGTGATTCGCCTTGCAGTTGGCCAGGTGAATGTCCTGCTATAGGTAAAATCTCCCCATAGAGGGTCCTACAGCAGGCCTCAGCAGGCCTGGGTATGGTGGCAGAGTCAAGCTGAATTCTCCCCTCCAGCAATGAAGCTAAGATCTCTCTGACTCCTGAATCTATTTCCAACTTGTTTCCAGACTTTAAACTCCTTAAATCGCAACATAAGAATAACCTTTTGGGCCAGGCATGGTGGCTCATGCCTGTAATCCCAGCACTTTGGGAGGCTGAGGCAGGTGGATCATTTGAGGTCAGGAGTTCAAGACTAGCCTAGCCAACATGGTGAAAACCCATCTTTACTAAAAATACAAAAATTAAGTGGGTGGTAGTGGTATGCACCTATAATCCCAACTACTCAGGAGGCTGAGGCAGGAGAATCACTTGAGCCTAGGAGTCGGAAGTTGCTATAAGCCGAGATTGTGCCACTGCACTCCAGTCTGGGCAACAGAGTGAGACCCTGTCTCAAGAAAAGAAATAAAAAAGAAAAAAAAAAGAATAATCTTTTGTATATAATATGATATCACTATGTAAAACAAAAAATAACTTGAAATACTGAGTACTAGAATATTGTCAGTGGTTGACTTTCTATGATACTTTTCTGACTTTTCTATGTTTTCCAAATGTTTTGAGTGCATATTACCTTTAAAAATTGAAAGATATTTTATTTTAACATTCTCCTCAACGTTATTCTTGATCTGTGAACTCCCTTACAGCAGGGTTTAGATCTGTCATGGGAGAAAATCAGAAGTGAGACTAGAGAAGAAGGAAAAAGTGACGGTCCCCAACAGCTCTGTTAGGTATGAGCCCCCAAGTGAAAAATCACCACCAATGTGAAGCTTTGCAAAAGGTAATTCTTGTGCCAAGAAAAGTCTGGGCAGAAGTTTGCTTTGCTTTTTACAAAGTTACAAACTCTTAACACCCAATCTTTTTTTTAGGCAGATACGGTTCTGCTGTATTGCCCAGACTGGAGTGCAGTGGCTATTCACAGGTGCATTCATAGTACACTACAGCCTTGAACTCCTGGGTTCAAGGGATCCTTCTGCCTCAGTCTATAGGCATGTGCCACAGTGCCTGGCTCACCAACACCTAATTGTCTCTTAGGCTTTGGTATTCTGTTAATGTATTCATCAGGGAAGGCTAGGTAACCAATAGTCTTAAACATGGAGTAGCCCAACACAATAGAAGTGTATTTCTTGCTTATGTAACAGCCACAGTGGTGACAGAATAGCACAAGTGAAAAATGGATGTGGGAATATCCCTTATTTGATGAAGCCACTCAGGGACCCAAGCTGACCAAGGCTTTGCCCCCTCCAACTAGTTGCTTGCAAAGTTGCCTTCATCATCTCCATTCCAGACAATAGGAGGGAGGAAGGCCCGTGAGAGGTTTTCGTCAGCCAAGAAGGAAAATGGCACACATCACTTCTGCTCAATTCCATTTGGCTAGAACTTAGTTACTTGGCTACTTTCACTGCCACGAGATGGGGAAACATAGTGTCCACCAAGGAGCAAAAGACACGGATTTTGATGAGCCACTATCACTTTCTATTAGTGTTTTAAAAGCTGGTTCTATGCCCAGCAAATAATCACTTATAAAGGATCCAAAAATAATGCTGGATCCCACTAACCAAATCAAATAATTAAACATCTTCAAAACTTTAAATTACATTTATAAATTGCTTACACTCAATTTGATTTTAAATATCTCAATGATCTGACAACTCTTCCCAATACTGAAGTAATTCTTATACATCAGATAAACTTACATAAATAATGAAGTATATATATATGAGATATAGATATACGATATATAAGATAGGAGATCTATATCTTATATCATAGATATGACATCTACAGGATATGAGATCTACATCTTACAGATATAAGATCTATATCTTATATCTATATAAGATATATATTTTATATTATATATATAAGCTTAGTAAGATTTCCGCTTAAAATCACAAATATAAATCAATTATTGAACTGTATATTTAATTGGAGTCAAAAGACTACCACTCTAAAATATCAAATTATCTTAATACCAAATTTATACTGATTCCTTAATGTGAAAAAATAATGTGATGTGTTTTGAGTCTCTTACATACATTGAAAGCATCCTGGACTTTGTCTTGTTATGTGTGATTCTTTCTCCCTGGTCACACTTTGCCCCAGCCCACTGGATAATGCCAGAATTTGAGGGTTGTTATTGGCTTAGGTGTAATGAAGTGTTTTTGCAGGAGGTCTTGAGGAGGGTTGGCAGTCCCCCCATCAGCAACAACCTCAGTGAATCTCACTAGAGTTGCAAGCAACAGGAGGTGAACCTCCTCAGACAGGGGAGGAGTGCTGCTTCTGCTGGCAAAGGAGGCTTGGCAAAGTCTAGAAGTTCAAAGTTTTCATTGTCACTGGAATCTGCCCATGTGTCCATTTCCAATTCTCAAGGCCCTGCTGTTTCCCAGTTAACATCATAACTTAAAGATGAAATAATAAAAATGAAAACATATGCTCATGAATGTTTATAGCAGCTTTATTCATGACAGCCCAAACTGGAAACAGTCCATTCATAGGAAAGCAGGTAAACAAGCCGTGGTATTTAAACAATGATATACTACTCTGGAAAAAAAATGAACTGCCAATACACCCACAAACACAGATAATCTCCAAAATATGATGTGAGTGAAAGAAGCCTTACACAAGAGTACATATTAGGTGATTCCATTTATATAAAGATCTAAAACAAGCTAATCTAATCTATAGTTGAAGAAACAGAGGTTACCTTTACAGATGTGGGGGCAGGGATCAATTGGGAAGGGGTAGGAGGGAATATGTTGCGGGTAATGTCCAGACTTTCATCTCTTTGATTGGAATTTTGTCAGCTAAATGTCCACTTTCATAGTCTACAAGTTCTGCTTTCCAAATAATGGTTGGTCACAATTCCACTAAGTCTTCTGCTGCTCTGTAACTAGGACTCACTTTACTCCAGTTCCCAATAACACGCCTCTCAATTCATTTTGAGTCTTCACCAGCAGCACCCATATTTCTACCAACAGCCTATTTATGATGATTTAGGTATTCTCTAAGACAATATAGGCTTTCCCTGCTGTGCCCCTTACTTGATCCTGAGTCTTCACCAGCAGAGTTCTTAAGATCCCTATTTCTACTGAGAGTAGGTTCAAGGCAATTTAGGCCTCATCTATCATGCTCCTGAAAATTCTTCCAAACTCCACCAATTGCCCAATTCCAAAGTGACTTCCACATTTTGAGGTATTTCTTGTAGCAGCACAACATTTGTGGTACCAAACATGTATTATTGTTTCCTATTGCTGGTGTCTCATATCACCACAATATTAATGGCATAAACAACAAAATTGGTTATCTTACAGTTTAGGAGGTCAGAAATGCAAATAGGCCACACTGGGCTAAAACCAAGGTGTTGGCAGAACTCCATTCCCTTCTAGATGCTGTAGAGGAGATTTCTTGCCTTTTCCAGTTTCTAGAGACTGCCCACATTTCTTGGCTTGTGGTCCTATACCTCTATCTTCAGTCAGTAATGTTGGACCAAGTTCTTCTTATATTGTCATATCTTTGAGTATACTGCTTCTGCCTCCCGCTTCTGCTTTGAAGAATCCTTGTGATTATTCAAAGGCTCACCAAAATAAACTAGGATAAGCTTCTCTTTTTATGGTTAACTGATTAGAACTTTAGTTCCATCTGCAACCTTAATTCCCCTTTGCCATCTCTATTAGCCCATCCTCACACTGCTATAAGGAACTACCTGAGACTGGGTAATTTATGATGAAAAGAGGTTTAATTGACTCACAGTTGTGTAGGCCTAACCAGAAGCATGACTAAGAGTCCTCAGGAAACTTACAGTCATGGCAGCAGGCAAAGGGGAAGCAAGCACCTTCTTTATGTGGTGGCAGGAGAGAGAGAGAGCATGAAGGAGGAAGTACCACACACTTTTAAACCTTCAAATCTCCTAAGAACTCACTCACTATCATGAGAACAGCAAGGGGGAAATCTGCTCCAATGATCCAATTGCCTCCTACCAAGCCCCTCCTCCAATGTGACATGAGATTTGAGTGGGGACACAAATACAAACCACATCACTGCATGGAAATCTTTAGGCAGCCATTTTCCTGCCAACCACACCCAGCCTGGAGAGAATTCTCATGAAGTGACAGGGAAAGCAGTAGCCCACATGGAGCCCAGGGATCACCTTGACTGGAAGTGATTGAGCTGGGAGTCCAGGGAAGCTAAAGCAGGTAGAATCCACAAAGGAGATTACAAAAGAGGAATAAGGAAAAGTAGGGAATAAAAGAAAAATACCTGAGACTAGGGAAAGAACCACTAGGAAGGATTAGAGGGAACAATCTCTGCAGCTTACTTAAATACAAGAAGAGTTCCTCTTCCCTCCAGCTAGAGTGGAAAACCTTACTATTTGTGGAACATCCAGTAGAAAAATCAGAAACCTATTACTTCAGTAGTGGAGAGAAATTTGTCCTAGACTAAATGATGGTCTGGTCCCACCTCACAAGCTTAAAAGAAATAACCAAAATAATTAAACTGTTTTCAAGTAACTTGCCTGTATCCCAAAAGAAAGCACAAAAATATAACAAAATACAAAAATATCTAGCACCCAACAAGGTAAAATTTACAGTGCCTGTCATCGACCAAACAGTTACCAGGCATGCAAAGAAGTAGGAAAATATAACATATCACTAAGAGAAAGAGCAGTCAATAGAAACAGACCCAGAAATGACATGGGTTGTAGAATTAGTAGACAAGGGCATCAAAAACAATTATTCTCACTATGTTTTATGTATTCAAAAATGTAGATGAAAGATTGAGCATATTAAGAAGCAACACAAGAGATATTTAAAATGCCCAAATTGAACTTCTAGGGGTTAAAAATACTTCTAAGATAAAAAATACACTGGATGGGATTAAGGACAGATTTGATACTGCAGAAGAAATAATTTGTTAAATTCAAGATTTAACTGAAGCTATTTAAATTGACACAAGGAGAGCAAAAAGAACCCTCCTCCCGCAAAAAGCAGACACGTATAACTGGAATCATGAAACAGAGGAGATAGAAAAATGGGAAGAAAAAGTATTTGAAGAAAGAATAGCCAGAAACTTCCAAAGTTGGTTAAAACCATAAACTCACAGATCCAAGAAGCTCAACACAGGACAAGCACAAAAATCCTGAAGAAAATAAGACTAAGAAACATCATAAACTTACTTGCTCAAAACCAGTGATAGGCCAGGTGCAGTGGCTCACACCTGTAATCCTAGCACTTTGAGAGGCCAAAGAGGATGGTTTGCTTAAGCCCAGGAGTTTGAGAGCAGCCTGGGTAACATAGTGCGATACTGTCATATCTTTGATTATACTGCTTCTGCCTCTCTCTTCTGCTTTGAAATTGGTCAGGAATAGTGGCACATGACTATAATCCCAGCTACTCAGGAGGCTGAAGTGAGAGGATCAATGCTGCAGTGAGCCATGATCCTGTCACTGCACTCCAGTCTGGGTAATAAAGCGAGACTTTGTCTCAAAAAACTTTTAAATAATATAAATAAATAAATAAATAACAGTGATAAATACAAAACATTGGAAGCAACCAGAGCAAAGAGCACATGTCATATATACAGGAAACATGATAAGGATTATAAGCAGACTGTTAGAAATAATGAAGCCACAAGACAGTGGAGCAACATCTTTAGAGTATAGGGGAAAAAAGGGAACTGTCAACCTAGAATTCTATACCCAGCAAAACTATCTTTCAAAAAATGAAGATAAAATCGAAATACTTTTAAACATACAAAAGCTGAAAGAATCCCTCAACAGCAGACTTCCCCTACAATAAATATTGAGGGAAGTCCCTTGGACAAAAAGAAAATAATATCAGGTAAAGTCTGAAGCTACACAAAGAAAGGAAGAGCACTCAAAATTATAACTATGTAGATAAACAGGAAAAGTTTTCCTCCTGTGATTTAAATCTCTTTTTAAAAAGAATGAACTCTTTCAATTAAAACTGATATTAATGTGGTGTGTTATTAATAACATATATAAAAGCCAAATGTATAATAACAACAGCATAAAGACCAAAAAGAAATAGAAGTATACTGTTGTAAGGCTTTTATGCTGTACACAAAGTGGTATACTATTCTTACAAAGGTAAATTTTGATCTATGAAAGATAAATAATATAAACAACTAAAGCAACCACTAAAACACACACACACACACATTCGCACACATATACATACATAGTGATATCTAATAAGTAAACAAAAGCGGTTAAATGGGATCATTAAAAATACTCATTTAATCCAAAACCAGGCAAAAGGATCTATAAACAGATGGAACTAATACAAAATAAGCAGCAAGTTAAACTCAATGATATCAATAAACAAATTAAATGCCAAATGCTTTTAAATATATGACATTTAACACACTAGTTAAAAGGGAGTGATTATCAAATAAGGAAAAAAATAAGACCTAACTATATGCCACTACAAAAAGGGAAAAAAAAAACTGAAAAATAACCCCCTCAAAATGAAAAAATATTTAAATATGAAGACACAACAGGGTGAAAAGTAACAGATTAGGAAAAGATACACCATGTTAATACTAATCAAAGAAAACTAGGATGGCTATATTAACATCAGACAAAGTAAATTTCAGCAAAGAATGTTACCAGGAACAAATAGAGTAATTTCATAATGATAAAGGAGTAAATTCATTAAGAGGACGCAAAATTTCTAAGCATTTATGGACCCATAATCACAGAGTTTCAAAACACATTAAGCAAAAACTGACAGGACTAAAAGGACAAATGGACAAATAGAGAAATCCATAATAGTCAGATTTCAGCACCCCATCTCAATAATTGATAGAAAAAGTAAACAGAAAATTAGTAATATAGCTATTACTTGAACCATACTATCAACCAACTTAGCCTAATTGACATTTAGAGAACACCCTACTTAACAACAACAGAACACATTATCTTCAAGTGCATATAAAATATTAACCAAAGTAGTCCATATTCTTGGCTGTAAAACAAGTCTCAATAAATTTTAACTTGGCTGGGCATGGTGACTCATGTCTGTAATCCCAGAACTTTGACCAACTGAAGCAGGTGGATTGGTTGAGTCCAGGAGTTCGGGGCTAGCTTAGGCAACATGGTGAAACCCTGTCTCTACAAAAAAATGCAAAAGTTAGC
Organism: Homo sapiens; assembly: GCF_000001405.40. Lineage (NCBI taxonomy): Eukaryota > Metazoa > Chordata > Mammalia > Primates > Hominidae > Homo > Homo sapiens. Next base: position 4,960,651 of record NC_000004.12, on the reverse strand, counting down.
CAGGCATGGTGGCACAGGCCTATAATCCCAGCTACTAAGGAGACTGAGACGGGAGAATCAACTGAGCCTAAAAAGTCAAGGCTGCAGTGAGCTGTGATCGTGCCTGCACTCCAACCTGGGCAACAGAGTGAGAATGTGTCTCTAAATAAATAAATAAATAAATTTAAACTCAATTTAAATTAAACACACAAAGTATTCCCTCTGACTATGACAGAGTTAAAATAGAAATTAGAAATCAATAACTGAAAAGTGTCTTTTAAAATCCCCAAATATTTGGAAACTAAATAATGCACTGATAAAGAACCCATGGGTAAAAGAGGAAATCAAAAGAGACACTTGAAATATTTTTAATTGAATAAAAATGAAAACACAACATATTCAAAGTTCTAGGATTCACCTAAAGCAATCTCAGAAGGATATGTATAATGTAAAATGTCTGTATTTAAAAAGAAGGAAGGCCTCAAATCAATGATTTCAACTTCTAACTTAAGAAATTAGAAAAAAAGATTACACGTTGCAGAACGTGAGCCAATTACACCTCTTTCTTTATAAATTACCCAGCCTCAGGTATTCTATAGCAATGCAGAAATGGCCTAATACAACATTAAAAATTGCTCAATATAATTCACATTATTAACAGAACAAATCAGAAAAAACACATATCATCATTACTAATGCAGAAAACACATTTTACATAATCCAACCTTCATTTCTGGTTTTTAAAAATCTCACGGGAGGAGCCAAGATGGCCGAATAGGAACAGCTCCGGTCTACAGCAACCAGCGTGAGCGACGCAGAAGACGGGTGATTTCTGCATTTCCATCTGAGGTACCGGCTTCATCTCTCTAGGGAGTGCCAGACAGTGGGCGCAAGTCAGTGGGTGCGTGCACCGTGCGCAAGCCGAAGCAGGGCGAGGCATTGCCTCACTTGGGAAGCGCAAGGGGTCAGGGAGTTCCCTTTCTGAGTCAAAGAAAGGGGTGATGGACGGCACCTGGAAAATCAGGTCACTCCCACCCAAATACTGCGCTTTTCCGACGGGCTTAAAAAATGGAGCACCACGAGATTATATCCCGCACCTGACTTGGAGGGTCCTATGCCCACGGAGTCTCGCTGATTGCTAGCACAGCAGTCTGAGATCAAACTGCAAGGCGGCAGCGAGGCTGGGGGAGGGGCGCCCGCCATTGCCCAGGCTTGATTAGGTAAACAAAGCAGCTGGGAAGCTCGAACTGGGCGGAGCCCACCACAGCTCAAGGAGGCCTGCCTGCCTCTGTAGGCTCCACCTCTGGGGGCAGGGCACAGACAAACAAAAAGACAGCAGTAACCTCTGCAGACTTAAATGTCCCTGTCTGACAGCTTTGAAGAGAGCAGTGGTTCTCCCAGTATGCAGCTGGAGATCTGAGAACGGGCAGACTGCCTCCTCAAGTGGGTCCCTGACTCCTGACCCCTGACCCCTGAGCAGCCTAACTGGGAGGCACCCCCCAGCAGGGGAACACTGACACCTCACATGGCAGGGTATTCCAACAGACCTGCAGCTGAGGGTCCTGTCTGTTAGAAGGAAAACTAACAAACAGAAAGGACATCCACACCAAAAACCCATCCGTACATCATCATCATCAAAGACCAAAAGTACATAAAACCACAAAGATGGGGAAAAAACAGAACAGAAAAACTGGAAACTCTAAAAAGGAGAGCGCCTCTCCTCCTCCAAAGGAATGCAGTTCCTCACCAGCAACGGAACAAAGCCGGATGGAGAATGACTTTGACGAGCTGAGAGAAGAAGGCTTCAGACGATCAAATTACTCTGAGCTACGGGAGGACATTCAAACCAAAGGCAAAGAAGTTGAAAACTTTGAAAAAAATTTAGAAGAATGTATAACTAGAATAACCAATACAGAGAAGTGCTTAAAGGAGCTGATGGAGCTGAAAACCAAGGCTCGAGAACTACGTGAAGAATGCAGAAGCCTCAGGAGCCGATGCGATCAACTGGAAGAAAGGGTATCAGTGATGGAAGATGAAATGAATGAAATGAAGCGAGAAGGGAAGTTTAGAGAAAAAAGAATAAAAAGAAATGAGCAAAGCCTCCAAGAAATATGGGACTATGTGAAAAGACCAAATCAACGTCTGATTGGTGTACCTGAAAGTGATGGGGAGAATGGAACCAAGTTGGAAAACACTCTGCAGGATATTATCCAGGAGAACTTCCCCAATCTAGCAGGCCAACGTTCAGATTCAGGAAATACAGAGAACGCCACAAAGATACTCCTCGAGAAGAGCAACTCCAAGACACATAATTGTCAGATTCACCAAAGTTGAAATGAAGGAAAAAATGTTAAGGGCAGCCAGAGAGAAAGGTCGGGTTACCCTCAAAGGGAAGCCCATCAGACTAACAGCAGATCTCTCGGCAGAAACCCTACAAGCCAGAAGAGAACAGGGGCCAATATTCAACATTCTTAAAGAAAAGAGTTTTCAACCCAGAATTTCATATCCAGCCAAACTAAGCTTCAAAAGCGAAGGACAAATAAAATACTTTACAGACAAGCAAATGCTGAGAGATTTTGTCACCACCAGGCCTGCCCTAAAAGAGCTCCTGAAGGAAGCGCTAAACATGGAAAGGAAAAACCGGTACCAGCCGCTGCAAAATCATGCCAAAATGTAAAGACCATCGAGACTAGGAAGAAACTGCATCAACTAATGAGCAAAATAACCACCTAACATCATAATGACAGGATCAAATTCACACATAACAATATTAACTTTAAATGTAAATGGACTAAATGCTCCAATTAAAAGACACAGACTGGCAAATTGGATAAAGAGTCAAGACCCATCAGTGTGCTGTATTCAGGAAACCCATCTCACGTGCAGAGACACACATAGGCTCAAAATAAAAGGATGGAGGAAGATCTACCAAGCAAATGGAAAACAAAAAAAGGCAGGGGTTGCAATCCTAGTCTCTGATAAAACGGACTTTAAACCAACAAAGATCAAAAGAGACAAAGAAGGCCATTACATAATGGTAAAGGGATCAATTCAACAAGAAGAGCTAACTATCCTAAATATATATGCACCCAATACAGAAGCACCCAGATTCATAAAGCAAGTCCTGAGTGACCTACAAAGAGACTTAGACTCCCACACATTAATAATGGGAGACTTTAACACTCCACTGTCAACATTAGACAGATCAACGAGACAGAAAGTCAACAAGGATACCCAGGAATTGAACTCAGCTCTGCACCAAGCGGACCTAATAGACATCTACAGAACTCTCCACCCCAAATCAACAGAATATACATTTTTTTCAGCACCACACCACACCTATTCCAAAATTGACCACATACTTGGAAGTAAAGCTCTCCTCAGCAAATGTAAAAGAACAGAAATTATAACAAACTATCTCTCAGACCACAGTGCAATCAAACTAGAACTCAGGATTAAGAATCTCACTCAAAACTGCTCAACTACATGGAAACTGAACAACCTGCTCCTGAATGACTACTGGGTACATAACAAAATGAGGGCAGAAATAAAGATGTTCTTTGAAACCAATGAGAACAAAGACACAACATACCAGAATCTCTGGGACACATTCAAAGCAGTGTGTAGAGGGAAATTTATAGCACTAAATGCCCACAAGAGAAAGCAGGAAAGATCCAAAATTGACACCCTAACATCACAATTAAAAGAACTAGAAAAGCAAGAGCAAACACATTCAAAAGCTAGCAGAAGGCAAGAAATAACTAAGATCAGAGCAGAACTCAAGGAAATAGAGACACAAAAAACCCTTCAAAAAATTAATGAATCCAGGAGCTGTTTTTTTGAAAGGATCAACAAAATTGATAGACCGCTAGCAAGACTAATAAAGAAAAAAAGAGAGAAGACTCTAATAGACGCAATAAAAAATGATAAAGGGGATATCACCACCAATCCCACAGAAATACAAACTACCATCAGAGAATACTACAAACACCTCTACGCAAATAAAGTAGAAAATCTAGAAGAAATGGATAAATTCCTCGACACATACACTCTCCCAAGACTAAATCAGGAAGAAGTTGAATCTCTGAATAGACCAATAACAGGATCTGAAATTGTGGCAATAATCAATAGCTTACCAACCAAAAAGAGTCCAGGACCAGATGGATTCACAGCCGAATTCTACCAGAGGTACAAGGAGGAACTGGTACCATTCCTTCTGAAACTATTCCAATCAATAGAAAAAGAGGGAATCCTCCCTAACTCATTTTATGAGGCCAGCATCATTCTGATACCAAAGCCGGGCAGAGACACAACCAAAAAAGAGAATTTTAGACCAATATCCTTGATGAACATTGATGCAAAAATCCTCAATAAAGTACTGGCAAAACGAACCCAGCAGCACATCAAAAAGCTTATCCACCATGATCAAGTGGGCTTCATCCCTGGGATGCAAGGCTGGTTCAATATACGCAAATCAATAAATGTAATCCAGCATATAAACAGGGCCAAAGACAAAAACCACATGATTATCTCAATAGATGCAGAAAAAGCCTTTGACAAAATTCAACAACCTTTCATGCTAAAAACTCTCAATAAATTAGGTATTGATGGGATGTATTTCAAAATAAGAGCTATCTATGACAAACCCACAGCCAATATCATACTGAATGGGCAAAAACTGGAAACATTCCCTTTGAAAACTGGCACAAGACAGGGATGCCCTCTCTCACCACTCCTATTCAACATAGTGTTGGAAGTTCTGGCCAGGGCAATTAGGCAAGAGAAGGAAATAAAGTGTATTCAATTAGGAAAAGAGGAAGTCAAATTGTCCCTCTTTGCAGACGACATGATTGTATATCTAGAAAACCCCATTGTCTCAGCCCAAAACCTCCTTAAGCTGATAAGCAACTTCAGCAAAGTCTCAGGATACAAAATCAATGTACAAAAATCACAAGCATTCTTATACACCAACAACAGACAAACAGAGAGCGAAATCATGAGTGAACTCCCATTCACAATTGCTTCAAAGAGAATAAAATACCTAGGAATCCAACTTACAAGGGATGTGAAGGACCTCTTCAAGGAGAACGACAAACCACTGCTCAAGGAAATAAAAGAGGATACAAACAAATGGAAGAACATTCCATGCTCATGGGTAGGAAGAATCAATATCGTGAAAATGGCCATACTGCCCAAGGTAATTTACAGATTCAATGCCATCCCCATCAAGCTACCAATGACTTTCTTCACAGAATTGGAAAAAACTACTTTAAAGTTCATATGGAACCAAAAAAGAGCCCGCATCACCAAGTCAATCCTGAGCCAAAAGAACAAAGCTGGAGGCATCACACTACCTGACTTCAAACCATACTACAAGGCTACAGTAACCAAAACAGCATGGTACTTGTACCAAAACAGAGATATAGATCAATGGAACAGAACAGAGCCCTCAGAAATAACTCCGCATATCTACAACTATCTGATCTTTGACAAACCTGAGAAAAACAAGCAATGGGGAAAGGATTCCCTATTTAATAAATGGTGCTGGGAAAACTGGCTAGCCATATGTAGAATGCTGAAACTGGATCCCTTCCTTACACCTTATACAAAAATCAATTCAAGATGGATTAAAGACTTAAACGTTAGACCTAAAACCATAAAAACCCTAGAAGAAAACCTAGGCATTACCATTCAGGACATAGGCATGGGCAAGGACTTCATGTCTAAAACACCAAAAGCAATGGCAACAAAAGCCAAAATTGACAAATGGGATCTAATTAAACTAAAGAGCTTCTGCACAGCAAAAGAAACTACCATCAGAGTGAACAGGCAACCTACAAAATGGGAGAAAATTTTTGCAATCTACTCATCTGACAAAGGGCTAATATCCAGAATCTACAATGAACTCAAACACATTTACAAGAAAAAAACAAACAACCCCATCAAAAAGTGGGCGAAGGACATGAACAGACACTTCTCAAAAGAAGACATTTATGCAGCCAAAAAACACATGAAAAAATGCTCATCATCACTGGCCATCAGAGAAATGCAGATCAAAACCACAATGAGATGCCATCTCACACCAGTTAGAATGGCAATCATTAAAAAGTCAGGAAACAACAGGTGCTGGAGAGGATGTGGAGAAATAGGCACACTTTTACACTGTTGGTGGGACTGTAAACTAGTTCAACCATTGTGGAGGTCAGTGTGGCGATTCCTCAGGGATCTAGAACTGGAAATACCATTTGACCCAGCCATCCCATTACTGGGTATATACCAAAAGGACTATAAATCATGCTGCTATAAAGACACATGCACACGTATGTTTATTGCGGCATTATTCACAATAGCAAAGACTTGGAACCAACCCAAATGTCCAACAATGATAGACTGGATTAAGAAAATGTGGCACATATACACCATGGAATACTATGCAGCCATAAAGAATGATGAGTTCATGTCCTTTGTAGGGACATGGATGAAATTGGAAAACATCATTCTCAGTAAACTATCACAAGAACAAAAAACCAAACACTGCATATTCTCACTCATAGGTAGGAATTGAACAGTGAGATCACATGGACACAGGAAGGGGAATATCACACTCTGGGGACTGTTGTGGGGTGGGGGGAGGGATAGCATTGGGAGATATACCTAATGCTAGATGACGAGTTAGTGGGTGCAGCGCACCAGCATGGCACATGTGTACATATGTAACTAACCTGCACAATGTGCACATGTACCCTAAAACTTAAAGTATAATAATAAAAAAAAATCTCAGCAAGTCAGCATATGAGAACTTCTTCAATCTGATAATGAGCATATATAACAAAATTATACCTAATATTATAATTAATGGTGAATGATCCACTGTTTTCCTTCTAAGATCAAGAACAAGAAAAGGATTTCTGGTTTCATCTCTTCTCCTCAACATTGTACTGGAGGTTGTAGCCACTGTAATAAGGCAAGAAAAAAGATAGATACCCAAATGGGGAAAAAAGAAGTAAAATTATTTTGATTCACAAATGTCATGATCCTTTATGTAGCAAACCTGATGCAATATACCAAAAAAAAAAAAAAAAAAAAAAAAAAAAAAAAAAAAAAGCTACTGGAGTAAAGTGAGTTTATTTTGAGTTTGCAAGATGTAAGATCAATATAGAAAACTCAATTGTATCTCTAAATACCAGCAATTAACAATCAGAAATTGAAATAAAAGTCTGTTTACAATATTATGAAAAGCAACCCAATTATTTAAATGTGCAAAATATTTGAACAGGCAGTTTACCCAAGATGGTATTTGGATGGTATAAACACAAGAAAAGATGCTCATCATGATTAGTTATTATGAAATGCAAATTATATCACAATGAAATACTATTACATGCCTATCACAGTGTCTGTAATTTTAAAAATTGATTAATACCAAGTTTTGACAAGAATATGCAGCAACTGGAGCCCTCATACAGTACTGATGAAGATGTAAAATGGCACAATTATGTTGGAAAACAGCTATTTTTTAAAAAGTTAGACATACATCTGCCCTATGATTCAGGCATTCCACTCCTAGGTATTTAACCATAATAAATTAAATATGCATCTGTGCAAAGATTTATGCACAAATGTTCACAGCAGCTTTGTTTTTAATAATTTAAAAAATAGGCTGGTCGTGGTGGCTCATGCCTATAATCCCAGCACTTTGTGAGGCTGAGGTGGGAGGATTGCTTGAGCCCAGGAGCTTGAAACCAGCTTCCTCAACATAGTAAAACCCTGTATCTACAAAAATTAGCCGGTGGTGGCGCTTGCCTGTAGTCCAAGCTACTCAGGAGGCTGAGATCGAGGATGGCTTCAGCCCAGGAGGCAGAGGTTGCAGTGAGCTGTGATTGTGCTACTGCACCCCAGCCTGAGTGACAGAGCGAGACCCTGTTTCAAAATAATAATAATAATAATACAATCCAAATGTCGATCAATAGGTAAATGGAGAAACAAACAGTGGTATACCCATAAATGGAACATACTTAGCAATAAAAACAGATGGATTAATGATGAATGCATCAACCGAGATGAACATCAAAATAATAATGCTAAAAAAAAGAAGCCAGACATAAATGAATATGCACCAGATGAATCCACTTATATAAAATTCTAGAATATGCAAAGCAATCTGCAGTGAGGGAGAGATCAGTGGTTGTCTGAGGATGAGAGGGAATGAGGAGGAGATGGGAGGAGCAAAAGGAGGGATTTACAAGGAGGCACAGGAAACTTGGGGCAACGGATCTGTTTACTATCTCCATGGTGATGATGGCTTCACAAGTGTCTACATTTGTCATGACTTAGCAAATTGTATGCTTTATGTATAGTTTATTATATTCCATTATGCTTAATAAAGCTACTCTTAAAAAATCTTGTCTCCTGGAGCTTTCATGCTAGTGGCATGCAAAGTAGAAAGTACAAGAGAGGCTGTCCAAATCCAAACTCACTGGCTCTTATCGCCACCTGACACATTCTATAATTACTCACTTGTGTCATTTTTTTTCTTCTCCTCCCACTAAAATGTAAGCTTTCAAAAGAAAGGGACTTAGTCCACTCTCACTGATGACATGTAACAAGATGAAGAAAAGTTCATGCTCTTGGAACCAAGTTCCTCTGAGAAACACAGTCAGCCTTGCTGGAAAAATGGCCTGATCAGCTCTGAACATTTCAGAGACCTGGGGGAGCTGCATGTGGCAGGGTTGGGTGCAGGGGCTGGGTAGCCAGAGGGTGGGAAATGCCACCCAACTCAACTCTTCCACCCTCTCCAACCCCTGCCAGTTTTCTGTCTATGCTACAAGATTGCAGAATGCTTGGAACCTGCGGATTCCTCTTTTCTTGCTGACTTGGTGAAGGAATTGCTCTGTGTGCATCAGGGTGATGGGGGTGAATGAAAGAGAATGAGGACGTGGGAGTTGAGCCATGAGAAAGTAAAACCAGGGTTAACAGACTCCTTGGGGAGATTTGGGGGTCCTTGGACCATGAATTGCAGTTGGAGGCATTCCTACCTAGGTCTCGGTGCCAGGGTGGCACGAATGGATACTCCTGAAACAGGTATGGAAGTGAATCTCTGCAAGGCTGAAAAGCTTGGAAATTCACAAGGTTACAACGTGAATGTGAATGAGCTGAGGATCTTGCTCTTCCTACCTCTCTGCTTTGTCTCCAAAGCTCTGCCCACAGGGGAAAAATCATTATATTTTCTTATTTGTGGTGAAGCATAAACATTGGAAAGAAACAGAACAGAAAAATAGCAAGCTCCTCCCCAATCCCAATTAGCTGCAGAGAGAAACTGGCTTTTCTTGGGACTGGGAAGAACCCCTGGCCCAAGTGGCCTCCTGGAATCCTGGGGTGAATGGCTCCAGATTCGGGGGATGGTCCCCTGGGGGAGAAATGGCCAAATAATCAGGGCATTCACATGAAGGGCTTTGTTTGCTGTTTCAGTGCAAATTAGCAATTAGTAAGGGCTGGCGCTGGGCCACCTCCCATTGCAAGGCCAACTGGCAACACGCGTCATTTTGTTCTTGGCTGGGGACCTGCAGGCTGGGTGTCAGGGAACAGGCAGTGTCTAGGTCTGGACAAGAAGCACCATGGGCCTCCACCTAGCTGACTGCTCCTCCTCCCAGACACAGTGCTGAGGGAACCCCTGCATGTCTCCTTCATCTGCAAGGAAATAGGAGCCCTGGTTCCACCATTGCACTCAACAGAAGGAAACAGAGTAGGAGAGTGAGTGATTTTCATAAGCTGAATCAGCTTGGGAGGAAAGGAACTGGTATCCAAACTCTCCTGCTCCGTAGTGCAAGGTGTTCCCCTTAAACCAGAGGTTCTCAAACTTGAATGAGCCTCAGCAGGCCCTGGAGGGCTTGTGGAAACACAGATTGCTGGGCTCTACTCCAGAGTTTCCAGTGAATTTGCATTTCTAACAAGTTCCCGGGCGATGTTGATGCCAGCGGTCCTAGGCCCACACTTTGAGAATCACTACCCTAAAACATTTCTTACAAGATAATGAGAGAGAATATTTCCTTCCTTATTCGTACTCAAAATAATTCTGGGGTATAAGCAAGAACTAGCAGGAAAAATGGGGAGCTACACAAATCATTTTGACTGGCATCAGGAAACAAAAGAAATGGGGATTCAGATGAATGATTGATTTCACCAAAAAAGAAAGTTAGACAAACTTAAGAGTTTGGCAAAAATCCACTTGGCCTGCATAGAAAGCTGGAGAAACTGGGATCTAAGCAAAATTAATTATTCGCAGGGATGCCCTGACTTGGTATGTTTAAGGCTTAAAAGGCTTTCTGACCCTCTGCATGCCCCTCCAACTATCTAGTGCCCAAGGAACACTGCAGGTGAGCCACAGACGCTTTGGTTTTATTGGAGACGGTTGTCCAGACATAAAGCTGCCAGACTTAGCAAATAAAAATAGAGGGTGCCCAGTTAAATTGGAATTTCATATAATTATTTGGTCTATGTATGTCCCAAATATTGCATGGAGCACACTTAGACTAAAAACTTGTATCTAGCAACCCTATGCAGCTGCTGCTCCTGCCTGTCCCAGCTCCAGTCCCATTTCTGCTGACCTGCATCTAACTCACATACCAGCCTAACCCATCTCTGCAGTTAAATTATTTCATCCATCAAAGTGCTTAGAACCATGTTTGGCACAAGGGTAGTGCTCAGTGAATGGTAGCTCTCCTGTCTCCTGTGTGGACAAATGTCCTCCCACTTAATTCTCACCATCACCTTGCAAGGTTACCATAATGCCATTTTACAGATGGGGAAACCAAGGCTCCCAGTCAGTAAGGGATGGAGCTGGGTTTAAACCACACTTGATCTCACTCCAAAGCCACTCTCCCTCCACTGCAGCCAATGCTACATCCATGCACAGCTGACCGGTGTCATTAAGCATGTGTGACTGCCCCAGGAGGATCTGAGGTTCCTGAAAACTTGTCATTGTCCCCATGGCCTGGCGCAGGAGTGTGGGGGTTTGGCTCATCCAGGTGCTCCCTAGACTCCTGTGACTGGAGGTAATCTTGGCCTTGGTCCGTTGGATGCATGAGATCTTGGTTTTTCACATGAAGGAAATAACTCAGGGAAATTGTAGATATCACAGTGAAAAGCCCCCAGACTTTGGCGTCAGCCAGACTAGGCCTTAAACCCTGGCTTGGTCACCAACTGGCTATGTGACCTTGGACAAGTGGCTAAACCTCTCTGAATATCAGTTTGCTAATCTGAAAAACGGGACCAGCCATGCCCACTATTTCTGCTTTCTGGGCTGCTGGGAGACTGATGTAGAATTACGGGTGATGGCATCACTTTGCAGATTGCAAGGGGCTGTGATGAAGATTTCAGGGCTTCTGGTGAGTCCTGAGGTCTCAGGGGATAGGTCAGAGCTAAATGTCCTGAGAAGGCTGGCTCTGAGGTGCTGAGCCTGAGAGCGACTGAGGTTTTCCAGGGCTCGCAGTGGAACTATCAACCAAGGACTGCAAAATGCCTCTTCCTGAGACATTTTAGGATGATGCATTTTAGTCATTGTTTAAAAGGTGTTGCAAATCTGTCTCTATTTGAATGAACTCATATTATCTAAGACACTCATTATTATTAGGGTCACCAACTGTGCTGGTTTGCCCAGTGCCTAGGGGCTTTCTGGGACACAAGACTTTTGGTTTTATAGCCAGGGAAATTCCAGGAACACTGAGACAAGTTGGCCTTGCTAGTTATTGTTGGTTTTATCATTATTATCCAGTTCCTTACATTTAGACCGATGGCTCTTTACATCTTCCTCTATTATCTCTCTGAGTCCATGCCATCACCTCCAATTCCTAGCAATTGCCATTATTGACAAGTACTGCCTGGATTCCGTAATGGTTTTACAGCCAGTATTTATTTAACTATTCACACTGCTCCCACGAAAAAGACATTGCAATTCCTGGGAGCTCTGAGGCTGGGGAATTCATACATCTCTCTTCTCCCTCCCCCTGCAGGCATCCTCGAGGGATCTGCAATTTCTTTCTGTCTCTCAGCTCCTGGAGATGGTCAGATCCCCAAGCTGTTCCTAGAAAATGGAATGTTTAGTACCAGGAACTAATGACAACCAGAGACAGAGGAAAACTCTTGCGAAAAAACAGAAACATCTGAACCCCATCACCCCCTTCCACAATGACTATTGGATACAGGCAAAATCATGATTCCTTTCTGCAAACCAAGTGCTAAGAACAGCCTTCCAAGGTGGAATCCAAATTCCCCTGGTGCACCCAACTAGAGACAGAGGAGCAGGACCAGGGCATTCAGTCTGAGTGCAGAACCTAACGCAACTTGGCTGAGTTATTAAAAGCATGAAGATGCCTAACTCGACATTCCAACCCATGGCAGGGCCTATGAATTAAACTCGTTGCTTTGTTGCTTTGTTTTGCTCATTAATTCAATCCAGACATTGGGTTTTTGAGGAATTATAATGTTCTTAGCATTCCGAGAGGGAACATAGAGGTTGGAAAATGGGCTCTGAGAATTAGAAATCTTTTACTCCTAGAAACTGACCGTATAGAAATAATCCTCCCCAAAGTGCTCTGGAGTAAAATAGAACTCGGTTAGAATCTGGGATCTGCCTCTTCCCAAAGTCCTGCATCAGGCAAGCCTCCTGGTCTTTTCTGCCCTGGGAAATGGACTTCAGTACTACGTAACACAGAATTATGCAGTTGAGAAGGAAGTTTCAACATGTGCAAGGTGCCAAGTAAAACTCCAGGCCCAGGGAGGGGTTTGTAGTAATAATAGGAAGAGCGGCCAGCCTCACAAAATGTCTGCATTCCTATATCAACAATGTTTGGAAGCAAAATTCAAAATCAAACCTTTTAAGTGTGTTTGTGTGATTGACTCATAATTGATTTTTAAATTATTTTAATATTTCTTGTAGCGCCTTTGACCTGTGGAGACATTCAAGAACCTCTGATCTCAATGATGACAAGAACAATAGCAATAACCCACCTACTAGAGTACTTAGTGCAGAACAGGCACTATTGTAAGCACCGGGCTTGCACTATCCACCTCAGCCAATCCTCCCAGGAAACACAAAGGAAATGTCTGAGGTAGGTACTAACTTTGCCCCCATGTTTAAGAGGAGGGAATTAATACCTAGAGAGATTGAATGCCTTGCCTCAAGTTACAACAGCAAAGGCAGGGTTTGAACCCAGGCACTCCATGTCTTAGTCCACATTCTGAACCATCCTGGTCCAGATGCTGGGCCCCAGGCCTGGAGGCACCACTGATGTCCACCTCATTGTGTGTTCATTAGTTTATATGTGAAGGGACTTAACGCAGACACATTTGTTTCCAAACAGTTGTAAAGCTTTCATTCCTGAGATAAGATGCACAGAAAGGGTCAATGTAAAGGTTGATGGTCTTTACAATAAAAATTTCATCAAGATGAAATAGTAAGCACTTGTTTTGTTTATTGAATTTTTTTGTCTGGTTTTGAGATGGCATTTCACTCTTGTCTTGTCACCCAGGCTGGAGTGCAAATGGCGTGATCTCAACTCACTGAGACCTCTGCTTCCCAGGTTAAAGCGATTCTCCTGCCTCAGCCTCCAGAGTAGCTGGGATTACAGGCACATGCTACCGTGCCTGGCTAATTTTTGTATTTTTAGTAGAGATGGGGTTTCACCATGTTGGCCAGGCTGGTCTCAAACTCCTGACCTCAGGTGATCCACCCGCCTTGGCCTCCCAAAGTGCTGGGATTACAGGCGTGAGCCACCACGCCTGGCCCATTGAATGTAACTCTTCCATTCACCATCCTGCTTCAGAATCTCCATTCTCCTCCTGACCAAATGGAGTTTTACTTGAGTGCCAGTAGTAGGGGCTGGGTAAATACAAGAACGGTTCTTCTCCCAAAAGGAAGATGGGAGAACGCCTAAGAAAGATGCACAGAGTGGGGAGATCAACAAACGGGCCTTGGAGTAAGCTGACTTGGGTTTAAATCTTTGCTCTGCCACCACGAGGCCTGTGGCAATAAACAAGTCACTTCAACTCACTGTGTGAATCAGCTAGGGCTGTGGAACAAAGTACCACAGCCTTGAAGCCTTCAACATCAGAAGTGTATTCTCTCACAGTTCTGGAGGCCAGAAGTCCAAGATCAGGGTGTGGGCAGTGTTGGTTCTTCCCGAGGGCTGTGAGGGGAGGATAAGTTCCAGGCCCCTCTCCTTGGCTTCTAGATGGCCGTCTTCTCCCTGTGTCTTCACACGGTTTTCTGTCTGTCTGTGCCTCTGTGTCCAATTTCCCCTTTTTGTGAGGACACCAGCCATATTGGATAAGGGGCCACTCTAACCCTCCGTTTTACTTAATTACATATTTAAAGCCTCTATTTCCAAATACTGTCACATTCTGAGCTACTGGAGGTTAGGACTTCAACATATGGATTTGGGAGGACACAGTTCAGCCCCATAACACTGGCCAAGTCCCAGCCTTCTGATCTGTACAATGAGATTGTTGTATTCATTCCTCTTTCCCCCTTTTTAATTAAAAACTCCTTTTGGATCCTCCTCCCTGAGGCTTCCTATTTTTCATCAGTCAACCAACTTTTATTCATCTCCCATTATGTCCCACGCCCCTGTGCTAAGCTGGGCAGAACCCAGATGGCCCTGAGGGTTCCTTCAGTCAAGAGCAGAACTCAGGCTACAAGCAGATGCTCTGGTGGAAGAAAGTTCCAAATGCCATGGGAGCCCAGGGAACCACTCTCTTGGGCAGTCAAGGAGGAACCCCCAAACTGATCTGAAATAATGAATAAAAGTTCACTCACTAGGGAGAGCTTGGGGCTGTGGGAGGGATGAGTGCATTCAGAGCAGAGGCAGCCAATGAAACATGGATATTTTTTGGCTTGCCAGAAAATCTAGACTCCCCTGTAGATCCTCCTGATGCCAGAAAAACTGGCAAGCCAGGACCCAGCATGACATCCAGCCCCCATCCCATCTGATACGGTTTGGCTGTGTCCCCACCCAAATCTCATCTTGAATTGTAGCTCTCATAATTCCCATGTGTTGTGGGGGGGACCCAGTGAAAGATAATTGAATCATGGGGGTGGTTCCCCCCACACCGTTCTTGTGGTAGTGAATAAGTCCCAAGATCTGATGATTTTATGAGCGGTTGCCCTTTTCACTTGGTTCTCTCAATTTTCTCTTGCCTGCCACCATGTAAGACATGCCTTTTGCCTTCGGCCATGACTGTGAGGCCTCTCCAGCCACATGGAACTGTGAGTCCATTAAACCTCTTTTTCTTTATAAATTACCCAGTCTCGGGTATGTCTTTTTCAGCAGTGTGAAGATGGACTAATACACCATCTCTTTCAACTGTCCTCCAGCCTCCTGCCTGCCCTGCTATGGCACAGCCCCTGCCTCTGCTGCTCATGGGCCTCTTTAGCTCATCCTCCCGGCCCCCAGCCACTTCCACCCTACACTGGGCTCCAGGGAGGTGAGCTTACAGGCCAAGGCAGGCCACCTGGATAGCCCATGGAACCCCTTCCCTACCATTCCAATAATGCTATTTCCATGCACAGTTGCACACATGTGTGACGGTGTGTGTATGTGTGTGGGGGGGTGTATGAGAAAGAGAGAGAGACAGAGAGAGAGAGAGAGGTTTTATCCAGAGGAAATTAAGTCTCCCCATGATCTGCAGTGCCCAGACCTGGTCTGTTCAGTTCAGCTATCTAAGCTGCAAGTTTCTCTATGAGCAAAATGGGGGAAATAAGACCTAAAACCTAATTAATAGAGTTAATACATGCAAAGTGCTTAAAAGTCCACCTCAAATGTTCAAATAATGCTCACTGGCTAGTTTTATTGTATGATTAGTGCACAGATTTGTTGTTTCAATTAAATGAGATGCTATGTACAAGGGACAAAAACAATGCCAGGTAAACTGGAGCTGCTCAATGAGCAGTTGATGTTAATTTTAGGGATAAATGCTCAGGTCCAAAAACTTTGGGTTGATGACCCCAGGCAGAGTTGAAGTAGCCAAAACTCCCTCTCATTGGCCTGCATCAGAAGGTACAGGGTCAGGGATAGTCAAGAGCATTAACCAACCTGTGCTGAGTGCCTCTGTTTGCATTGCTCTGAAATTACTTAATATCCATAATATTAGAGGATGAACCATTTAATTACGCATTTCATTTACTCTCCACTACTCTTGCCCCCATCTGAAAGAGGAGGAGGCTGAGGCACAGAGAGACTAAGTAATGTGTCAAGATCACACAGCAGGTGAGTGTTGAAACTCTGCACAGGGCACAGGGCAGAGCTCTTTCTCTCAGGAAGCAGAGCTGGTCTTTGTGCAGAATCAGTTCTACCCAGCCATTCACTCCGAGAGGCAAAAAGGGGCAGCTGCTGGACCATTTGAAGTCCCCAACCCATGTGATAGAAATGCCTCAGCTGCCCACAGCCTGCCAAAACAGACCTTCACGTCACGGGCTGGTTCCCTCGCACACGGAGTCAACCAGCCTGAAACCACCATTGCGAATCTGTTTCCTGTTTTGACAGCTCACAATCCACCGTGCCACTGCTCTTTCACAAGTCTCCTCTGCCAGCCAGGCTGCTTCTGAAGCTCAGTCATGCTTTTAATAAAGGGCCGGCGGGGGAAATCAGTCCCAGGGAGCACTGCACAAATGTACGGGCTGAGAGGCTGCCGTTCAAATGTGTTCATTGTCCACAGACTCCCCTGGCCTCCAGGGTGCAGAGGCCTTCAGCCTCCACCAGTTTCTCAACCCCACTCTGAAAGGCAGGGGGTGATGAGAAGCATTGCTTGTGGCCTGGTCCCTCATGGTAAAAAGCTGGTAGTATCACACCCCCACCCCACAACCCCTGCCTCAGCCTGGCTGTGTGTGTGTGTGTGTGTGTGTGTGTGTGTGTGTGTGTGAGAGAGAGAGAGAGAGAGAGAGAGAGAACTTTCCAACAAACTCAAGCTCTGCCACTAACTAGCTGTGTGACCCTAAGAAGTCACTTATTTTTGGAGCTTAGTCTTCTCAACTGGAAAATGAGGGGCTTGGACAACAGTGATGTTTTCAAACCCAGAAGAATCCTAGAAATTTCTGGTTGTGCTTGGCCGATTTGAAAATCCTGGGTTTGATAAAAAGATAATTCGGTTCTAGAAGCCATCACCATTGTCAGAATCAACATTCGTTGAGCCTGGTGGGGTTCAGGATGTTGCCCTGAGAGCTGGGGTACTGAGAGGTATTATATCATTTTGTTCCATGCCAAATTGCTATTGCCTTAATAGTAGCTTCAGTTAACTGATAAAGCAATCAAATAGCAAGTATTTAGTGCCATCGTGGGCCAGGGAAAAAGCCAGAACCAACCTGAACTGTTCCCTGGGTTCAAATTCCACAATATTGCTGAGCTCAGAGCCCCATCTGTAAATTGTGGATTCTAATGCTTCCCTCTGAGTTTGTGAGAACCAAGGAATTGACATTTGAAAATGCTGGACACATCTGTGGTCGTCAATAATATGCCAATTTCTCTTTCCCCCAATTATCAAAGTTTAGGGGCTAGACTGTGCCACAGAGAATAAAGATAAGAACTTTTGGCTTGAAGAACTGTTTTATTTGGCTGAAGAGAAAAGACAAACACTGAGCGTGGCTCTGCAAGCCTGCTAGGGATTTTTGAAGAAAACATTTACAATCTATCTATAGAGATGAGTAATTACTCCTCAAAGCAGGTAAAACTCTGGCTTCCCAGGGCGCCTCACCTAGATATTTTTCTAGAGTTCCCCTTTGGAAACCACTTTTAAAACCAGAGAAATGTTTTTCAAATGTATCACTGTTGTTGCCAATTCATTCATTCATTCATTCATTCATTCACTCAGCAAATATTCATTGGAATAAGTACTACATCTTAGTGTTTGAGATACCACTAGGAAGTGCAATTGTAAATACGATGGTAAAGCCAGCCCTCAGTGTCCACATGGGACCCATGGGTACTGAGAGCTGATTAGAAGATATTTGAGCATCCATGGATTTTGATGTCCTCGGGGGTCCTGGACCCAATCCCCCATGGATACAGAGGGCCAACTGTATTCCTATTGTTATTTTATCATGGATGCTGTGGTTGTTGCTTTCATTACTTTTGATAATGATATCCCTGTTCTAAAGCAGCCGATAGCCTGGATTTGATTAATTTTAGCATCAGAAGTTATTTGGAGCTAAGTATAGCAACTCAAGAAACCTATGACGTGGGGTAATAGTAAGAATGTCTTCACAGTGCTTTCTCATAATATGCTTTTCCATCAAATCATTTACTGTATCCTGGTAAGACCTCTATTAAAAAGGAGCTATTTCTCCTACTATACAGAGAAGAAAAATAAGGCTCAGAGAGAGAAAAGATCTTGTCGAAGTTCACATAGCTAAAAAGTAGCTGAGCTGCCATTAAAATTTAGGTCCCTGACACAAGTCAGTAGGACTGTCACATAATAACCTGGCCAGTTATCTCACGATTATGGAAGATTTCATTAATAGCCCCAAATCCTCACCCCTCCCTGTATCACACTCTTTGCCATATGATTATTTCAGTTTTATCTCTTAAAAAAAACAAAAACAAAACAAAAAAAAAACAAAAAAAACAAGACTATTTCCCCACCCATTGACTTGGAGTTCAGCCACATAGCTTGCTTTGGTCAGTGGAATGCTAACAGGTGTGACATCACCAGTGGCCGGGATGTGTTTGGGTGGTTGGGTTTTTGTACCATTGACATGAGAAAAGCACACCTGGGTTAGAGCCTTGGTCTCTGGAGGAGGATGAGAGGTCTGTGGGGCCTGAGCTGGGCTGCCCCAGGGGAGCCTGGCTGAGCATGGGCCAAGATCAGTCACCCTCCAGCTGACCTCTGAGCTAACTAAATGCTGATTGTTGTGTGCTGCTGAGATTCTGGGTTTGTTGGTTAGGTAGTGTTATTGTGGGTAATATATATCTTCTCATCCTGTTTTTAGGGCTCAGTGGCAGCTACAGTATGGAGCAGTTCACCTCAGTGTGAGATTGAGTAGTACGAGGACTTACCTAGTGGCTAAGAACAAGATATATGTGACATGTGTTCTTAAGCATTTATCCTACTGATAAGTCATTCAAAGCACTATTTCTATGTTAAAAACACACTTGGTGTAGTATACAGCAAGATGGAAGGTATGCATGAATGAAGATCAAGTATTAGATTTTTATCACATTTTTCTTGTTAGAGGAACCCACTGTAAACTTTTCTCCCAGAACCCTTAGGACGGCCTCACTCTTTAACAGGAGTGCTTTCATGGAAAAATGAAACACTGGTCTAGTGGAAACTTGGACCATGAAGTACTGAGAGAAAGTTCTAGTGTTTTCCAACTGTATGATGCTAGGCAAGTCACTAGCCTCCGGGAGCCCCTGTTTTCTCATATAAGAGGGGGGCCCAGGCTCCAACCTAGGAGTGTGAGGAAAATCTCACTCTCATGCTATATAGTTATATAGCATGAGAGAATTTATGTTGCAAGTGTAAGGTATGGATGATGCTCATGACCTAATAAGTAAATAAAAATAACAAGTTTCCGTTGGCACAAACACGCTCTTCCACCTTTCTCCAGCAATAACTCTGCATAGAAACCCCAAGCAGTAAGTTCTGTTTCCTAGAATTCAAGAGGGACTTCTGAAATCATAGTATGCTCATGCCAAGACCCTAATGAATAGATTTAACACTGGTGCTACTATTATTTACCATCCAAGAGTGTTTACAGAGGCCAGTGGGGTTTGGGGTGCTGTCCAGAACCTATAGGTAGACACGGTCTCTTCCTTGCAAACAAACGAAGCCTTGAAATATTATATTTTTTATTTGTGCCATGGGCTTTCTAAAAAATAGCATGCCCTGCACAATGTTTTCCTTCCCTTGCTTAAATGCTCTCATCCTAAGCAGAAGAAAACAGTAAATGGAAGAAATTGCAGGCAGTGGGATCCAAAGGGAATTTTCAGAGGTCTCTCAACCCTGTAGTGTCTCCAAGCTCTTGAGTTCAGAAGTTAGAAAACACAGCTGACCAAATGGGAAAGCAAGCCATGGATTGCCCTCAGCTCCCACCTGCCTCTCTGCCTCCTGCAGGCTGCTCACCCCCTCTCTTCGTTGTCTCTCTGAATTCTCCCTCAAACGGACCCCTCTTGCCAGTCCTGAAGCACTACCCAGGTCCAGCCCACATGGCCCTGGGCTTTGACAGTTTGCATCAGTCTCATTGCCAGTTCCTCTAATCCGGCTTCCCCTGCAATGGAGTCCTCTTTCTGAACCCAAGACCTGAAGGCATCTTCACTTGTTTCCCATTGTCAGTGAGTAGAGTTCCAGTGTCCTTAGTTTAGAAGACAAAAATGGCTCCAGTCTGGCTCCAGCTTTCCTATTCAGCCTCGTAAGTGCCCCTCCCTTCCTGGCACGAGACCCGTCAGCCATGCCAATTTGACCACAATTTCCCATCATGGTATACTTTCTCCTGCCTCCACTTAGGCCTATCTTACCCCCTTCCCTGCCTAGAAGACTTCTATTTGACCAATTGATCCTAAGTCAAATACGATCACCTTGGGGAAAGTTTTCATTCATCAGCAAAAGTTTACCAAGACCTTGGGCCTCATGCTTGGTTTAATGTTTTGCTATCACAGTCTTGAAATTCTTAACGGCTTTGTCTTTGAACTTGTGTTTTGTGAGTAAAGTCTGATGGGACAATAGCGCCTGCACACGAGCAGAGGAAATACCACAGCATGTGTCCAGTGTACCCGCCATTCCCTGCCACCCCATTTCCATGAAGCACTCAGCTGGTCCAGAATTCTGATGGATCAATGATTCATGAGAGTTCAGCGTGACCCAGAGCAACTATACCGCAAGCATGAGGCCTCTCCATCTCGGTAACAGGGGCTCCAACTGCCCCTGAGCCCATGCTTTTTGTTGCAACCTGAACTTGGGTCAAAATGCAGAAAGAGGACCATGATGTTCAAAGAAACATGAATGACAGAGGGACTTTGTCCGATCCTTTTGTACTGATGTTGCGTCTCTGAATTAACCAGTCACCAACACTGGAGATGATGGCATTGAAAGAAAGACAGGGCAGGACAGAATTCCCTTTTTGTCCAGTCCTTCCTTACTCAGCAGGAAGGCGCAGATAGAGAGCATCGGTAGAATGTGTGTGTGTCAGAGGTGCAGCCAAAACCGATGAGTTTGTTTTGTGCCTCGTTTCCAGTGTTCAGGTAAGAATGAAATACATGTGCCCAGAGGAGCTACAAGATAGGATAGGAAAGTGTAATTCCTGAGATTCTATATAAGAGATCGATGAGCTCATATTTGCATGGAAGACTGGCATCACACAGTTTGAAGATAAGTGATAAAATTCATGCTAAGGATTTTTAGTTTTATTTTAACTTAGATTGCAGGGTTTTTTTGTTTGTTTTTGTTTTTTTGAGATGGAGTCTCGCTCTATTGCCCAGGCTGGAGTGCAATGGCATGATCTCAGCTCACTGCAACCTCTACCTCCTGGGTTCAAGTGACTCTTCTGCCTCAGCTTTCTGAGTAGCTAGGATCACAGGCGCCCACCACCAAGCCTGGCTAATTTTTAGTAGAGATGGGATTTCATCGTGTTGGTCAGACTGGTCTCGAACTCCTGACCGTGGGGGATCTGCCCACCTCAGCTTCCCAAAGTGCTGGGATTACAGGCATGAGCCAGCCACTGCACCCTGCCATGATTGCAGTTTAATAGTAAATTTAAAGAATCACAGGGCAAGAAGAAAACCACAAAAGAAAAGATGCTTTATATTTCAGTAACTTTATTTTTCAATATTTTTTGGGATACTGGTGGTTTTGGGCTACGTGGATAAGTTTTTAAGTGGTGATTCTGAGATTTTAGTGCACCTGTCACCTGAGCAGTTACACTGTACCTAATATGTAGTTTTTATCCCTCACCCTACTCCCTACTTCGTCAGGGTCCCTGATCACTCTTACGCCTTTGTGTCCTCTTAGCTTAGCTCCTACTTATTGGTGAGAATATATGATATTTGGCTTTCCATTCCTGAGTTACTTCACTTAGAAAGGCCTCGAGCTCTGTCCAAATTGCTGCAAAAGACATTATTTTGTTCAATTTTTTGGCTGAGTAGTATTCCATGGTGCATATATACTACATTTTCTTTATCCACTCGTTGGTCAATGAGCACTTAGGTTGGTTCCATATCTTTGCAATTGTGAATTGTGCTGCTATAAACATGCTTGTGCGAGTGTATTTTTCAATATAATGACTTCTTTTCCTTTGCGTAGATACCCAGTAATGGGATTTCTGGATTGAATGGTAGTTCTACTTTTAGTTCTTTTGGGAATCTCCACCCTGTTTTCCATGGTGGTTGAATTAATTTACATTCCTACCAGCGGTGTAAAAGTGATCCCTCTTCAACACATCTATGTCAACATCTTTTCTCCTTTTTGAAAAAGGGGCCCGCCATTTTCATTTTGCACTCTGGCAGCCTTGCCTGGGGAGACAGACACGACGAAGAGGCATGCTCTGGCCTCCAGGTCCTGAGTGTGGAAAGAGGTGAGATGGACAGTTACAGACACAGACCGCCAGGCTCACAGCTCTGCGTTTATCTCTCCTTCCAGCACATGGCTTGCTGCATGGTCATTGTTCATTGTTCTTCTGCCCCCTAGACTGTAGGCCCCATGAGGCCCTGGCCCTGGCACTGAGTCCTTGAGGAGTGCCTGTGAATGAACAGATGGCCTCTGACTTGATACCTTCTCTTTGTTCACATAATCACTTGATTCCCATCCAGTGGGGTGCTTAGTTCTAGACATGCCTGTTTTGAATTATC
The DNA here is from genome assembly GCF_000001405.40 of Homo sapiens. Lineage (NCBI taxonomy): Eukaryota > Metazoa > Chordata > Mammalia > Primates > Hominidae > Homo > Homo sapiens. Next base: position 4,937,843 of record NC_000004.12, on the reverse strand, counting down.
CCTCTTGGCCATTCGTTTTAAGTCACACATACTGCGATTGTTTTTGATTAAGGCAGCAAGGACATGAGGAATAACAAGAGATGAGACGTGCTTGGCCTTCCCGGGGATCCGACAGGAGCTGCCATGCTTGATGTCTCCAGTGGATTTCCATTTCTGCACCCCGTCCTAGAGATTCAAGAACTTGTCTGGTCCTCCAATCCTAGGAACCTTGGTAGCACAAGGGCCAATCTGCTCCAACACTGCCACTCCCAGGTAATCACATCTTGCTACAATTTCCTATTTACATGTCTGCCTGTGCAATTCATTTTGTAGAATGAATGAATGAATACATTAATCAGTAAATCAAAAGATGGAAGAATCAATGAAAGAATAGCAAATCAGAATAATGACTGCTGAATTTGCTCCCCTTGCTCCCCAAGGTCCTAGAGGGTGTGCTTAGTCAGTACTGAGTGCTTGAACCATGAGACCTCTGGCTCCTGTTGTATCGAGCTAAGCTGGGAATGGCAGACAGACCAATCATGTCAAGGTTCAGCTTTTCAGAGGCTGCAGGGTAAATGGGGCAACAGCACAGGCTTTAGAGCCAGGTGGACAAGGGGTAAAATCTCAACAGTCCTGCTACTTTCTGTGATTTTGGACAAATCTCTTGTTGCCTCTAAGACTGAGTTATCATTTCTGCAAAATGGAAAATATATGTATCTTATGGGATTTTTAAAAATCATTGTATATCATTTATATTTTTAAATTGGCAATTCCTGGCATCAATTATGATTCTTATTTCCATCTGTGCCTAGATACACATAGAGATCTCAAGGCAGCTGCTATGGGAGTAGCTTCCAAGGTCATAGAGCTTTCATCTGCGTTATTTGGCCCATGAGATGTTTTCCATGTTCTGAGCTAGCTTGTATGATTAACTGATGGGAAAGAAGTAGAAAAACTAGCAGACACTCAATAAACATTTACTGAGCTGAATGGCATCCAGGGACCTCCCCATGCCCTGCTTCCATTAAAGGCAAAGCTGTTCCCCACTTCTCAGGACCCTCCTTGTCCTCTCTTCTCCCTACTCCATGCCAACAGCCACCAGGTCCTGCAGGTTTTGTCACTGTGTATTAGTTCACCATGAGTGCCTACTGTATGACTCGTGCTATGCTGGCCACTGTGGATGTTGTGGGGAGCAAATCAGGAGAGGTCCTTGTAGAACTTAGTTTGGTAGAAGAAAACAGACCCTATACAAATACACACCAAATATTCGTTTCATTACATACTGCACACAGGGCTCCAGTGAAACAGGATGGCGAGGGAAAGAGTATGAAACTTCAGTGGGTGGGAAGAAGAAAGGTTCTGTTGTTGTTATTGTTTTCAGACAGAGCCTTGTTCTCTCACCCAGGCTGGAGTGCAGTGGCGTGATCTTGGCTCACTGCAACCTCCGCCTCCTGGGTTCAAGCAATTCTGCCTCAGCCTCCTGAGCAGCTGGGATTACAGGTGCACACCACCACAGCCAGCTAATTTTTATACTTTTACTAGAGATGGGTTTCACCATGTTGGCCAGGCTCATCTCAAACTCCTGACCTCATGATCCACCCGCCTCGGGCTCCCAAAGTGCTGGGATTACAAGCGTGAGCCACCACACCCGGCCGAAGAAAGGCCCTTCAAGAATGAGAATTTGCTGACCAGGAAAAAAAAAGATGAGAAGTGCTTCAGCGGCAGAGGAAATAGCACATGCAAAGGCCCTGGGGTCTGAAAGCACTCTGCAAGCCCAGCTGGAACTCAGTGAGCGAGGTGGAGGTGGCACCACAGTTGCTCACATTTACTGGGCACATAGGAGGTGCCAGGCACTGTTCTATGGCTTCATAGGTCTTGACTCGGTTAATCCTTCCAAAAGCCCTGCCAGAAGTTTTGGTCACCATTTTACAGACAGAGAAGCTGAGACCCAGGGAGGTGAGGTGGCTAGCCCATGACCATCCAGATTCTCAGCGGCTGAGCCTGGGTTCCATCTAGGGCAGTCTTGCTCCAGGGCCCGTGACTAACCCACGGAGCTGCCTTCCTTAAGAGGGGCTATGGAGGCAGGTAGCAGGCCTGAGAGGCCATGCTAAGGAGGGATGTTTTCCTTTCAAACATCTCTTGCCTTTGCTTCTTAGCATTGACTCCTAATTCTCCTACTTGCTAAGTGGGTTGTCTTAGGCCAGTTACTCCACCGCCCTTTATTTCATTTCACAATTCTTTTTATCATGTTCCTGCTATGTGCCAGGCATGTGCGAGGAGCGGGGGAGACATGCAGTGGTGAGCAAAAGCAGGTGCGCACCTTGCCATCAAGGTCATTGCAGTCCACTTGAGGGAGAGCGTGTTAATCAAACAGTCTAATGGAGGTAAGGCCTGTGAGGGCATGATGCATAGTCCCGGAGAAGCTATATGAAAGGGGCCCCTTCTGGGCTATGAGTCAGGGAAAGCTTCCCTAAGGAAGTTGCACTCAAGCTGAGATTGGAAGGGTAGGCAGGAAATATCCAGGTAAAGTAAGAGGGTTGGGACTGGGCATGGTGGTCCACGCCTGTAATCCCAGCACTTTGGGAGTCCGAGGTGGGCGGATCACCTGAAGTCAGGAGTTTGAAACCAGCCCGGCCAACATGGTGAAACCCCATCTCTACTAAAAATACAAAAAAATTAGCTGGGCCTGGTGGTGCACACCTGTAGTCACAGCTACTTGGGAGGCTGAGACATGAGAGTTACCTGAACCCAGGAGGCAGAGGTTGCAGTGAACCTAGATCACACCATTGCACTCCAGGCTGGGCAACAGAGCAAGAGTCCCTCAAAAAAAAAAAAAAAAAAAAAAAAAGGAAGAGGGTTGGGATAAAAATGGGGCTGCCCAAGGCTGGGCGTGGTGGCTCACGCCTGTAATCCCAACACTTTGGGAGGCCAAGGCGGGCGGATCACGAGGTCAGGAGATCAAGACCATCCTGGCCAACATGGCGAAACCCGGTCTCTATTAAAAATACAAAAAGTAGCTGGGTGTGGTGGCGTGTGCCTGTAATCCCAGCTACTTGGGAGGCTGAGGCAGGAGAATTGCTTGAACCAGGGAGTCAGAGGTTGCAGTGAGCCGAGATTGCATCACTGTACTGCAGCCTGGTGACAGAGCGAGACTCTGCCTAAAAATAAATAAATAAATAATAAAAAGAAAAAGAAATGGGGCTGCCCAGGCACCCAGTTACATTTGAATTTTAAATAGACAACAAATAATGTTTAGCATAACATTATTATATTGCATGAGATGTGTTTATAATAAAATCTTACTCATTGTTTATCTGATATTCACATGTAACTGCACCTCCTGTTTTTGTTTATTCATTGAGTTTTGTTTGTGTATCTGGCAACCTGAGGTAGGAAGGGTATTCAGGACAGAGGGACTAGCATATGCAAAGTGATGATCATAGGACAAAGCACACTGTTAGAGAGAACCTGCAGGGAAACCAGTGTGACTGGGCACAGTAAGCCTCAGTTTCCTCACTTACAAGGTGGAAGTTGTAATAGTGCATAACTCACAGGAGTATATACGTAAAGTGTTTAGCATAGTGTTGGGGCAGAGTTATCACTCAATAAAGGTTAGATGCTATCATGCCTTATCCTTCACCTCCACCATCTTCATCTCCTCTTTTTCTACCAATTCCAACCAATTCTAGATCTTTCTGGACCCTTGCAATTGCCATCATTTAAAAAAAGAGTGGTCAGGTTCTCACCAAAATTATGATTTAAAAAGCCCTAGAAGTTGAAGATTTTGTTTGGTGTCAGCTTAAGCTATTTCTGAAAATGACTCTGCTAATAAATATATTATTATTAGTCCACTTGTGTTGCTGCAAAGGAATACCCAAAGCTGGGTAATTTATAAAGAAAAGAGGCTTATTTGACTCACAGTTCTGCCGGCTGTACAAGAAGCATGGCATCAGCATCTGCTTCTGGTGAGGGCTGCAGGCTTCTTCCGTTCATGTCAGAAGGCAAAAGGTAGCTGGTATGCAGAGATCACATGGTGAAGGGGTAGCTGAGAGAGAGATGGAAAGAGGTACTAGGCTCTTTTCAACAACCAGCTCTTGCAAGAATTAAGAATGAAAACTCACTTACTCCCACAAGAATGGCACCAAGCCATTCATGAGGGATCTACCCCCACAACCCAAACACCTCCCACAAGACCCCACTTTCAACACTGGGGATCAAATTCCAACATGAGACTTGGCAGGGCCAAATAAGCCATATCCAAAAGATAGCATATACTAACATAACGATTGGAAGACAATGACTCAGGAATGAAATTAGCTGCTACAGAGAAGCAGTATGCTACTCGGACATGGTGTCAGTTACCATAGCAGAAGCCCAAGTTAGACACTGACTTCTCCCTTACATATGCAGGCTAGCCAGGCAGCCCCCAAGGTATCAGGAACCCAAGCTTCTCCCAGGATGTTGTTCTGCCATCTCTATGATGTTGTTTTGTGGTCAGCCTCTGATAATTCGAATATCTGACATCTTTGTAGGTCTATTTCTATTGTCTTTTATTTCTGCTGGTTATTCACCATGGAGTCTTTTTTCTTTGTTTGCTTTTTTATTCAAGATTATCCCAGTTAAATAAATGAAGAAATTCTCCCAAAGAGTTCACCAACACATTTGTATTCCAACTAGCAGGAAGAGAAGAAATGGTGCTGGAGAGGGTATAAGGCTTCCCTTTAAGGGCATAACTCAGAGCTTGTATAAGTCACACTCATATCCTTTGGCCAAAACTTAGTCAAAGAGCCACAGTTGGCTGCAAAGAATGCTGCTAAATGTAGTCTTTACTTCAGGGGTGGCTGTGTGCTCAGCCAAAACGTCAGGCTTTTATTACCGTAGAAAGAGGGGAGAACAGATATCAGAACACACCAGCAGTGTGCCAACAGCCAAGGTGCAAAGTCACTTGAAATAGACTCGGCTGGCACATCTTTCCATCTGGGATCTTTTCTACCTACAAGGAATGAGGACCCAGGGGTCCTGGAACCAGGGAGGTTGGAAAGACAGGGATTCCGGGGAGTAGCAAAACATAGAAACAAATCTAGGGATAATTAGGACAAGGAGCTAAATGTGATGTTTAATGCCAGCCACAATGAAGAATAAGTTTTCTACTCTAGTTGCTCATAAATTCAAAACAGCTTCAAGGAAGGAGAAACAGCTTGAAAAACTTTTGTGAGCATATAAATATGGTGACAGAATATGTTATATATTATTTATACACATTGTATGTAGAGAGAGAGAAAGAGAGAGAGAGAGCGAGAAAGACAGAGAGACAAAGAGAAGTGACACCTCAACTAAAATTGGTCTTTATTTTATATCTGTATTTGTGTCTGCCGATTATTGAGCAGTTGAACATTGGTGTTGCTCTTTGTTTGTTTATTTATTTATTGTCTTGCTCTGTCACCCCAGGCTGGAGTGCAGTGGTGCGATCTCAACTCACTGCAACCTCTGCCTCCCGGGTTCAAGGGATTTTCCTGCCTCAGCCTCCCAAGTAGCTGGGATGACAGGCACCCACCACCATGCTCGGCCAATTTTTTTATTTTTGTTTTTAGTAGAGATGGGGTTTCACCATGTTGGCCAGGCTGGTCTCAAACTCCTGACCTCAGGTGATCCACCCGCCTTGGCCTCCCAAAGTGCTGGGATTACAGCATTTTGCTGAGCCACCGTGCCCAGCCTGGTGTTGCTCTTTAAATGAAAGCAAACTTGTGTGCAGTCTCCTCCCTCCTTCACTCCTCAAAGCTTTAGGACATCCCTGCTCTCCACCAGGCCTGGCCTGAAATCAGGGCCAGGATGCAGATGCTGCAAAGACTCCAGCTTCTCCCCCAGGAATATGTGTGCCCCTGGAAAGGCATAACCACTAGGCCTACCTATCGGTTCACAGAAGCACCACAGGGCTACAGGTATTCTGGAACCTTCTGCCATTGTGTATCAACAGTCAGGTGCTCCTGTCTTGATGGCCTGGTAAGAAAATACCCACTCTGGAGGAAGACAGTCCTAGGTTCAAATTCTTCTTCTGAAGCTTCCTATTCATGCGGCCTTATGGGAAAGAGCTTTGCCTTACATATGAGGCTGGTATGGTGTTGAGCAACAGTCTTGGGAACCAGGTGGACCTGGCTGTCATCTTGGCCCTGACTCCTCTAGGGTGACCAACTGTCCTAGTTTGCCCAGAATAGAAGGTTTCCAGAGATGCAGAAATTTCAGTGCTAAAACCACGACAGTCCCAAGCAAATTGGGACAGTTGATTGCCCTGCTACCAGACACATGCTCCAGGGCAAGTTACTTAATGCTCTGAGGCTCAATTTCCTTGCACATAAAAATGGGCCTAGTAATGTCTATCTTGCAGGAGAGCTATAGGGAATAGAAATAGTGCCTCGTGCAGAGTAATCATCAGAATTATTATTAATATTATTAACTTCTCCCCCTCACTGCCTGTGCACCTCTTTTATAATAGCCAGTGTCCCAATTTACCTGAAGGGTCCACATAGCTCCATCAGGCCATTATAAAGCAGCAAAAGTGAAGGGCTTTCTCCCTGATGCATTGTTTTTCTATGCAGGGGTCAAGGAAGCCTCCCAGCCTCCAGGGTTCCCCACATCTCTGGGCCTGAGTGAGCCCTCAGTGTCCCACAATTGCTGAGGCCTTGAGTCAGTTATAAACCTTCCCTCCAACCCCAAGACCATGTGGCTTTGTTCATTAAGGCTGTTGCTTGGCTCTGCAGCTCTGAGACAATGCCGAGTATGACTTTGTCCACCCTCACCTTGATTGCATTCACAAGTACTTCCTAAAATTAATTGCAAAGGAAAAAAAAACAACAAAAACAAAAACCAAAAACCAAAAATACACGTTGGTGTCTCTTTGTTGCAAGAAAAAAAATTCACTATTCATTCCAAGTAAAATTGCTTCATAACTCAATAATTTCATCCAGCCTCCCAGGCCCCCAGAAGGCACTGAAATACTTAGCACGTGGCTAAGTGCAGCACTCAGAGAAGGTGTGAATTTGCAAGAATGTGGAAGTTTCATCCAACTTTCTCAGTTTCATCACAAATGACTGCCTTCCTGCTTTCTAGGCCCAGCCCTCCAGACTTCAGAACAAGAAACAGGCACATTGACTGCAAACCCGAGACCTTTGTGAAGACAGGGAGGGTACTAAAGGAAAAATGCCAAAGCCTTTTGTTTTCTTTTTTTATTATTATTATACTTTAAGTTCTGGGATACATGTGCAGAACGTGCAGGTTACGTAGGTATACACTTGCCATAGTGGTTTGCTGCACCAATCAACCCATCATCTACATTAGGCATTTCTCCTAATGCTATCCCTCCCCTAGCCGCTCATCCCCCAACAAGCCCCAGTGTCTGATGTTCCCCTCCCTGTGTCCATGAGTTCTCATTGTTCAACTTCCACTTATGAGTGAGAACATGTGGTGTTGGTTTTCTGTTCCTGTGTTAGTTTGCATGAGAATCATGGTTTCCAGCTTCATTCATGTCCCTGCAAAGGACATGAACTCATCCTTTTTTATGGCTGCATAGTATTCCATGGTGTATATGTGCCACATTTTCTTTATCCAGTTAATCATTGATGGGCATTTGGGTTGGTTCCTAGTCTTTGCTATTGTGAATAGTGCTTCAATAAACATACGTGTGCATGTGTCTTTATAGTAAAATGATTTATAATCCTTTGAGTATATATCCAGTAATGAGGTTGCTGTTTCAAATGATATTTCTGGTTCTAGATCCTTGAGAAATCACCACACTGTCTTCCATAATGGCTGAACTAATTTACACTCTCTCACTGTGGTTTTGATTTGCATTTCTCTAATGACCAGTGATGATGAGCTTTTTTTCATGTTTGTTGGCCACATAAATGCCTTCTTTTGAGAAGTGACTGTTCATATCCTTTGCCTACTTTTTGATGGGGTTGTTTGCTTTTTCTTTTAAATTTGCTTAAGTTCCTTGTAGATTCCGGATATTAGCCCTTTGTCAGTTGGATAGATTGCAAAAATTTTCTCCCATTCTATAGGTTGCCTGTTCACTCATGCTAGTTTCTTTTGCTGTGCAGAAGCTCTTTAGTTTAATTAGATACGGTTTGTCAATTTTGGCTTTTGTTGCCATTGCTTTTGGTGTTTTAGACATGAGGTCTTTTCCCATGCCTATGTTTTGAATGGTATTACCTAGGGTTTCTACTAGGGTTTTTATGGTTTTAGGTCTTACATTTAAATCTGTAATCTATCTTGAGTTCATTTTTGTATAAGATGTTAGGAAGGGGTCCAGTTTCAGTTTTCTGCATATAGCTAGCCAGTTTTCCCAACACCATTTATTAAACAGAGAATCCTTTCCCCATTGCTTGTTTTTGTCAGGTTAGTCAAAGATCAGATGTTTTTAGATGTGTGGCATTATTTCTGCGGTATCTGTTCTGTTCCATTGGCCTCTATATTTGATTTAATACCAGTACTATGCTGTTTTGGTTACTGTAGCCTCATAGTATAGTTTGAAGTCAGGTAGTGTGATGCCTCCAGCTTTGTTCTTTTTGCTTAGGATTGTCTTGGCTATATGGGCTCTTTTTTGGTTCCATATGAAATTTAAAGTAGTTTTTTCTAATTCTGTGAAGAAAGTCAGTGGTAGCTTGATGGGGATAGCATTTAATTTATAATTTACTTTGGGCAGTATGGCCATTTTCATGATATTGATTCTTCCCATCCATGAGCATGGAATGTTTTTCCATTTGTTTGTGTCCTCTCTTATTTCCTTGAGCAGTGGTTTGTAGTTCTCCTTGAAGAGGTCCTTCACGTACCTTGTAAGTTGTATTCCTAGGTATTTTATTCTCTTTGTAGCAATTGTGAATGGGAGTTCACTCATGATTTGGCTCTCTGTTTGTCTATTATTGGCATATAGGAATGCTTGTGATTTTTGCACGTTGGTTTTGTATCCTGTGACTTTGCTGAAATTGCTTATCAGCTTAGGAAGTTTTTAGGCTGAGACGATGGGGTTTTCTAAATATATAATCATGTCATCTGTAACCAGAGACAATTTGACTTCCTCTTTTCCTATTTGAGTACCATTTATTTCTTTCTCTTGCCTAATTGCCCTGGCCAGAACTTCCAATACTATGTCGAATAGCAGTGGTGGGAGAGGGCATCCTTGTCTTGTGCTGGTTTTCAAAGGGAATGCTTCCAGCTTTTGCCTATTCAGAATGATACTGGCTGTAGGTTTGTCAAAATAGCTCTTATTATTTTGAGATACATTCCATCAATATCTAGTTTATTGAGAGTTTTTAACATGAAGGGATGTTGTATTTTATCAAAGGCCTTTTCTGCATCTATTGAGATAATCATGTGGTTTTTGTCATTGGTTCTGTTTATCTGATGGATTACATTTATTGATTTGTGTACGTTGAACCAGCCTTGCATCCCAGGGATGAAGCTGACTTGATCATGGTGGATAAGCTTTTTGACTTGCTGCTGGATTCGGTTTGCCAGTATTTTATTGAGGATTTTTGCAATGATGTTCATCAGGGATATTGGCCTGAAGTTTTCTTTTTTTGTTGTGTCTCTGCCAGGTTTTGGTATCAGGATGAAGCTGGCCTCATAAAATGAGTTATGGAGGAGTCCCTCTTCTTTGATTGTTTGGCATAGTTTCAGAAGAAATGGTACCAGCTCCTCTTTGTACGTCTGGGAGAATTTGGCTGTGAATCCGTCTGGTCCTGGGCTTTTTTTGGTTGGTAATCTATTAATTACTGCCTCAATTTCAGAACTTGTTATTGGTCTATTTAGGGATTCCACTTCTTCCTGGTTTAGTCCTGGGAGGGTGTATGTGTCCAGAAATTTATCCATTTCTTCTAGATTTTCTAGTTTATTTGCATAAAGGTGTTTACAGTATTCTCTGATGGTGGTTTGTATTTCTGTGGGATCAGTGGTGATACCCCCTTTATCATTTTTTTACTGTGTCTATTTGATTCTTCTCTCTTTTCTTCTTTATTAGTCTTGCTAGCAATCTATCTATTTTGTTAATTTTTTTAAAAAACCAGCTCCTGGATTCATTGATTTTTTGAAGGTTTTTTGTGTCTCTATCTCCTCCAGTTCTGCTCTGATCTTAGTTATTTCTTATCTTCTAGTAGCTTTTAAATTTGTTTGCCCTTGCTTCTCTGGTTCTTTTAATTGTGATGCTAGGGTGTCAATTTTAGGTATTTCCTGCTTTCTTCTGTGGGCATTTAGAGCTATAAATTTCCCTCTAAACACTGGTTTAGCTGTGTCCCAGAGATTCTGGTATGTTGTATCTTTGTTCTCATTGGTTTCAAAGAACTTCCTGATTTCTGCCTTAATTTTGTTATTTACCCAGTAGTCATTCAGGAGCAGGTTGTTCAGTTTCCATATAGTTGTGCGGTTTTGAGTGAGTTTCTTAATTCTGAGTTCTTATTTGATTGCACTGTGGTCTGAGAGACTGTTTGTTATGATTTCCATGCTTCTGCATTTGCTGAGGAGTGTTTTACTCCCAATTACATGGTCAATTTTAGAATAAGTGCAATGTGGTGCTGAGAAGAATGTATATGCTGTTGATTTGGGGTGGAGAGTTCTGTAGATGTCTACCAGGTCTGCTTGGTCCAGAGTTGAGTTAAAGTCCTGAATATCCTTGTTAATTTTCTGTCTCATTGATTTATCTAATATTGAAAGTGGGGTGTTAAAGTCTCCCACTATTATTGTGTGGGAGTCTAAGTCTCTTTGCAGGTCTCTAAGAATTTGCTTTATGAATCTGGGTGCTCCTATATTGGGTGCATATGTATTTAGGAAAGTTAGCTCTTCTTGTTGCATTGATCCCTTTACCATTATGTAATGCCCTTCTTTGTCTTTTTTGATCTTTGTTGGTATAAAGTCTATTTTATCAGAGACTAGAATTGCAAGCTCTGTTTTTTTTTCTTTCCATTTGCTTGGTAAATATTCCTGCATCCCTTTATTTTGAGCCTATATATGTCTCTGCATGTGAGATGGGTCTCCTGAATACAGCACACCAATGGGTCTTGACTCTTTATCCAATTTGCCAGTTTGTATCTCTTAATTGGGACATTTAGCCTGTTTACATTTAAAGTTGTCGAGACCAGCTCAGTCATGGAGAACCTAACCCAGTGGCACTAGAGGAATTAAAGACACACACACAGAAATATAGTGTGTGGAGTGGGAAATCAGGGGACTGACAGCCTTCACAACTGAGAGCCCTGAACAGAGATTTACCCACATATTAGTTGACAGCAAGCCAGTGATAAGCATTGTTTCTATAGATCATAGATTAACTAAAAATATTCCTTACGGGAAACAAACAGATAGGCCGAAATAAAGGAATGGGCTCTGGCTAGTTATCTGCAGCAGGACCATGTCCTTAAGGCACAGACCACTCACGCTGTTGTTTGTGGCTTAGGAATGCCTTTGAGCAGTTTTCCACCCTGGGTGGGCCAGTTGTTCCTTGCTGTCATTCTGGTAAACCCACAACCTTCAGCATGGGCATGATGGCCATCATGAACATGTCACAGTGCTGCAGAGATTTTGTTTATGGCCAGTTTTGGGGCCAGTTTATGGCCAGATTTGGGGGCCTATCCCCAGCAAATGTTAATATTGTTATGTGTGAATTTGATCCTGTCATTATGATGTTAGTTGGTTATTTTTCCCATTAGTTGATGGAGTTTCTTCATAGTGTCGATGGTCTTTACAATTTGGTATGTTTTTGCAGTGGCTGGTACCAGTTTTTCCTTTCCATATTTAGTGCTTCCTTCAGGAGCTTCTTTAAGGCAGGCCTGATGGTGACAAAATTCTTCAGCATTTGCTTGTCTGTAAAGGATTTTATTTCTGTTTCATTTATGAAGCTTAGTTTGGCTGGATATGAAACTCTAGGTTGAAAATTGTTTTCTTTAAGAATGTTGAATATTCAAGCTCACTCTCTTCTGGCTTGTAAGGTTTCTGCAGAGAGATCTGCTGTTAGTGTATGGGCTTCCCTTTGTGGATAACTTGACCTTTCTCTCTGGCTGCCCTTAACACTTTTTTCTTCATTTCAACCTTGGTGAATCTAATGATTATCTGTCTTGGGGTTGCTCTTCTCGAGGAGTATCTTGGAGAGCTCCAGATGGCATCTGGCAGGTGCCCTTCTGGATGAAGCTTCCAGAGGAAGGAACAGGCAGCAATCTTTGCTGCTCTACAGCCTCCACTGGTGATACCCAGGCAAACAGGGTCTAGAGTGGACCTCCAGCAAACTTCAGCAGATTTGCAGCAGAGAGGCCTGACTGTTAGAGGGAAAACTAACAAACAGAAAGGAATAGCATCAACATCAACAAAAAGGATGTCTGCATGAAAACCCCATTCGAAGGTCACCAACATCAAAGACCAAAGGTAGATAAACCCATGAAGATGATGAAAAACCTGCATAAAAAGGCTGAAAATTCCGAAAACCAGACACTTCTTCTTCTCCAAAGGATTACAACTCCTTGCAAGCAAGGGAACAAAACTGGATGGAGAATGAGTTTGATGAATTGACAGAAGTAGGCTTCAGAAGGTGGACAATAACAAGCTCCTCTGAGCTAAAGGAGCATGTTTTAACCCAATGCAAGAAAGCCAAGAACCTTGAAAAAAGGTTAGCGGAATTGCTAACTAGAATAAGCAGTTTAGAGAAGAACATAAATGACCTGATGGAGCCGAAAAACAGCATGAGAACTTTGTGAAGAATTCACAGGTATCAATAGCTGAATTGATTAAGTGGAAGAAAGGATATCAGATATTGAAGATCAACTTAATGAAATTAAGTATGGAGACAAGATTAGAGAAAAAAGAATGAAAAGGAATGAACAAAGCCTCCAAGAAACATGGGACTATATGAAAATACCAAACCTACATTTTATTGGTGTACCTGAAAGTGGCTGGGAGAATGGAACCAAGTTGGAAAACACTCTTCAGTATATTATCCAGGAGAACTTCCCCAACCTAGTCTTTTATTCTCTTAAAGAAGGAGACACACGGATATTGACCGTGTGAGAAGGTGAGCTTATCCTGGAGGTAAACCTGTGCTCTAGTTCCTCTCCTGAGGAAAATTTTAGAGAAGGCACTATGGATGGGGGCCATGACTGACTGACACCAACCAAGACCCCAGCCCTGGAGCTGGGCTGGAGTCAGCCTCCCTTGAAGCCCATGGCTACGAGGAGAAAGGTTGATGCTGAAAAAAACTCTGGGTTCACTTGGAATGGAGGAAGTTGGGCCATAGCTAATAATAATAATAAGTGAGTTCTCTGGAGCTGGTCACATGCCAGGCACTGTTCTAAGCATCACCCTCACAGCAACCGAGTTGGCACAGCAGGTGCCATCAGCTCTTGGCCCATGCCCCTCTGCCTACCCTAGAGTTCCCAAACATAGCCTTGGCTTCCTGCATCTCTGTGGCTGAGGGTGTTCTCTGGTCACAGGGGTGTGCTTGGTCCACACACCTGGTGTGTGGGGGGGGGGGTTCTGAGGCACTAACACCCTAAGAGCAACCCATAGATAATGGATAAACACCCAGGTTCCTCACCCCACAGTGGGGCAGCTCTGAGGTGTGCTCCATGTACCCCTGAAGAGGCTCCTGGGGGATCAAGCCCGGTTGCCCTTGGTGAAGACCTGCCCATCTTCCCACTAGAATGAATTTACCTCCCTTTCTGCCTCACTTCTCTTTCCTGACCCCTGACTTCTGGGTCATCACCAAATAAATTACTTCAATCAAATCTATGTATTGGGGTCTGCTTTGGGTGAATGCAATCTAATTATTGGGCAACACTATTATTGTCCCTCTTTGATGGATGGGGTAGCCAGGTTTGGGGGTGTAGTAGTCTGTTTTCACACTGCTATAAAGAACTGCTCGAGACTGGATAATTTATAAAGGAAAGAGGTTTAATTGACTCACAGTTCCATATGGCTGGGGAGGCCACAGGAAACTTACAATCATGGCGGAAGGCAAAGGGGAAGCAGGCACCTTCTTCACAAGGCAGCAGTAGAGAGAAGAGCAAAGGGGGAACTTCCAAACGCTTATAAAACCATCAGATCCTGTGAGAACTCACTCACTATCAGGAGAACAGCATGGGAGAAACTGCCCCCATGATCCAATCACCCCCCTCCCTCGACAAGTGGGGATTACAATTTGAGATAAGATTTGGGTGGAGACACAGAGCCAAACCATATCAGATTTTAGGATCCACCCCAATTGTGGCAGTGATGGGTGGTGGAGCTGGAAGCCAGGTCTGACTCCCACTCCTGTGCTCCTCCCATTCTGCCACATGGGAAAGTCTGCCCCACTTCAACCATTCCTGTCCTCAGCAACATGACTTGACTGGAGGACTTGTCACAGCAGGGTACTGTCATCATCATTGATAAGTAACCATGACAAGCAAGAATCACCCCAGCACATGACTCAATAATGCCTCACAGATCATAAAGCCCCTTCCCACCCACTGTTTCCTCTGAGCCTCACAGCACCCTATGAGATGGGCAGGGGAATTTCTTTCCTGCCATTCTGCCTATGGGGACACAGAGACCTTGGAATGTCAAGTGACTTCTCTGAGGCTACACGGCTAGGAGGTGGCAAAAGCAGGAAGGAACTGGAGCTAATGTCTGCATCTACATCATGATTGGCCCAAGACACTAGCACCCTCAACCCCCAAGCTTTCTATGTGGTATTGGCAAGACAGCTCACTGCTGGAGAAACCAATCCTGGAGGAAATTCTGCCATGAACAGGGAGCCTCACTCCCTCAACAGTGATGAATGACTTTCATAAACATGAATAGTTTCTGAGAAGGTGTCCTCTTGCCTGGGGTCCTACTTCAGATGGCCAAGTCAGAAGGACATAATCCCACTGCTGGGAAATCCAGGCCAGGTCAGACTCCATAACATGCTTTAAAATGTGAGAGCCCCAGTCTGCTAGCATGGTCTCAGAGATGGAGGGAGCCACAGCCTCTGAGTAGATCCTGACCCAGCATTCCATGGCAGTATCCTTTGGAAAGAAACTTTCACCAAACCTGATGGGAACCTCTCCTCAAGGACTGCTAAGTCAGGAAATGGGGTATGCAGGGTCTGGAAGTTGGAAGCTGGCCGCATCCCCCAAATGAGCAGGTCCAAGACACTTATTCATACATCAGGAAAACCAGGGTCCAGAGATGGTGAGTGACTCAAACAAGGTCCATCCCTTCATGAACTAGAGGAAGCCATGGCTCAGAACCACAAGCCCCAGCTCTCTGCCCACTTCCTTTTCCTCTTCACCATTTTACATTTGATAGGAAATTTGTTATTTCTCATGTTTGAGCCCGCTTTGTCTCCACAGCCCTCATCCTCCCTATGAGCATGATAGAAAAAAATTATTCTCTATTTCCTAGGAGAGAAATCCAAGGCTTGGAGCCACTTGGATGGTCACCCAGGGCCATCAGCATCTACTAGCCAGGAGGAGGCTGGGACATTCGGGAGGCAATGGAGAGAAGGAAATAGAAGGAAGAGGGCTGGGGCTCCCAGCAGTCTAATTACAGGGTCCCAAGGCCCAGCAGTCTTTCAGGGAGAAAAATCGGTCGGACTTGGACAAATCAGCTGCACAGTGTTAACCTTCCAGAGACTGAACTCTCTCCCCATTTCCAGGAATCTAATCTTTGATGTATCTTTGAATAACTTTAAAAAAAATAAATCCTGAATAATCTTAGATGATTGTAAGGATCTGGGTATATCACCACCTCTCCCCACATCCCCTGCTTGCCTCACTTCCACACCTCCCTGCAGATGTACTTGCAATAGGGGACTCAAAGCGGAAAGCTGTCAAAGGATTTCATTAACTGAAATATGACGGTAACTTCTCAGGTCTTTCTGGTCATTGTGGCTCACACCTGTAATCCCAGCACTTGGGAGGCCAAGGTGGGTGTATCACCTGAGGTCAGGAGTTCGAGACCAGCCTGGGCAACATGATGAAATCCCGTCTCTACTAAAAATACATGGTGGTGCATGCCTGTATTCACAGCTATCTGGGAGGCTGAGGCAGGATAATCACCTGAACCCAGAACACTGAGGCTGCAGTGAGCTAAAATCCCACCATTGCACTCTAGCCTGGGCAACAAGAGCAAAACTCCATCTCAAAAAAAAAAAACAATTTCTCAGGTCTCTTCCCAATTCCATCTCTCTCTCCTACCACGTGACTACAGGGTAATTGGAGCATTCATAAAGCTCCTGAATGCACCCAAGGAGACCATGTTCAATGTTCTTGATAGTTTGAGGTTTTCAGCCGGCAACTGAGCAGGTTGGCTTTGGGTCTTCTCAGAGTCCTGGGGTCCTCAAATAGAAAGCAAGGCCTGACAAGGTCTGGGACAAAGATTGGGGGTGTGGGAGAACATGGAAGCTTTGCTCTCCTAATTGCCAAGCCAGCGTTTTCCGCACCTCCTGTTAGTCCTTCATTTAGTTTTACAAAAAGTGTGGGAGGATGCCCCCACAAGCTTGCCCCAGTGGCTGTCTGCTGTGCAGGAGCTCCTAAGTGGGAGGAAATTGGAAGTGAGCACAGAGCAATGGGGTGGGCCACTGTGGGGTGCAGATGTCCACCTCTCCATGGGGCACAGAGGAAGACACAGCTGAGTCCACCTGGGTGGGGAGGTGAGGTTAGGAAGGTTACACAGAGGAGGTGAGTTGAGCTGAGGACTGTCACTTACCTGTGTGGATGGAAGACCACAATCTCATCCTGCCATCTCCTGCCACAAGAAAAAGTGCCAGGTGAAGAAGATGGGGAAAGGTGTTCAAGGCTAGGGGGATGTGAGGGTGATCTGGCTGTGACATCTGTCACCCCATTGATCGCCAAAGTTGATTCGGCTGATCTGGCTGGCTAGGCAGGTGTCCCCTTCCTCCCTCACCACTCCATATGCGTCCTTCCCAAAGCTGCACTCACGACAATCCCCGATAGAGGAGGACTGGTCTTCAGCCAAGGGTATATGAGTAGCTTTGCACCCCTGCTAGGGCCTCCAAACAAGCTCTCAAGGTGTTGAAGGCTGAGGGAATCTAGTGAGCAAAGACAAAGAGGCACATGCTTGTTGGGGCATAGAATGTTCTAGAGTGCTAGAAATTGGAACATTCTAGGGCTCTAGAGCTTAAAATATTAAGAAAAGCTTGGTGAGGGAGGAGACAAAGAGGATGGGAAAAAGCAGGTGGACCCTCAAGAGAACGTGGATGCCCGCCAACTGTAGCTGGTGTGAATGTGTGAATGGGGTGGCAGACGGGGAAGGGTGGGGGAGAAGAAAGGGACACAGGAGAGACTGAGGCACCCAGGATGGCCAAGGTGTGTGGGGCAGCTGGTATGTACCAGCACTGTTCTGGGTATTCTCTATATACACTCTCACCCAGTCCTCCCAGGGTCCCCCAATGTCCCCTTTAATAGATGGGGACCCTGGGGCATGGGGAAGATCATGAATGCACCCAGGATGCCACGGCTCAGAGCTGACAACTGAGCTAAAGAGGGGCCAGATGCCCTGCAGGCTGTCACCTCAGGCCCACCCTGCCCTTCAGCCCGGCCCAGTTTTGACCCAGCCCAGAATGAACACGCTCCTTACTTGCTTCCCAAACTCTCATCAACATCTGACAACAACAACAGCAAGAGGAGGGCCCAGAGGATCTGCTGCATGCTGCGGGCGTCGCCAAGTTCTTAATGTTACCCAGCTGTGCAGAGGTTGGCCGGGGGCCTGGCCTGGGCAACCAGCGGCGCCATGATTCACATGGACTGAACAGTACCGAGTGAGTCACTGGCGTCCCACAGCCAAGCCAGCCACTGGACTGTGAGCTGCATGTGGGCACAGAGCGTGCTCTCTGGATGCCTGGCCTGCAGTGGGTTCTTGGTGCTATTGTTGCTGGGCTCCCTCAGCCTGTTCTATTGCATCTGCTTACTTTGACCACTGGGCCTTTCTGCCCTCCAAGAGCTTCCCACTCTGGGTGTGCTTGGTGTGTCCTCTCTGGACAGCTCTGAGTGGCAAGTGGCAGGCACAACTGTATCCAGGAACTCAAGGTTGCTTCCAAGGAAGTGAAGTCAGGCAAAGCCACCCAGGAAGTTGGATCCTCAAGATAATTTGTTTACCCAGAACTCTGGGACACCAGGGCCTAGCTAATGAAGCCATCCTCTTTAGTAAGATGGGCTCCAAGGTAACCAGGTAAAGGGAACCTAGCCCCCACCTCCCTACCCCCACACACCCGACAGCCTCTCCTTTACTGCACTAGCCTGCTGGCCCCTGGGATGTTTTGCACATCACTTAAAGTGGGGCTCCAGTTGCCTTTCCCGGGGTTCCCGTCTGCACAGGGAGGCAGGGAGAGATGCACCAGGGGAGAAAAGAGGAAAATAATCCCAGTCCAGGCACTAAACCAAGATGGCCCCTGCTCAGCCAAAAAGAGCCACTCTGCAGATCCGCGCTCCAGGGCATGGACCTATCATGGCCCAGCCCTCAGTCCCTGGCTCTGCAGCCTGCTGGGCTCAGAGGCCTAAGGAAGCCTGAGGAGGTCCTGGGGCATTGAGACCCCAAGAATAGCTCAGAATGGTGAAGCTGGCACTTGCACTGACTGTTACAGGGTAATAGGAGTTTGCTTTTGTGGGGGTGGGGGCGGGGGTGTGGGGAGGGCATATGCAGAGGCTGGTGGGTAGGCAGCAGCGACCATTCTGTTGGGCAGGTAAGGACAGAGGGCATCTAGACTCTGGGACAGGGTGGAAGCTCAGTAGCCTTAGGCACAGGGCGATACCGTGTACAGTTTCAGCAGCAAGGCATGAAGGTCTTCTGCAGCATGGGCCACCAGGCAGGAAGAAGCCCAACTAGGTGGGCCAAGGAGAGGGAGGTGTGATATGGCTGCAGACCCAGATCCCAGGGAGTGCCTAGAGAGAGCCCTTTGTGCAATCCCTGCCCTCTTCCTCCTTGTCTGGTAGCAGCCCCCGTCTCTCTGCTCACAGAGGTGCGTGTGAGACCTCCTGGCTGCCTGGTGCCTCATCTCTTAGACCACAGTCTTGGGCCCAAGGGGGAGCTCGTACCCCAGGGGAGTCAACCTCATCCTTCCAGAGGATTTTCCAGGGGGGAGCAGGAGACAGAAGACCCTTTCCTCTTGAGTCAGATGTCGCTCCAGGGGCATGTCTCCCCAGTTAACTGTAGCAGAAGAAAACTAAGCCATAGTGTGCAAACAGAAGCAGGTACTCTTGTGGAGAAAATGTCACTCTGTTTCCGGCTGAGCTGGCTTTTCTGCAACGTCCAGGCTCCTTTTCCATCTTTGAGGACTTGAGCCAATAGACGTTCCTCCTGGACTTAAGCTGGTTACATTTGGCTTCTGACATCTGCAACTGAAGACACCCAACAACTCACCAAGATCCCGCCCTTGAAGGATGTGACATTGTTGTCCTCCCCAGGCCACACCCAATGTCTGGTGCCATGTTTGTTGTTTGTTTTTCTGCCCTCTAACCCCTAGATTGTAAACTTAGAAGGCAAAGCCTTACCCCCTGGGGTCCCAGGGCAAGTGTTTCTTGCATTATTAACTAATCTAGGTTTTGTGGCATATGTTAGCCCAGTCCAGCAGGGAGCATGACGTCAGGGGTTATACAAGGTAGCATCCCCCAGAATCAATGGGGGTAGCAGCATCATAGTTTAGTTTGGAGTGGCCAGGGGGTGGGGCTGACAGCTCAGAGTGGGGGCAGCACCTGTGGGGACAGGTAAAGACGGGAGAGATGAGGGGCAGACACCCACCCCACAGGAGGCAAACAATATTTGGGCATTTATTTATTTAACAAATACTTTGGAGCACCTATGATATGCCAGACACTGTTCCATGCACAAAAGATACAGCACTGAACCTTAACAGGTTCAGTCCCCACCCCTGTAAAGTTTACATCATGTAGAGGGGAAGTGATATGGTTTGGCTCTGTGTTCCCACCCAAATCTCACCTTGAATTGTAATAATCCCCACATGTCAAAGGCGGGACCAGATGGAGATAATTGAACCGTGGAAGCAAATTTGCCCATGCTGTTCTCATGATAATGAGTGAGCTCTCACAAGATCTGATGGTTTTATAAGGGGCTTCCCCCTTTGCTTGGCACTCATTCTGTCTCCTGCTGTGCTGTAAAGAGGTACCTTCCACCATGATTATAAGTTTCCTGAGGCCTCCCAAGCCATGCGGAACTGCGAGTCAATTAAACCTCTTTTCTTTATAAACTACTCAGTTTTGGGCAGTTCTTTATGGCAGCATGAGAATGGACTAATACAGTATATTGGTACCAGGAGTGGGATGCTGCTATAAAGATACCTGAAAATGTGGAAGTGACTTTGGAACTGGGTAACAGGCAGAGGTTGGAACAGTTTGGAGAGCTCAGAAGAAGACAGGAAGATGAGGGAAAGTTTGAAACATCCTACAGACTTGTTGAATGGCTTTGACCAAAATGCTGATAGTGATATGGACAATAAAGTCCAAGCTGAGGTGGTCTCAGATGGAGATGAGGAACTTATTGGGAACTTCTTAGGTGCAAAGGTGACTCTTGTTATGCTTTAGCCTAGGGACTTGGTGCCCTGCCTCTCTGCAGCTCCAGCCATGGTGAAAAGAGGCCAAGGTACAGCTCAGGACATGGCTGCAGAGGGCGAAAGCCCCAAGCCTTGGCAGCTTCTATGTGGTGTTGAGCCTGCAGGTGCACAGAAGTCAAGAATTGAAGTTTGAGAACCTCCGCCTAGATTTCAGAGGATGTAGGGAAATGCCTCCATGTCCAGACAGAAGTCTGCTGCAGAAGTGGGGCTGTCATGGAGAACCTCTGCTAGGGTAGTGTGGAAGGGAAATGTGGGGTTGGAGCCTCCACACAGAGTCCCTGCTAAGGCACTGCCTAGTGGAGCTGTGAGAAGAGGACCACCATCCTCCAGACCCCAGAATGGTAGATTCACTGACAGTTTTCACCATGTGCCTGGAAAAGCCATAGGCACTCAGCGCCAGCTTGTGAAAACAGCCAGAAAGGAGGGCTGTACCCTGCAAAGCCACAGGGGCAGAACTGCCCAAGGCCATGGGAACCCACCTTTTGCATCAGCATGACCTAGATGTAAGACCTGGAATCAAAGGAGATAATTTTGGAAATTTAAGGTTTAATGATTGCCCTATTGGAGTTCACACTTGCATGGGGCCTGTAGCCCCTTTGTTTTGGCCAATTTCTCCAATTTGGAATGGGTGTATTTACCCAAAGCCTGTACCCCCATTGTACCTAGGAAGTAACCAACTTGCTTTTGATTTTACAGGCTCATAGGTGGAGGGGACTTGTCTCAGATGAGACTTTGGACTTGCACTTTTGGGTTATTGCTGGAATGAGTTAAGACTTTGGGGGACTGTTGGAAGGACATGATTGTGTTTTGAAATGCGAGGACATGAGATTTGGTAGGGGCCGGGGTGGAATGATATGGTTTGGCTCTGTGTCCCCACTCAAATCTCACCTTGAATTAAATAATCCTCATGTGTCAAGGGCAGGACTAGGTAGAGAAGACTGAATCATGGGAGTGGCTTTTCCCAGATCTCATGAGAACTCACTCACTATCATGAGAACAGGGAGACACAATGAAAACCAAGCAAGTTAACGTATCATGTGGCAAATGATGACAAAGGCTTTGAAGACAAATGGAACTGTGCAGGAGGTGGGTTTTACATAGTGGCTGAGGGCAGATCTGACTCTCCAGGGACTCCACAACCTGTGATATGGAATGAGCACTCTTCTTCTGCCCTCACTCTGTGGGAGTGGGCTTAAAAGATTTTAGCCCCTGTTCCACCTTGGAAATGAGGAAGACATGGGTTTTTGGAGCTGACAGGAGTGAGTCCAAGCCTTGGACAAGAAATGCAGGAAGGAGATCCCTGAATGAAGTTGCAGGGGCAGGTGCTGCCAGAGCAGGACAGACCCTGCCACTCCAGGAAGCAGAGTCCAGATTGGAGCTGGGATTATTGCTGCCTCAGTTGAGAATGTAGGCCATAGATGGGCAGGGGTGGTGGCATTAGAGGGCACCAAAGTGTGAGCCCAGCTTCTCTAAGAGTCTGGGTGTAGACTCCTGTGCCCTGTCATTCAGTGACCTGACCTGGGACTACCATGCAGCCAATCTAGAAAAATCCAAAGCTAAATTGGTGACCCCTCCTCACAACAAGTTGGACCCAGTTCCAGGGAGACTGCTGCAGTGAGCTCCTGACAAGACGACCTACATAGGGAGTCAAATCCCAGCTCAGCCCCAGCGCTGCCACCTGCCCCCCGACCCAGCAGCCCCCTTTGGAGCCCTCCTCCTTCATCTGGCGGGGCCATCCCAGAGCTCACAGGACACTGGCTGTGAGGGTACTGTGAGGTATGAAACACCAGGATAAATGGGAGGGATCATTGTTAAACCTGGAGCCCAGCCACCTGCAGATCTGCCCGTATGCTGGTGGCTTCCTCCTCCAGCTGCACGCCTGGGAGATGCTGACCCTGAAATGAAACCCAATCCTCTGACATGAACTCAGAAAAGGGTGGGCTCTGCAGGGGTCTGTGCCCCCATGGCACAGGCTGAAGAGTCCCAGATCCAGTTGGGACTGGGGGGAATCACAGCAGTAGGCAAAGCCCCCACAAGACAGCAACATACGCCTTGAAAGAACATTCAACTGGGGCTGCAGGAGAGAGGACCTGAGTGCCAGTCCTGGTGCTGGTGACCCTGGCGGAGTCACTCCTCCTCCCTGGCCCTGCTTTTCTACCTTCCCTCCAAGCACATGACCAACTCTGGGTCCCAGGCGGGAGTCATCAATGGACAAAAAGGGGTAGGGTTTGAGAGGACAGGGAGTGGGGCTGGCAAACACAGCAGCCCTAATCAGGGCAGTGGTTCAACTTCAGCCTCCCTCTGCCAAACGGAACACAGTTCCAGTGATAACAAATCTTCTCTCTTCCTCAAAAGAAGCCAGAAATACAGAATTTTATGTGATGGCTCCAACTTCTAAGTGTTGGCAATGAAGCCTGTTTTTTGTAGAAAATGCCATATGGTTCAAAGCAGGTGTATCCTTGGGATCTAATCCATAGGCTGCAGCACTCAGGGTCCCCTGCACCCTGCCTTCCAGGTGGGGTCAGCCAGTGAGGACACTGACAGGTGTTGGGGGTGGTGGGAGAGAAGGAGAGAGGGAGGGGATTTGCTTTCTGATGACCAAGTTGTAAACTTAAACCATTTCAGGGGCCAGACAAATCCCAGAAGCGGCTGGCAGCAGGGCAACCCCTGGTCCCTGCCATAGTTCTTACTGGCTGCCAATACCACTACTTCCTCCCTCATCTCTTCAGACCCAAAGGAGGTGATGACTTCCTGCGTTACCAGCACCGAGAGCCTCTACATCCCTTGCCAGCTTCCTTAACCCTGCCCACAGTTCTGTAAATGGTTCCTTCATTAAATTTTGCCTCTATGGGCCCTTTTGGGTGGGATTCTGCTTCCTACAAAACCTTGGCTACATACAATGTTATTTTTTGTTGTTGAAAACTCTTGCAGGTGCCCAGAGGAAGGAATGAATCATCTGGGTACAAATCCTGGCTTTTCTCTCATTGTTGGGTTGCATCATCTCCCTCTGCCTTGGATTACTCATCTGCAACCTTAGAGAGCCAACAGACAGGGTCAGTCATGATAATCCCACAAGCACCTAGCCAAGGGTGCTCAGCAAACTGGCTTGCCTGGAGCCTGAACTTAAACAACAGTAGGATTTGTAAAACAACGGCATTTTCTGGAAATGCATGGCCAGTGATCTTCAGACAGTGTGACTGCCCATTCCTGAACTTAAACAGTAGGATTTGTAAAACAATGGCATTTTCTGGAAATGCATGGCCAGTGATCTTCAGACAGTGTGACTGCCCATTCCTGAACAAGGCCTTGGTACTCTGTGCCCCTCCTCCTGCTCAGTCTGCACCACCCAGCCTGGAGACCCCTTCCATTTGATGGACAGGCTGGAGAGGCTGAGAGGCAGGAGTAGGGAAAGAACAGCACTGGTTTTCCTGATCCCCAGAGTCAAATCCCAGCATGGCCACCCTGTAGTGTAACAAGTCCCTTTCCCTCTCTGGGCTATTTCCACATCTACATAAGAGGAGTTTGCTCTGGAGCCTCCAGGGTTCCCAGCAGCTTCCCCATGCTAGGGGTCCATGGTGGGTTCTACCTCTGCAGACAAACCAAAGTTCTGCACATTATCTATGACACTTTATCTTAATGAAGCATAAAAATTATGAAATTTCAAGCTAAGCTTTCCTCAATTGTGTGGTAGAAGAAATGTTTAAATCTCTCTTTTTTTGGCTGACTCTTTGAAAGGCAAGCGTTTCCAAATGTTTGGCCCAGTCCCTTTCCCTCCCCCTTCCCCAGGGCCTGTCCTCAGAAGGAAGGCTCCAAAGAAGAGGGGGGAGGGCCAGACCCAGGCCAATCAGGGGGTGGCACTGTTGACCGCAGATGACCCATTGGCTAGGTCTACCCAACACCTGGATGACTGACTGCTATTCTGGACTTCCTTTGGGCCAGATGTGTTTGGCAGCCACCCACAGTCAATCAGGGGGGTTGTGTTTGAGAAACTAGAGAGCAGCAAACAAAGGCAAGTGTGAGAAGGGTGAGGCCTGGTTAGAAAACACAGAAATTCCTCCTGGTTGCCATCCAGTCAAAAGAACAGGCTGTTCCATGGGTTCCTGGGGACTACTGGAGAGTGAGGAAGTTGATATCTGAATGGACATGGCTTGGCTGCCATTTTGTAAGATTAGTAAAACCATTCAGTTCTTACTTTCCCTGGGTCTGCCACCTGGAGGACAAGAATCCAACTGGTATGGTGCAGGGAAAGATCCAAGCTTTGGAATCAGGCTGATGGGGGTTTGGAACCCAAGTTTGCTACTTACTACTTGGGTAATTTGGGCAAGTCACTCAGTCCTCTTGGCCCCACTGAAAATGGAGACAGTAAGGCTTAATTCACAGGGTTGGAGAGAGTGTTAATGCAGATTGGTGTGGATGGCTGTACAAATGGACAGGTGAACACCTCACTGGCAACAAAAAATAGAACTACAGGGACCACCATGCAGCAGGGTTAGAAGCTCAGTTGAGAAGAAAACAAAGTACTGATGGAGAAGTTAGAGTCTACCCATTCTCCTAACTAGTCTACATTTTATCCCACCTAATCCCCCTTAAAAAAGAGGTTATGATGTTTCATTCTGGTGTGATAAATTCAGTGCTAAGAACAGCAGAAACAGAATTGTTAGGATATATAGAAAGCTATAAGAGAGGGCTTATTAGGGGAATTGGCTCCGGAACTTATACTACCAGGAAGCTGATGGTGTAACTTCCTGTAAGTTTTGGAGTCCAAAGGCCAGAGAACAAAGAGGTCCAATGTCCAAGGGCAGGAGAAGATGGACGTAGAAGAGAGTGCAAATTCATTCTTCCTCCACTTTTTTGTTCTATCTGGGCCTCAACTGAGCTGCTTTAAGAAACCACCCACTGTGGTTACTGGGCAGGCATTGTTGAGGACGTTGCTCACTGCTTCACACAGTGTCATCCTCCCATGTGTCATCCATGAAGACTTGTGGGAGAAGGTTCAGCTGTATTTCATTTACCTATTTACTTATTTTGAGACAGGTCTCACTGTCACCCAGGCTAGAGAGCAGTGGCACAATCTTAGCTCACTGCAGCCTTGACCTGACTGACTCAAGTGATCCTCTCACCTTAGCCTCCCAAGCAGCTAGGACCACAGGTAAGCATCACCATGCCCAGCTATTGTGTGTGTGTGTGTGTGTGTGTGTGTGTGTGTGTGTGTGTTTGTGTGTGTGTGTGTGTGTGTGTAGAGATGGGGTCTCACTATGTTGCCCAGGCTGGTCTCAAATTCCTAGGCTTATGCAATCCTCCTACTTCAGTCTCCCAAAGTGTTGAGATTATAGGCATGAACTACTGTGCCCAACCAGGCTCAGCTTTAGTACCAGAAATAATCTTGCTACTCTTAGCACCATATGGGCTTCTGAGCAACCCATTTAGTGCTACCTTGCAGACACAATCACGTGCCTGATCACATGGCTCTCAGCATTGGCTGCTAGAGAGGTCAGCACAAAATCTATGACCCAGCTCTACCAAGTCTCCTGACCTCTTTGTCAAAATTTCACACACCAATTTCACCCTGGCTTGCCTTTGTTTTTCCTCACCCTCATTGCCTCTTTGACCTGTTTTTTTTCTCTCAGCTTTGTTTTTAACCAAATTGGATTTTGAACATGACAAGTCACTTTGGTTTATCTGAGGATGAAGTTGGCGATGGGTTGTTAGATGATAAATAGACAGGGCAACAAAGAAATCAATATGGAATATGCCATGGGAAGATGGTGCCTAGCGTGTGCTCAAACAAATGTAGATCTCTATCCACTTTAGTCTGTTCAGGCTGCTAAGCAAGCTACCTTAGAGCTGACCTATAAGCAGCAGACATTCATTTTTCACGATTCTGGGGGCTGGCAGGCTGAGATCCGGGTGTGGGCATGGTTGGGTCCTGGCGAAGCAGCTCTAGGAAACAGACCCTAAGGGCAGGAATCTGGAGTTGGATCCCTCGCCAGCCCGATGGCCATGAGGAACCCATCACCGGTAACAGGGGCATCCCTGGCATGCTATAACAGTGCAATTGCTAAGAGTCTTATCTGTGTTCACTGGGGCAATATATAGGTGAAAGGGCGATTCACTTACCTGTGCAATGTTTCTGAAGTTTGAGAGGTGCTATGGGCTGAATGTTTGTATCGGTACAAATTCATACATTGAAGACTGAATCCCCAGGGGGATAATATTAGGAGGTGAGGCCTTGGGGAGATACTTAGGTTTAGATGAGGTCATGAGGGTGGGGCTGTCTTGATGGAATTAGTGCCCTTATAAAAAAGAAATATGAGGGAAATGATCTCTCTCTGCCTTGTAAGGATACAGTCAGAGGGCATCTGTCGGCAGACCAGGAGGAGAGCCTTCACCAGGAACCAAATCAGCTGGCACCTTGACCTTGAACTTCCAGCCTCTATAACTGTGAGAAATAGATTTCTGGCTTTCTTTTTTCTTTCTCCTAACTAAATTTTAACTAGACTGGAGTGCAATGGTGCGATCTTGGCTCACTGAAACCTCCACCTCCTAGGCTCAAGCGATTCTCCAGCCTCAGCCTCCTGAGTGCACCACCATGCCCAGCTAATTTTTGTATTCTTAGTAGAGATGGGGTTTCACCATGTTGGCCAGGCTGGTCTCGAACTCCTGGCCTCAGGTGATCCACCTGCCTCAGCATCCCAAAGTGCTGGGACTACAGGCATGAGCCACCACACCCAGCCAGATTTCTGTTGTTTAAGCCATGCAGTAGATGGCATTTTTGTTATAACAGCCCAAACTGACTAAAACAAGAGATATAGGAGAAACAGTAATGGTAAGATCTGTGGAACTGAGAAGCTGTTGCTAAACACCATAGATCAGAGGTTCCCAACCTTTTTGTCACCAGGAACCAGTTTCATAGAAGACAATTTTTCCAAGGCCTGTGGTGGCAGGGGATGGTTTTGGGATGAAACTGTTCAACTTTAGATTATCCCTCATTAGTTAGATTCTTATAAGGAACGCACAACCTAGATCCCTCGCATGCACACTTCACAGTAGGGTTCATGCTCCTATGAGAATCTGATGCCGCTGTGGATCTGACAGGAGGGGAGCTCAGGCAGTAATGTTCGCTCACCCACCACTCACCTGCTGTGTAGCCCAGTTCCTAACAGGCCAAGGATCGGTACCAGTCCACAGCCCAGAGATTGGGGACCCCTGCCACAGATGAATGGAAGGGAGAAAACCACAGGCTCAGATTGATAAATCACCAATTAAAAGATGAGTGTGAGAATCAGAAGATCTCTTTGGCAAGGTTTCAGTGACTTTTTTCTCTGCAGCTGGAGTTGGACTGAGCTGGAGACCAGACACAGGACTTAATTGGAAGATAGCAGAACTTCAAGGAAGATTGATTGCTCAGCCTAGGTGAGTCTTCTGTGACATAGAGGAACAGAAGCACAGAGCAGAATCTTGAGACCTGGATTAGAGATATTTGCATAGATGTAACCGAGAACTTTGAAATTCCCTTGAGCCCTCTGACCCTAAAGAGTGGCCCATCCCCCTTGTTGGAAGTTAATGGGGGTCCACAGCTTGAAGACCGTACATGGGTCTAGTGAGGTGGATGCCCTACAAGACAGCACTTTTCCTCCTCAGAATCTTCCTCATTTCCTCTTCTAGCCATCAGACTAATAGGTAGCCTCAAATCTCAGCGTGACCCAGGAAGGGAAGTGGTAAGTATTCCAAAGGATGACCAGGATAATAGGTCCCAGTGAAGTTTCTGGACTGGCTAATATATACCAGCAGGAAGTTGAGCATCTTCTCAGGAGCAGACCCTGAAGGTGCTGGATTGAAAAGTTGGAATATAAAGCCGGGTACGGGGGATTTTATTGGCATGGGACACTCTCTCATTTTATAGCATTTAATATCTTGGCAAGCGGCCCAGGAGAAGTTTCTAACATGCTGTTTTTAGGTGCTCAGGAAAAGTGATGGACCTAATTATATGAACTAGAGATGCCAGAACTGTGATAGGATGTTCTAGAAGAAGGGATCAAAAGATTAACAAAAGTGTCCATGCCTTATGGATATGTATATCAAACCAGAAAACCTATTGGCTTTAACTCTGTTCTCCAGGAAGGCTTTGAAGGATGCTCCATTTACCAAGACTGCATTAAATGCTCTAGGAAGAGCAGCAGAAATAACATTAAGCTCCTAGTGACTGTCCTCTGTAATCTGGGCCAATGGTGAGAGATGCTATGATAAATTGGGCTACTTAGTAGCAATGGGGATGATAAGATCCCAGAATAGCAGAGTAGAGGGGCAGCACTTAATTGTCAGGATAATTACCCTAAATAGGAAACCAGGGGTCCCTAATCCACAAATACCTATAGACACAGTTAATAGAATGTGGCATTCCTAAGGTAAGATAGCTAGAAAACCAAGAATAGGTATCACAATGTATAATCAAAAGAGAACAAGAATGAATGACCCTTGGTCTATGTGTCTGTCTTCATGCCAGTACCAGGCTGATTTGGTAACTATAGCTTTGTAGTCTATTTTGAAATCAGGTAGTGTGATACTTCCAGCTTTGTTTTTTTTGTTTTGTTTTGTTTTGTGTTTGTTTGTTTGTTTTTTGAGACAGAGTTTCACTCTGTCACCCAGGCTGGAGTGCAGTGGCATGATCTCAGCTCACTGCAACCTCCACCTCCTGGGTTCAAGTGATTCTCCTGCCTCAGCCTCCTGAATAGCTGGGATTACAGGTGTGCACCACCACATATGGCTACTTTCAGCTTTGTTCTTTTACTTCAGGATTGCTCTGACTATTCGGGGTCTTTTGTGTTTCCATATAAATGTTAAGATTATTTTTTCTATTTCTGTGAACAATGTCATTGGTATTTTGATAGTGATTGCATTGAATCTGTAAATTCCTTTGAGTAGCATTGTCATTTTAACAATATTAATTCTTCCTATCCACGAGAATAGACTATCTTTCCATATTTTTGGTGTCCTCTTCTATTTCTTTTATCAGGGTTTTGTGGTTTCTGTTGCATAGATCTTTTACTACTTTGGTTAAGTTGACTCCTAGGTATTTTATAACTTTTGTAGCTATGGTAAATGGTATTGCTTGCTTGATTTCTCTTTCAGATTGTTGGCTGTTGGCATATATAAATGCTACTTATTTTTGTGTGTTGATTTTGTATCCTGCAATTTTACTGAATTTGTTTAATAGTTGTAACCTTTTTTTGATGGAGTCTTCAGGTTTTTCTAAATATAAGATTATATCATCTGTGAACAAGGCTAATTTGATTTCTTCCTTCCAATTCCACATGCCCTTTATTTCTTTCCTTTGCCTAGTTGCTCTGTCTGGACTTCTAGTATTATATTGAATAAAAGTGGTGAAAGTGGGCATCCTGGTCTTGTTTCAGATCTTAGAAGAAAGGCTTTCAATTTTTCCCTATTCAGTAATATGTTAGCTGTGAGTTTGTCATACATGTCCTTATTATTTTGAGGTATATTCCTTCTATGCCAAGTTTGTTGAGGGTTTTTACCATAAAGCAATGTTGAATTTTATCAAATGATTTTTTATCATCTATTGAAATGATCATTTGTTTTTTGTTCTGGATTCTGTTAATGTGATGTATCATGTTTATTGATTAGCGTATGTTGAACAATCCTTGCATTCCTGGGATGAATCCCACTTCATGATACAAATATTTTTAATGTGTTATTGAATTCAGTTTGCTAGTATTTTGTTGAGGATTTTTTCATTTGTATTCATCAGAGATACTGGCTGGTAGTTTTCTTGTTTCATTATGTTCTTGTCTGGTTTCGGTATCAAGGTTATACTGGCCTTGTAGAAAGAGTTTGGAGGTATTCCCTCCTCTTCAATTTTTTCGGAAGAGTTTGAATAGAATTGACATTAGATCTTTTTTAAATATTTGGTAGAATTTGGCAGTGAAACTGTCAAGCCCTGGGCTTTTCTTTGATGAGAAAGTTTTTGACTTCGGCTTTTATCCTGTTACAGTTATCAGTTTGTTGTGGCTTTCCATTTCTTCATGGTTCAGACTTGGTAAGTTGTATGTAACCAGGAAGTTATCCATTTCTTCTAGATTTTCCAGTTGGTTAGCATATAGTTGTCTGTAATCGTCTCTAACGATTCTTTGTATTTCTGTAGTCTCAGTTGTTATGCCTCCCTTTTTGTTTCTGATTTTATTTAGTTGGGTCTTCTTTTTATTTTCTCTTAGTATAACTAAAGGTTTATTGATTTTATTTTTTCAAAAAAACAACTTTTTGTTTATTGATCTTGTGTATTTTTAAAATTTCAGTTGCATTTATATCTGCTCTGATCTTTATTCTTTCTTTCCTTCTACCAATTTTGGGTTTGGTTTATTCCTGCATTTCCAGTTCCTTCAGATGCACTATTAGGTTGTTTATTTAAAATCTTTCTACTTTTCTGATATAGGGATTTATTGCTATAAACTTCCTCTTAGTATTTCTTTTACTCTATCCCATAGATTTTGGGATGTTGTATTTCCATTTTCATTTGTTTCAAGGAGTTTTTTAATCTCCTTCTTAATTTCTTTATTGACATCTTGTAGTTTAGGAGCATGTAGCTTAATTTCCATGTGTTGGTGTATTTTCTGAGGTTCCTCTTGTTTAGTTTTATTCCACTGTGGCCAGAGAAAATACTTGATATAATTTCTACTTTTTAGAAATTTGTTGACTTCTTTTATGGCCTCACATATGTTCTATTCTGAAGAATGTTCCATGTGCTGATAGAAATAATATGTATTCTGTAGCGGCTGGGTGAAATGTTCTGCAAATGTCAGTTATATCTATTTGTGGAACAGAATAGAGAAGCCAGATATAAATCCATGTACTCACAGCCAACACATTTTCAACAAAGGTGCCAAGAACATACAATGGGGAAAGGGCAGTTTCTTCAATAAATAGTTCTGAGAAAACTGGATAACCATATGCAGGAGAATAATCAAGTCAAAAGGAGTTAAAGGCTTAAATCTAAGACCTGAAACTATGAAACTACTAGAAGAAAACATTGGAAAAATAGTCCAGTACATTGGTCTGGGCAAAGATATTTTTGTGTAAGACCTCAAAAGCACAGGCAACCAGAACAAAAATAGACAAATAGGATTACATCAAGCGAAAAAGCTTCTGCACAGTGAAGGAAACAATAACAAAGTGAAGGGACAACCTACTGGATGACAGAAAATGTTTGCAAACCATCTATATGACAAGGGGTTAATAACCAGAATATATAAAAAGCACAAGCAATGCAATAGCAAAGAATAATAATGATAATAATAATAAGAAGAATAACCTGATTTTAAATGGGCAAAAGATCTGAATAGACATTGCTCCAAAGAAGACATACAAATGGCCAACAGGTATATTAAGAAATACTAAATATCCTTAATCATCAGAGAAATGCAAGTCAAAACCACAATGAGATATCACTCTCGTTAAAATGGCTTCTATCATTTGTCATCAAAGACAGATGCTGGTGAGGATGTAGAGAAAGGGAAACCCTCATATACTACTGTGGCAATGTAAATTAGTACAGCCACTGTGGGAAACTGTATGGAGGCTCTTCAAAAAACTAAAAATAGAACTACCTTATGGCCCAGCAATTATACTACTGGATATATATTCAAAAGAAAGAAAATCAATATATTGAAGAGATATCTGCACTCCCATGTTTATTGCAGCCCTATTCACCGTAGCTGAAATATGGAGTCAGCCTAAGTGTTCACGAACAAATGAACAGATAAAGAAAGTGTGGCACATATACACAATGGAATATTATTCAGTCATAAGACAGAATGAAGTCTTGTCATTTCCAGCAATGTGAATGAAACTGGAGTTCATTATGTTAAGTGAAATAAGCCAAGCACAGAAAGACAGATATTACAAGTTCTCATTCATATGTGGGAGCTAAAGAAAAGTGGATCTTATGAAGATAGAGAGTAGATTGGTGGTTACCAGAGGCTAGGAAGGGTAGTGAGGAAAGGAGGATGAAGAGAGGCTGAGTAATGGGTACAAATATACAGTTTGACAGAGGAAATATGACGTAGTGTTTGATGGATCAATAGAGTGACCACAATTAACAATAATCTATTGCATATTTCAAAACAGCTAGAAGAGAATAATTCAAATGTTTCTAGCATAAAGACAAATATTTAAGGTGATGGATATTCCAATTACATTGATTTGATCTTTGTAAATTATACAAATGTATTAAATTATCATATGCACCATGAAATATGCAAATCTACTATGTAGCAACAAAAATAAATAAATAAATGAGCAGAATTCTGATTCCAGCCATTCCCATGCAAAGTCATAATCCTTTGCCCATTTTTAAGAATGGATTCTCTAGAATTTGTTCATTAAAAAAGAGTCCTGTTTCCATGATGAGAGACCATGTAACACTGAAGAGTATACAGAAATGATTCCCTGATATCTTCCCAAAAAAGCCTCTGGACATTATTTTGGCTGATCTTACACCAAGGAAAGGAAATGCCCAAGTCTTTTGAGAACTGTTTGATACCTGGTCCAAGTTGACACTGAAAAATGCCAAAGGGCCATCATGGTTCCCCCATGAGGGTAGAAACAGGTGAGAGTCAGGTATAAATGGACTCAGGGCTCAGGTTCATATCATAGTATGTCCACTGGGTCATTTCTCCAGTTCCCAAAAGTATAGTCAGAATAGACAATTTGCCAGAACTCTCATACTGGTTCCTTTACCTGTGGAGTAAAAGTTATTGTAGTAGGAAAATCCGGGAGGAAACCATTATAGTAGGGAAAGCCTTTGAAACAACTCTGCCTTTGGTGAAGATAGTAAACCAAAGTCAATTTCA
Organism: Homo sapiens; assembly: GCF_000001405.40. NCBI lineage: Eukaryota > Metazoa > Chordata > Mammalia > Primates > Hominidae > Homo > Homo sapiens. Next base: position 4,904,420 of record NC_000004.12, on the reverse strand, counting down.
CATGTAGCGAGATTAGTACCACCCTCAAAAACGTTAAGAGTAAACAGATGGTCATCATATCCTCATTTAATTCAGCAGCCCGACCTCTGGAAAAATTGGATGGATCATGGCAGACAGCAGTGGACTATGGCAAATTTCACCAATTAATGACCCAACTGCAGCCACAGTGCCAGACATTGTATCTTTACTAGAGAAATTTAATGCAGCTTCTAATATGTGGTATGTGGCTATTAATGTGCAGAATGCATTATTTTTTATATCCATTAGGAAAGGTACTGGAAACAGCATGCATTCACAAGGGATGGGTATCAGTACACATTCATAGCTTTTCTCTGTTGCATGAGTAGTCTCATTTTCCTACTTTCGATTGCAACAGAAAGGCTGAAGTACCCTGGACCATCTAGGTTCAACCCAGAATATCATATTGGTCTACCACACTGACTCCTCCTTAAGATGTATGGGCTTCAAAGGGTGAGAACTGCCATAAAGGTGAAGTTTTGAGAGGTTCACTGATCTAGGGTATGCTGGGGCATCCCCCCAAAGTAAAGGACAAATTGTGGCACATTTTCCTAATATACGTAAAGGCACCATAAGGGCTCAGGCAGCCATAAATGCCCAACTTTTCAAACCCCACTGCATAGCAGTTGTGTGGTTTGATGAAGACTCACTCCATTCTACCCAGGTCTGAGGGTGGGCCCGGATTAGACTGAGCTAACTGAAGAATTTCCACAACCTCCAAGCCATGCTTACGGACTATGGGTGGGTGACCTGGGTTAGTCCATTCTGAATAAAGCTTGGAACTTCTGTTTGGTGGCTAAGGGAAGAGAATCCTGTTCTCTTCTCCAGTGAAGGAGAAAGCATGTAGCTCTGGGAGCCTCCAGCAACCCCTTGGCTTCCCTGGAGGAAGCCAGCTTGAGAGCAAACCTGATGAATGATACCTAGAGACTGGCAGAACCAAGAGGATCATACAGAAACTAAGCTTCCATCTGATGATATGTGGACCCACCCAGAAGCCTGCTCTACCTGTGAGCTTTCCCAGTGTTTGAGCCAATATGTTCCACCCTTACAGGTTAAGCCACCTTGAATGAGCCTTCTGATGTTTGCAGCATATTGTGTCTTAATTCCTGCAGGACCTTCTCAACATGTCATCACCAAGAGAAGCAGAAATCTGGCTCCAATCCACTGGCCAGCAATGTCAACCTCTTCTAAAGGAGGTTCTGAAAGAACGATGAAAGGGGAGTTTATTCCACAAATAGAATAAGATATGCTCTTTGCTGTCTCTGTCCCCAAAGTCTAATGACAATTGCTATTATCTTTTTCTCTCTCTCCTCCCCTTCCCAATCCCCCAGCTCCCAATCAGTCCTCTTGTCTTTCCTCCTTTTCTCATCCTCTCCACCCCTCAACATGGTCAGCAAAACAAGAGCCTAAGAGGTGCCAGAGCAAGTGAGAATCCTGAGAAGGCACAGGGCAGAAGGGAGGGGTGCCCATGACTGTAATTTGAGATTTCATCCCTATGCCATGCTCTGGGTACAAAGGATCTTCATCAAGGCAAGAACGTCTTTTCAAACCCACCATTTACCTTATAAAAAAAATGTGAAGGCCATTATCAAGAAGACAAAAAACAGCAAGTGTTGGTGAAGGTGGAGAGAAAAGGAAACACTTGCACACTGTTGGGATTTTAATTAGTACAGCCATTAAAGGAAACAGTATAGAAGTGCCTCAGAAAACTGGCCGGGCGCAGTGGCTCACACCTGTAATCCCAGCACTTTGGGAGGCCGAGGCGGGCGGATCATGAGGTCAGGAGATCGAGACCATCCTGGCTAACATGGTGAAATCCCATCTCTACTAAAAATACAAAAATTAGCTGGGCATGGTGGCAGGTGCCTGTAGTCTCAGCTACTCGGGAGGCTGAGGCAGGAGTATGGCGTGAACCCAGAAGGCGGAGCTTGCAGTGAGCTGAGATCGCGCCACTGCACTCCAGCCTGGATGACAAAGCCAGACTCCATCTCAAAAAAAAAAAAAAAAAGAAAAACAGAAGTGCCTCAGAAAACTGAAAAATAGAACTACCATATGATCCAGCAATACCACTGCTGAGCTGATATGGTTAGGCTTTGTGTCCACACCCAAATCTCATCTTGTGTCCACACCCAAATCTTTGTGTCCACACCCAAATCTCATATTCCTCATGTGTGAAGGGAGAGACCAGGTGGATGTAACAATCATGGAGGCAGTTTCTCCCATGCTATTCTCATGATAGTGAGTGAGTTCTTATAAGATCTGATGGTTTTATAAGGGGCTCCTTCCCCTTCGCTCAGCACACCTCCTTCCTGCCACCTTGTGGAGAAGACGCATTGCTTCCCCTTCCTCATCTGCTATGATTGTAAGTTTCCTGAGGCCTCCCCAGCCATGTTGGACTGTCAGTTAATTAAACCTCTTTCCCTTAAAAATTACCCAGCCTCAGGCAATTTTTTATATCAGTATGAAAATGGACTAGTAATGAGTATATACCCAAGGGAATTAAAATCAATATGTCAAAGAGGTATCTGTGCGCCTGCAGTATTATTCACAACAGTGAAGATATGGAAGTAACTAAAGTGTCCATTAATGAATAAATACATAAAGAAAATGTGGCATATATGCTCAGTGGAATCCTATTCAGACTTAAAAAGAGAAGGAAATCCTGTTGTTTGCATGGAAGTACATGGATGAGACTGGAAGACATTCTGCTCTGTGAAATAAGCCAGACACAGAAAGACAAATACTGTATGGGCTCACTTACCTGCAGAATCTAAAAAAAGGTGACCTCATAGAAACAGAGTGGAATGGTGGTTACCAGAAGCTAGAGAGGGAGTCATGAATGGGGAAAGGAGAGATGTAGGTCAAAACAAAGTTTCTCTTAGACAGGAGGAGTTGGTTTTGTGATTGTCACATAACATGGTGACTACAATTAGTAATAATGTATTGTATATTTTATAATTACTAAAAGAGTAGATTTTAAACTTTATGAGAAAAGAATAAATAAGTGAGGTGATGGATATGTTATTTAGCTTGATTTAAACTTCCTACAGTGTACGCATATATTAAAAACATCACTTCATACCCATAAATATATATGACTATTATTTGTCAGTTAAATAAGTAAATAACAATTTTAATTGCAAAAAAAAAGCGTGAAAAGGAAACAACTCACGAATTTCCTTCTTGAGCCTCCCCTGTTGAGGACATCAGCAAGAATCCTGGTCTTCAGCCATGACCTCTGCGAAATTCAAGGCAGATGTGAATGGCCACATGCAGCAGGTCAAGGGGTCATGTGGCTGGCCCAAGGACACAGGGAATCAGGTGCTCAATGGGATCCCTGGAGACACAGAGGGCAGGAACCTGTGCTCAGCAGGTGAGTGGCTTAGATTCAACCTGGCTCTGTCACTCCTTGGCTATATGGCCTTGGGCAAGTGATAGAATGGATCGGGTCCACAGTATCCTTGCCTGTAAAGTGGGGACAATAGTAATTGTACATACTAAGTCTCCAATTGACTTTAACTGTAATCATAGAGTCTCTGGTCTGTGGCTGTTTGTGGCGACTTAGCTGCAGGGTGGGGAACTAGGTGGCCCCAACAGCCAGTACTAAAAAGAGATCTGAAGTTGGTATGCATTCTACCCCGTCTTAGTTTTGGTGCCCCCCAAAGCACAGCCTGAGACAGAGCTTGGGTGTGGGTAGTTTGTTTGGGAGGTGACCCCAGGAAGCAGGAGGAAGTGGGGGAGGGTGTGCTTTCAGGCCTCAGAGAACCTTCTGAAATGTGTATAGAAGGTCTCTATACTGTATTGAATAATGTTCCCCCAAAATTTGTGTCCACCTGGAGCCTCAGAATATGACCGTATTTGGAAATAGAGTCTTTGTAGATGTAATTACTTAAATTAACGTGAAGACACACTGGATTCAGGTGGGCCCTGAATCCAATGGCTGATGTTGTTATTGGCAGGCCATGTGAAAGCACAGAGAGAAGGCCATGTGAGGATGGAGTGGAGACTGGAGAGGTTTGTCTATGAGCCAGAAAGTACCAAGGATCACTGATGACCACTGGAAGCCAGGAGAGAGGCATGGGATGATTTATCCCTCAGATCCTCCAGGAGGGAACTAATCCCGAAGGCACTTTGATTTCAGACCTCTGGCTTCCAGAACTGTGAGCAAATAAATTGCTATTGTCGGAAGCCACCAGTTTTTGCTCATTTGTTACAGCAGCCACAGGAAACTAATACAGCCTCCCAGAACTGCCCACCACACCTCCAGCCATGACTCGTCTCCCAGCTTTCCCAAGATTTCCTTCACTCATGCCTCCATTCATTCAGTGCACATTCCCTAAGCTCCTGCTCGCTAGGATGTTGCGACCTGGTGCCTGGTCACGGTGAGCTCAGGTGCAGTGAGGGAGACACTAAATCATTGGGACACACGTGTTAAGCTTGGTGATTGCTGGAAACAAAGCAGGTCAAGGGAGCACTGAGGAGAGTCCCAGCTTAGCCAGGGCTGGGGGCTGCGGGCAGGGGCAGGGTAGTAAGACTTCCCCAGGAAGACTGCTCACACAGAGAAAACAGTATGTGCCAGGAACAGTGGGGAGACAGCGTGGAGGATTTGGGAAGAACACTGTTAGGTGCAGTGGGAGAGTCAGGAGATAAACACTGGGCATCTAGAGCACTAAGTTGATAGGTTGTGGGCACCTGCTGCCCGCAGCATCCTTGCATGCCTCTCCTTTCAGGAGTGTGACCCAAGCTGGGCCAAGAGAATCCTTGTCTGGGACTTCATTATAGTCACCATGAAAGGAAGTCTCTCCTGTCTGGCTTGGCTGGAGCTCGGAGTGGCCTGCGACTCTGCTTCTCCTCCTGCTTGGACAAGGCTCACTGTCAGAGGGAGAAGACAGGGCCAAGGCACAGAGGAAGGAAATGGAGAGAAACAGAGAAAAAAAGGTTGCCTGATCATGTCTGAGGTCAGGTCCACTCCCATCCTTCCCAGTCTCATGTCAGCCCTTGTCTTATGTAAATTAGTTGGGTTTCAGACCCTTAAAACAGAAAGTGGAAAACCTTCAGATGGTTTTTAAATGTGTATATCATGGGTTGAATGGGGTGGCCTCCAAAGGAAATTTCCACCCAGAACCTCAGAATGTGAACTTATTTGGAATCAGCATATTTGCAGATGTAATTATGGTAAGAATCTCAAAGTGAGTTCATGCTGGATTAGGGTAGGTCATAAGTCCAATGACAAGTCCTCATAAGACAGTGAAAAGGAGAAGCCACATTGAGAGAGATACAGACAGCGGAGGCCATATAAGTATGGAGGCAGAGATTGGAATGCTGCAGCCTCAGGCCATGGAACACCTAGAGCCACCAAAAGCTAGAAGAAGCAGTAAGGATCCTCCCCTAGAGCCTTTGGGAGTGGGGGAACACAGCCCTGCTGACACCTTGAGTTCGGGGGAAGTGAGCATGGCTTTTGGCTCATTGACCCACCACCTCTGATGACTCCCAGGGCCCTCTCCTGTGCCCCACTTTAGCTCCTCTTGGCCTCATCTATCTATGATCATAGCCCCAGCTGTGGCAGCCAGGTCTGCACAGGCTCTTCCCAGCTTCCTGCAACAGTGACCTGACAGCATCTCACCCAGCGTTTATTAATACTGGGCTCAGGATACAGCAGGAAGCCTCCTTGGCCGGGCACATGCACTATTTAGAACAGTGAGGAATAAACATCAAATAGGCTAACCTTTAACCAACAGGAGTTTCAAGTCATTGGAAAATTTCTGCACTCTCTCTACCTTGAATGATTGCTCTGAGACTATTCTCGTGGAATCATTGGAGGAGATCAGGAAGTCACAGAAGGTGGAGCCAAGGCACTCCTCCACCCAGCCTCACGTGCTGTCCCATACCTGATCCTGGGACCACACTGCCTAACAGTCCTCGAACAAAAGCTTCTGTCTCCAGCTCTGCTTTTGGAGAATCCAGGCTCAGGCAGGATTCACACATAATTCTAAAGCAGGGGCTATACCATCTGGCTGCATGTGATTGTTCTTCACAGCTAAAGCCAGTGAACAACTATGTACTAAATAAGATCCAGATGAGGCTGTTTTAACAAGCAACCTTGAGTACAGTGACTTCAAAAGGAAAGAGTTTATTTTTCACTTGTGTAGAGTCTGAGTAGATGGCCCAGGGCTGGTGAGGAGCTGGGAAGCAGGGCACTCTAGCTCATTCTCAGCTGTCACCATGACTGGTGTCAAAGCGTGCTCTTGTCACATTCCTACCTGCAGGAAGAGAGGAGAGGAAGAGTGCTCCTTTTATGGGCTCTGCTCACACCCCTTTGACTGAAATTTGTACACAAAATTTTGTTATCAAAATTTGGTCATACCCCTTGCTGCAAGGGGTGTTAAGAAAAGTGGTTTCAGCTATATGGCCACGTACCCAACCCAAACTGGTGGATCCCATGATCAAAGGGAAACTGGATTGATGGATACTGGGAGAAAAGAGCATCCTCTGCTGCCAATCAAACTGCTTTCAGGAATCTACAACTACAGACACCCTACCATGCAAAACAAACCAATTTGGAGGAAATATAGTGAACATGAGTGGCATTGATTCAGGGCCTCCAAGGAGCAGAGTCCTTTACATTCAGATCAACTAGTAACCTCAGAGCTGTCCTACGAGGCCTGTGCTCTATCATTCCCATTTTACGGATGAGGAAACTGAGGCTCAGAATAAGTAATGTTCTCAAGGTCAAGAAGTGCCATAGTTGGAATTTGATATAACACAGTCTCCTTGGGCAAATATTCTTGACTCCCTTATCACACTGCCTCCCTTTGAGAGCCACTAACTTCCTGCTTCCAACTCTTCCAACTCATAATGACCCTCTCTGGGTCATTATGGTCGACAATCTCTGGGGTGGCCCCATAAGCTCATGTTTATTGATATGGTTTGGCTCTGTGTCACCACCCAAATCTCATGTTGAATTGTAAACCCCACATGTCAGGGGAGGGGCCTGGTGGGAGGTAATTGGATCATGGGTGTGGATTTCCCCCTTCCTGTTCTCGTGATAGTGAGTGGGTTCTCATAAGATCTGATGGTTTAAAAGTCTGTGGCATTTCCCCCCTCTCACTCTCTCTCCTGCCACCATGTGAAGAAAGCCCTTGTTTCTCCTTCACCTTCCGCCATTATTGTAAGTTTCCTGAGACCTCCCCAGCCATGTGGAACTGTGAGTCAATTAAGCCTCTTTTGTTTACAAATTACCCAGTCACAAGTAGTATCTTTATAGCAGTGTGAAAACAACTAATACATTTATACTCTTGTGTGATCCCCTGCCCTGAGTGTCAGTGGGGCCTATGATTTGTGACGAGATGCACATTATTACGATACAAAAGATTGTAACCTCTCTTGCTGGGTGTGAAGAAGCAAGCTGCCATGTTGTAAGATGTCCTATGGAGAGGGCCACATGGCAGTGAACTAAGGGCAGCTCCAGCCTCCATCCAAAAAAGATAGTGAGGCCCTCAGTCCAGCAGCCTACAAGGAACTGCCAAAACCTATGAGCACAGAAGATCATCTTCCCAGTCAAACCTCAGATGAGATCACAGCCCCAGCCAATATCTTGATTGCAGTTTTGTGAAGGCATAGAGCAGAGGACCCAGCCATTCTGTGCCCAGACTCCTGACCCGTAGAATTATGAGATAATAAATGTGAAGTGGCTTAAGCTGCTAAGTTTATAGTAACATTGTAACACCATCATACATAACTAATACAGTCTTAGTTTCCCACTCTGAAAATGGGCAAAATACACCACCTTTCAGATGTACACTCAGCCAGTGGGAAGGAAGCCATTCTCCTATACTCAGCTGTACTAGTTTTCTATAGATGCTGTCATAGAGTACCACAAGCTTAGTGGCTTAAAACAACACAAATATACTTGCTTGCAGTCCTAGAGGTCAGAATTCTGAAATCAGTCTCACTGGGCTAAAATCGAGGCATTGGCAGGGCTGATTACTCCTGGGGAGGCTCTAAGGCAGAATTATTTTCTTATCTTTTGCAGCTTCTAAATTCCATTTTTATTCCCTGGCTCATGGCCCCTTCCTTCATCTTCAAAACGAGCAGTGTAGCTTTTTCAAACCCCTCCTTCCATCATCACATCACTTTTCTGAGTCTTCTGTGTCCCTTTATAAAAACACTTATGATTACATTAGGTCAACCCAGATAATCCAGGATAGTTCGTAAATGTGTGCCCTCTTAAGCTGCTAAATTTGCGGTAACATTGTTACACAGCAACAGAAAACTAATACTGTGTGTACTAGTCAAAGTTCTCCAGAGAAACAGACCAGTAGGATATTTAGAGAGATAGAAAAGGAGGTTTATTATGGGAATTGGCTCCAGGACTTATACCACCGGGACCACCCCCATCCAGGGGAAGTTGATGGTGTAACTCCCAGCAAGTCCTGGAATCCAAAGGCCCGAGAACCAAGAGCTTCAATGTCCAAGGGCAGAAGATGGATGTTCCAGCTCAAGAAGACAGAGCAAATTCGTTCTTCCTCCACTTATTTTGTTCTACCTGGCCCTCAATAGATTGTTTGATGCCCGCACACACTGGTGAAGGCAGAGTTTCTTTACTCAGTCTATTGATTCAGTGCTAATCCCTTCCAGAAAGGCCCTCACAGACATACTCAGAAATGTTTTACCAGCTATCTGAGTATCACTTGACCCCGTCAGTTGACACATAAAATTAACCATCATGCTATCTCAAAACCTTAATTTCATCACAGGTGCGAATTCCCTTTGCCTATAAGGTAACATACTCACCAGTTCTTGGGATTAGGACGTGAACATGTATGGAGGCCATTATTCAGCCTACCACATCATCACACCTTAGGAACACAACCAATGCTAGTTACCAAGACACCCATATTCATTAGTTTGTTTTTTCATCTATTCTAGAGTGCCTCCTGTATGCCTGGCGTGGTTCTGGTCATTGCAAATAAATTTACGATGTCTGCTCTCTAGGGGGTGAGAAAAGAAACATCTGAACCGTTGTAAAAGGAAATTGAAAGTTTATATTTCTTCAATGCCTACCATATGTGATTAGTTTTCTATTGATCCTGTAACGTATTACAAAGAACTTGTGGCTTAAAACAACACAATGTCTGGAGCTGCTGCCACCAAGTCCAGATCTCCTTGCCATGTGCCCCCGATGGCCACCCGATGTGCATTCCCGATTCCTTTTGGTTTGAAGTCCAATATGGCAATTCTCAAGGATCAGCTGATTCATAATCTTCTAAAGGAAGAACAGACCCCCCAGAATATGATTATAGTTGTTGAGGTTGGTGCTGTTCACATGGCCTGTGCCATCAGTATCTTAGTGAAGGACTTGGCAGATGAACTTGCTCTTGTTGATGTCATGGAGGACAAATTGAAGGGAGAGATGATGAATCTCCAACATGGCAGCCTTTTCCTTGGAATGCCAAAGATTGTCTCTGGCAAAGACTATAATGTAACTGCAAATTCCAAGCTGGTCATTATCACAGCTGGGGCACATCAGCAAGAAGGAGAAAGCTCTCTTAATTGGGTCCAGTGTAATGTAAACATCTTTAAATTCATCATTTCTAATGTTGTAAAATACAGCCCAACTGCAAGTTGCTTATTGTTTTAAATCCAGTGGATATCTTGACCTGTGTGGCTTGGAAGATAAGTGGCTTTCCCAAAAGCCGTGTTATTGGAAGTGGCTGCAGTCTGGATTCAGCCCAATTCCGTTACCTGATGGAGGAAAGGCTGGGTGTTCACCCATTAAGCTGTCATAGGTGAGTTCTTGGGGAACATGGATACTCTACTGTGTCTGTATGGAGTGGAGTGAACGTTGCTGGTGTCTCCCTGAGGACTCTGCATCCAGATTTAGGGACTGATACAGATAAGGAATGGTGGAAAGAGGTTCAAAAGCAGGTGGTCAAGAATGCTTATGAGGTGATTAAACTGAAAGGCTACACTTCCTGGGCCTTTGGACTCTCTGTGGCAGATTTGGCAGAGAGTATGATGAATCTTAGGTGGGACACCCAATTTCCATCATGATTAAGGGTCTCTATGGAATAAAGGATGATGTCTTCCTTAGTGTTCCTTGCATCTTGGGACAGAATGGAATCTCAGACCTTGTGAAGGTGACTCTGACTCCTGAGGAAGAGGCCTGTTTGAATAAGAGTGCAGATACTTTGGGGGATCCAAAAAGAGCTGCAATTTTAAAGTTTTCTGAGATCACACCACTTCACTGTCTAGGCTACAACAGGATTTTAGTTGGAGGTTGTGCATGTTGTCCTTTTTATCTGATCTGTGATTAAAGCAGTAATATTAAGACAGACTTGGAAAAGCATCAATTCCTAAAGTTAGAAAGAGGCATGGTTTGTAAAATCCTACAGCTATATCCTGATGCTTCATGGTACTAATCTCGCATAGTCCTATAAGTCTACCACCTTTGAGGCACCACTGCCAATGCTGCAAATGCTGCAGTTACCCCTTGAGCCAGATGGATGTTTACTGTGTGTTATATAACTTCCTGGCTCCTTCACCGAACATGCCTAGTCCAACATTTTTTTCCAATCAGTCACATCTTAGGATCCAGTGTATAAATCCAATATTGCATGTCTTGTGCATAATTGTTCCAAAGGATCTTATTCTGTGGACGATATATATCAGTCGTACACATTGCCGTATAGTGCAAAAAGAAACATCTACATATAAACAATGCAACCAACTATCCAAGTGTCATACCAACTAAAACCCCCAATAAACCTTGAACAGTGAAAAAAAATAAAAATAAAACAACACAATAGATATTCTTATAGTTTTGTAGGTCAAATATCCAGCACGGGTCTAAATCAAGGTTCCAGCAGGACTATGTTCCTTTTTGGAGGCTCCAGGGGTCAATCTGTTTCCTTGCCTTTTCCAGCTTCCAGAAGTCACCTCCATTTTTTTGTTTATGACCTCCTCTTCCATATCAAAACCACCAATTGTGGGCCACAATCTTCTCAGGTTACAATGGGTCTGGTTCTCTCTCTTCTGCCTCCCCCCTCCACCTATAAGGACCCTGTCGATTACATCAGGCTACCGAGATCATCCCAGATGAGCTCCGCATCTCAGGGATGGCTGATGAGCAAGCTCAATTTCACCTGCTGCCCTAATTCCCCTTTGCCATGAACCTAATGTAGTCACAGGTCCAGGAGATCAGGAAGTGGACATCTTTGGGAGCCATTATTCTGCCTACCGCAGCATGTCACACCCACTGATAGCATTTTTAAAGTATTATCTCATTTAGTCATCAGAACAACCACGTAAAGTAGTACTGTCATCATCCCTATTTTGCAGATGGGGAAATGGGGTACATGGCGCTTATGTAATTTTCCCAAAGTCACATGGCTGATAGTGATTATATTTGAAACCAGAGAGTTTTGGTCTAAAACCCCCTCCTATAAACACTGCACCATGTTGTCTCATATGTAATGCCTACTACATGCCAGTCCTGTGCTCTTTTATAAACTATAATAAGCTAGCAGTTTCCTTAATTTAAAGAAACCCTTAACTTTCAAGTTTGCAACACAGAATCTCCATCAAGGAAGGGGTTTGGGACCTCACAGTCCCAATCCTCTTGACTTCATGGATGATGCTGGTTTCTGCTACCATGATCCACCTCTCTGGCCTAGGGGAGATGGGTTGTCCCCCTTAGACAGCCTCACAGAGCCAGATTAAGAACCAACAAGGCCAGGCATGATAGCTCATGCCTGTCATCCCAGCACTTTGGAAGGCAGAAGTGAGAGCATCAGTTGAGCCCAGGAGTTCAAGACCAGCCTGGGAAACAGTGAGACCTCACCTCTACAAAGATAAAAAAAACATTAGCCAGGCATGGTGGCATGAACCTGTGGTCTCAGCTAAGCTACGGTTGCCCCACTGCACTCCAGTCTCAGTATCAGAGCAAGACCCTGTCTATAAAAGGAAAGAGAGAAAAAAGAACCAACAGCTGAGCATGTCTCTGAAGCCATCTATGAGAGGGACCAGATCATTCCAGGGAGAGTAAGATGGAGGGAATTATATTTAGCAAAATTATCTCAAGGGCAGTGTGACAGGAAAGAATTCTTTGAGGGGCCTCCTGGATTGAAAAATAAGACCCCCAAAGGCAGGCTTGATGATCAACAGATGGTTGATCTAATCTTATTAGAGGGGCCTGAGTTAATTATAGTTTTATTTTATTCTGTAAAGCCTGCAAATTTGGGCCAGAGCAGAACTGTTCTGACAGCAAAAGAGATATAGAATCAGGGTTCCTACTTCCCCATATCTGCCACTCCTACCCCCAGATGAATATGAAGGCAACATTTAGGGAACATGAGTTTGGAGGACAAACTCTTTGCTTGCTCAGGGCCCCTACACATTTTCGCTGTCTTTACAGAGATTCTTCCCTTTAAAATCCCATAGCACAGTTGAGACATGAATAAAAGGTTCTATTTTATCAAGATTTTTTTCCCTAAAGTCCAAAATAAATATGGAGAGGAACATAAAACAGCATCATCTCAGCAGGCTATGTCATCCTGGCTTCTGACCTGCTCTGCTTACCATCTTAGCACCCACTGCCCGAAAGACCACCCTGCCAGACACACCTGCCCTTGAGGAATGATAATCTGTAGTGATTCATGCAAGTCCCCCGCTACCAGCCCAGGGCCCACCCTCCAAGATTCAGCTTCCCAGCTGAAGATACAGCTCTTCATTTGATTAACACTGGAAGGGCCTTTTAGAGATAATTAGGTAGTGGGGCTCAGAAACCCCTACAGGAAAACACCATCTCCACCTAGCCCCTCATTCATAAAAGACAAACACACACACACACACACACACACACCCTAGGAAGAAGAAGACCACAGAACACACACAGAATCCACACAGTAACTCCTCCGAATAACTCATCAAAATGAGTACCATTAGCTCTTTTTACAGAGCAGTAAACTGAGGCTCGGGAAACAACGTAATTTCTCCAACCCACGCAGTAACTAACGAAGCCACAGTTTGATTAAGCTTTCTCAGACTACAGAAACCACGCTGCCTCCCCATGATAAAGGAAAAAAATAAATAAATAAGTGCACACAACTGTTTTGGCATCAGTAACCCACACCCTTCTCATTTCACTACTTAATATTCAAATGCAGAGAATTTCCACACTGGAGAATCAAAAGCCCAGAGATTTTCCCTAGAAGGCCTCAGAGCTTGATTTTTCACAAATGGCCCCAAGGATGGAAAAAGTCTCCCAAATTGAGACTGGCAGGAGAGCGGGACCCATTTTGTCTGATTTTTCTTCTCTCCTTTCTTGGCATTAGCAGGCTTAGCTCGCGCCAGTGGAAAATTCCCAAGTGCCAAGCAGTTCTCAGATAATCTGCACGCAAAACAAAACAAAATTAAAAAAAAAAGAAAAGCCTTTCAACAGAGGCAGCTCATGAGGGGTTAAGGCGAGCCTGCAGCCAAAACATAGATTTTTTCAGATACTTGACGTCTTTTTCATGTTGATCAGGAGGTTTGTGCCCAGCCACAGCCTATAATGGCTTCAGTCCATCACTGAGACCGGTACTGGGTCAGACCAGAGCCTGCCTTTGGACTCAAGAGGGTCCCAGGTCCAGATAGTTTGACCTCTGCCAGGCTCAAGAGGGTCCCAGGTCCAGATAGTTTGACCTCTGCCAGGCCTGGGCCTGGAAATTCCCTGTGGGAAAGGACAGGAGCTGCCTGGGAGGGCTGAGGAAGAAGGATCTGTGCTGGGTTGGACTCAGGGATGACAGATAGATGGACAGAGGTGGAATTTGGAGAGGGTGAGAAAGAAAGAGAGAAATATTGACTGTCGAGGAGTCCCTATGTATATCCTAGAAGACAAAATCTAGTATAGAATGCTCTATTCATAAGACAAAAGATGTATTAATCCTATCAGAGTGCAATCATATTAACAATAACATTTGCATATAGTCATTTAGCCAATATTTATTAAGCACCTAAGCATCAGGCAAGAATTTGACAATGGGCAGAGTAGCCTGGGTGCCTGCTGGCAGAGAGCTTTCATCCTCACCGTGGAGACATGCAGTAAAATTGACAGTGACGTAGCAGACTTCAGTGCTATTGAAGGGGCCATGGGAGTGCACAAGACAGGGAAATCTGATGTTTATTTGGATTTGATGTTTTTACAAAACATGCTCCCCCACTGCAGTTCTTAATCTTTTAAAAAAAAAAAAAAAACCTTGTAAGGTAGGCATTACTGTGTTATCATCAGAGTCATCCCATGTTGGAGATGAGGAAACTGAGGCTCAGAGAAGTGGAGGAGCACACAGGGCAGCCCAGAAGCTAGGTGTGCCTGCCCTTACGTCTGAGATGCCCTCCTTCGGGACAGCGCCGGGCTCCTCTGCTCACCCGCTGAGGGCAGGTGGGCAGGGCCTGCCGCAGCTGGGGCTGGCTTACTCCTCGTTGTGAGGAAGCAACCTGCCTGCCATCCGCTCACTCAAGGGTCTTCTCAGCGAACTCAGTAGGTCTGAGAAACAGACATGGAAGACTGAGTCAGACCCACCAAGGTGTCCTCTGATCACCCCTGTTCCCCTTGCCTTCCCCAGGCTTAGCATTATAACAACCCTGCTTCCCAGGTCAGGAGATCCCTAGGTAGTTCATAAACACAGCCCAGTTCTGTGACACCTTATGCCAAAGACCTGTAACTCAACACAGGCTCTACCTTTGCCCACAGGCATGGGAAGATGCCTTTTCAGAGGGCACATCATTCTTCCCCTCCACTCCTTCAATCCTAGCCCCTGGGGCTAGCGACGGGCAGAATTCCTGGGGAAGAAGGACCACCTGAGATAGTACATCTTGGGGAAGGCTGCAATGACCTGTTCTCATTCCCTCTGCCCCAACAAGTTGTAAATCGGAGAGAGCTGAGTTCTAACCTGGCTTCACCATTTGTCTTAGCTCCAGCTGCTATAACAAAGTACCACAGTGGGTGGCTTATCCACAATGGATGCCTATTTCTCACAATTCTGGAGGCCGCCAGTCCAAGATCAAGGCTCCAGCATGGCCAAGGTCTGGCGAGGGCCCCCTTCTGGGTTGCAGAATCCTGACTTCTCCTTGGATCCTCACATGGTGGAAAGAGGGGACACTGGCTCTCTGGTCCCTTCTCATAAGGCACGAATTCCATCATGAGGGCTCAGCCCTCAACACCTCATCACCTCCCAAAGGCCTCACCTCCAAATGCTGTCACATAGGGGGTTAGATTTCAGCACATGAATTTGAGCTTGTTGGTGGGCTATGTAGGCATCTCTTGACCTGGGAACTGGGATTTTTATAATGTTGTGGATTTCAGCATATGAATATGGACAGGCACTTGACCCATAACCCCACCTTAAACCTGGGTGACCCTTGCTAGGATCTGTTACCCTTTGAGCCTTGGCTTTCCTACCTGTTCAGTGGCGACACCTGCTGCTAGTTGAGTGGCCCTGAGTCTGTGTCTGGTGCACGTGTCATGGGCTCAGCACAGGCTGCTGTTAGGGAGTTCCTTCCCTCCATCCTTGACAGCAAGGACCACCTCACTCCCTAGTCCCGGCACCCAGTGTCGGCCAGGCATAGAGGAGGCACAAGGAGCATTTCCTTTTGATTAAAGTTAGTTCATTTTATTCTGCCTTATTCTTTACCTTGGGGCTCTGTGGGAGGGGACCTACGTGGGATTTGGCCACATGGCCCCAGACCATGAATAGATCCATTAGGTTACATTTTCCAGTCTCAGAGATACATGCCCAAAGGAAACGAAAACCAGAGGTTGGAGTCAAGAGACCTAACTTCTAGCTTGGTTCAAATTCCAGCTTCATCACTTGCCAGCTTCATGAGTTTAGCAAGTCATTTGCTTTTTCTGGGCCTCTGTTTCTCAATCACAAGGTTGGGTCCCAAAGCACTACTCCTCCCTGACACTCCCAGAGGTCTCCCTAGTTCAAGAACAGGCCAGGAGACTCCCTCTGGGTCTGCTCTCCTCTATCCTCTATGTTGGGGGCCAATGCTGGTTTCAGAGCCGTGACTCTTCACCAGGACCGTGTAACCTGAAGCACATACAGAACCTCTTTTAAAATGCCCTGGGATGGAGACCAGGTAGCTTCTGGGATGGAAACCAGGTGGTTTCCACATACACCCTGCATTGAAAACTGCAGAGCCTGCAATAAATTAACCAAGCCTAAGCTGGAAAGAAACATCAGCCTGAGATTGCTGCCCTGGATCTTTAGAAACCAGGTCATAGTTCAGCAGGTATCCAGTTGGTCATGTGTGGGAGAATCCTGAGATGTTCTACACTCATACCTTTGTTGTGAAAACTTTTCCCAAATGCATCATTAGTTCCCTGAGGCTGCTGTGACCAATTAACCACAAGCTGGGTGTCTTTTAACATGGTAAATGTATTCTCTCACAGTTCCATCCCAGCCTTTGAGGGGAGTGACCACAAGTAAGCCACTTATGGCTAGATCCAGGAATAATAGCCCAGGAATGAGAGGTCCAGGGGCAGGAAATGAATGGGGAGCACACAGGCCTGGTGGGAAGGTCCTCATCACAGGCAGCGAGATGAGTACCACCCGTCCTCATGAGCCACCTCTCTGGTTTCCTCTCTGGAGGAATTGCCCCAAACAGGCTTTGGCTTCAGGAACACCAACACATCTGAAGGAGGTGTCCTGACACCTGGCTAATCCCAGAACATGTGGAGGAATTCTGCACTCACAATGGTGAGATATCTGGGCACCTTTCTCAACTTGGCTCCCAGAAACCTGGCAGCCAGGCTGTGCCCTTGCTGCCCTCCCCTGGGAAGAAACTGAAGGATCCCCCTCTAGGGAAACCCACTGGCATAAGGGGAAAGACCTACACAAACTGCCATTTCGGCAGCACCAGTGAAATGACGGATCGCTGCTTCATTGCCTGACTTGCCCACAAACCCAGATTATGCCCACAGAGCTCTTATTTCATGTTTTTGGGCAAATGTCACCAGTCATTTGGGAAGCATCTCTTGATATAAAAGAGGAAGATGAAAGCAGAAAGGGAGAGAGAGAGAAGGAACTCAGAGAAAAGAGAGAAAATGCAGCAAGCAGAATAAACTTATTTTTTTAAAAATCTGTAATTCCAAGCCTCGGAGAGATAAATATTGCATCTGTGAAACAAGAACAGGATGCTATAATAAAGGTGACATTCAGAGAATATGGAAGAGCTCTTAAACACTACGAATATGACAGCAGAAATGAAACCATCAAGGAAATGAATGAATGATAAAATGCAGAAAATCTTCAGAATGGAACATAGGAGAGATTTTAAAAGATTTTTTAAAATTAAAGGATTGATCTAATCAGCAAAACATCCAAACAATAGGAAGTAATAGGAATTCTGGGAAGAGAAATGATTAGCAATTAAGGGTACAGGTTGAGTATCCCTTATCTGAAATGCTTGAAACAAGGAGTGCTCTGCATTTAGGATTTGTATTAGTCCATTTTCACAGTGCTATAAAGAATACCTGAGACTGGGTAATTCATGAAGGAAAGAGGTTTGACTCACAGTTCCATATGGCTGGGGAAGCCTCAGGAAACTTACAATCACAGCAGAAGCCGAAGGAAAAGCAAGGCATGTCTTACATGGTGGCAGAAGAGGAAAGGAACAGGGGAAACTACCACTTATAAAACCATCAGATCTCGTGAGAACTCACTCGCTATCATGAGAACAGCGTGAAGGAAACAGCCCCCATGACCCCATCACCTCCCACCACATCCCTCCCTCAACATGTAGGGATTACAATTCAAGATGAGATTTGAGTGGGGACACAGAGCTAAACCATATTAGACTTTTTATCAGATTTTGGAATATTTACATACATATAATGAGATATCTTGGGGGTGGGACCCAAGTCTAAACAATAAATTCATTTATGTTTTATATAAACCTCATACACATAGCTTGCAGGTAATTTTATGCAATAATTTTAATAATCTTGGGCTGAAAACAAAGTTTGTGTACACTAAAACATCAGAAAGCAAAGGTGCAGGGAATGGGCACAGTGGCTCACCTGTGGTCCCAGCACTTTGGGAGGCCGAGGAGGGAAGATCACCTGAGGTCAAGAATTCAAGACCAGCCTGGCCAACATGGCAAAACCCTGTCTCTACTAAAAATACAAAAATTAGCCTGGTGTGGTGCACACCTATTATTCCAGCTACTCGGGAGGCTGAGGCAGAAGAATCGCTTGAACCCGGGAGGCAGAGGTTGCAGTGAGCTGAGATCGTGCCACTGCACTCCAGCCTGGGCGACAGAGCAAGATTCCATCTCAAATAAATAAATAAACAAAGAAATAAACAAAGAAAGAAAGCAACAGTGTAATTATCTCAGCCACCAATGTGGACAATCTGTGGTTGGTTGGCATCACCAACATTCCTGACTCTGAATTTATATTCTACCAATAAATAACCATTTTCTTACACTTATTCACATGAGTACTTTAACAGTAAAAAAAAAAAAAGATATGCCATTAATACAGTGAAAAATCATGTGTTCAGGGCACCCATGCGGCAGCATCACGAGAACTCCTGCATCACCGCTAACCAGCAGCAGCCAGCAAAGGCGGCGTTCGACTTCACTAGCAACGCGTTGCCTGATTAAAAGGTTACTAATAACTGGTTTTGTCTGTTTGTTTGTTTGTTTTGAGACAGTCTTGCTCTGTCACCCAGGCTGGAGTGTAATGGCGTGATCTCGGCTCGCTGCAACCTCCGACTCCCAGGTTCAAGCGATTCTCCTGCCTCAGCCTCCCTAGTAGCTGGGATAGAGATGGGGTTTCACCATGTTGGCCAGGCTGGTCTCAAACTCCTGATCTCAGGTGATCCACCCATCTTGGCCTCCCAAAGTGCTGGGATTACAGGCGTGAGCCACAGTGCCTGGCCTAGTAACTGTTTTTTGTTGTTTTTTTTGCTTTGGTTTGTTTTGGGCGAAGAAAAACATGAGAAGCAGTTGAGGAACAAGAAAGTGAGTCCTCCAGGCAGAATGAGGAGGCATTCCGCGAGATGGCTTTTTAAACATTTCCTGCAGAGTCCTCTGCCTCCTTAATAAGGTTTTTTTTCTGAGAGTCTCTCTTTGATTTTATCAAAGGACATGATTTTTTTGTTCTGTTGTGAATGTGCAGCACTCTAGCCCTTCAATAAGCCCATCCTGCATTTTCATCATGTCATGTGTAGACACTCTTTCTGCAGTGCTAACATCATCTTTATCATCACTATTATCACCATCACCTTGATTCAGAAACATTTCAGCTATTTTGCCATCAGTCAATAAATTAACAATTGGAGCCCATTCTCAATGTTAAAAACTTCTATATTCACTTTTTCCAGCTTACTGATAAAGTCTGAAGGTCTATATTTTGCACATATAAGGTCAGACATGATTTTTTTTTCTCACTTGACTTATGGAATCCTTGAAAGTCACCAGCTTGTTTATTATCATCACTGAATACAGTCACAGGCCAGAGGTTGTGCCAGGCATGCACAGCTGTGTCTTTAGTCACTGTGTTCTCAGCATTGGCAACAGTGTTTACAGCCTCCTTTGCGCTCAACTCCTCTTGAAAATCTCCCACACGCACACCACTGTTCACTGCTGCTAGCGCGCTGTTCAAGAGAGGGTTTTTATATTTACTCTTCATTGATCTAAGGATAACCTGGTCACATGACTGAATTAATGAAGTCACATTTGGGGAAAGTACATGGCATAAGCATTTTTTATGAGAATCTCAGCTGAAAGATGAGCAGAACTGTTGTCAAGGAATAACAAAACCTGGCCAGGTTTTGTGCCTCATGCCTGTAATTCCAGCACTTTGGAAGGCCAAGGCGGGAGAAGTGCTTGAGCCCAGGAGTTTGAGATCAGCCTGGGCAACATAATGAGATCTTGTCTTTACAAAAAACTTAAAAATTAGCTGTAGCCCTAGCTACTTGAGAAGCTGAGGTGGAAGGATCACTTGAGTCTAGGAGTTCAAGACTGCAGTGAGCTAGGATAACACCACTGCACTTCAGCACGGGTGACAGAGAGACACCTTGTCTCTAAAAAATTAAAATAAAATAAAATAAAAGGAATAAGAAAATCTTGCAGTCATATCTAGCTCAGCTTCCCTGAGCACAAGTCACTGGTACAAAATGTTTGTGAAATAGGCCGGGCACAGTGGCTCACACCTGTAATCTCAACATTTTGGGAGGTTGAGGCAGGAGGATTGCTTGAACCCAGGAGTTCAAGACGAGCCTGAGCAACATAATGAGACCCTGTCTCTATTTTTTTAAACTAAATTAAATCGAGTTTTTAAAAAACAAAATGTTTGTGAAATCAATCAGAATTGGTACTGCATGCATTTTTGTTAGTATAACAATTAGACTGGTAAGAAATTTACTCCATGAAAACAGTGAGGGTGCAAGTGTTTGCCCATCACAGCAAGCTCAAACTTATGCGTGCCTGCTGCATTAGCACATCCCAGCACCGTCGTTCTGCCCCTGACATCCTTCATTCCCACAGGGGCTGTCTCATCAGCTGTAGTCAGTGTCTTTCTGGGGCAAGCTCAGCAAAACAGTGATGTTTCATCAGTGTCGTAGAGTTGCTCTTGTGTCTGTAGAGTTTTATCAGTGATGAACTTGGCAAACTCATTAATGAATTTCCTCACTGCTTCTTGATCAGCAAATGTTTTATCACCACAAATCTTTAAGAATTTAATGCTGTCTTTAATTTTCTTTTATTTTCTTTCCTTTTTTTTTTTGTTTGTTTGTTTGTTTTTGTTTTTTTCCAGAAGGAGTCACGCTCTGTCTCCAGGCTGAAGTGCAGTGGCGTGATCTGGGCTCACTGCAACCTCCGCCTCTCAGGTTTAAGTGATTCTCCTGCCTCAGCCACCTGAGTAGCTAGGACGACAGGTGAGAGCCACTACGCCCAGCTAATTTTGGTATTTTTTCTTTTCTTCTTTGAGACAGGCAGGGTCTCACTCTCTCACCTGGCCTGGATTGTAGTGGTGCAATCATGGTTGACTGCAGCTTCAACCTGCTGGGCTCAAGCCTTCCTTCCACCTCAGCCTCCTAAGTAGCTAGGACTATAGGCACATACCATACCTGGCTAATTTTTAAAAAGTTTTGTATAGTAATTGGTTTTTCTGGAGTAAAATCAAAACAGAAATCTCATCCCCAAATATTCAGGATATGTATTTTTTCATTGCAGACACAGTGGGGCATTGACCGTAACTGCTTTAACAAAAATATTTAAATTATCTTGTAAGTCAGTGTTTTAAGGAGATAAAAAGAATCTGGGATGATGTGAAATAAAAATACAGTGGAAATAAAAAATCTTAGAAAAACATGTTTTGTATAGACGAGGTCTCACTATGTTGCCCAGGCTGACTCACACTCCTGAGCTCAAGCAACACTTTCTCCTCAGCTTCTCAAAGTGTTAGGATTACAGGCATGAGCCACTGAGCTCAGCTTAATGTTGTCTTTTCTTAAATTTCTGCATCCAGCCTGTTGAATATTCACAGTTTCCTTCAATTTTTTGTTCAGCTTGACTGATCCTTGCTTATTTAATGATCAGGGTACCATCATACAACACTGACGGGGTCACTCTCAGTACACAGCTGAGATCTTCATTTTTAGCTTTACGCAGTTTTTTTCTAGTTTCATTAACTTCTGTTCGTTTCTTGCGGCATAGTACTTTGACAGTTCATCCTTCTGTTTCTTCAGGTCATGTGCCATGGTCATTCCAACACTGAGCTCTTCCATCTGATGTTTTACATCTGCAGCACTGTCCGGCTTCTCCAACAGCTTGACTTTCCATGTTATAGATAAACACAAATGCTTCCTTTTTTTCTTATCACTTCTTTTTTTTTTTTTTTTTTTTAGCCCATGGGAGTATCAGCAGGCCTTTAAAATTTTAATCAATAACTTTATTTATTTATTTATTTTTATTTAATGTAATTAATTTATTTATTTTTCAGATGGAGTCTCACTCTTGTTGCCCAGGCTGGAGTGCAGTGGCACTATCTCGGCTCACTGCAACCTCCGCCTCACAGGCTCAAGCAATTCTCCTGCCTCAGCCTCCAGAGTAGCTGGGATTACTGGTGCCCGCAACCACACTCAGCTAATTTTTGTATTTTTAATAGAGATGAGATTCCACCATGTTGGCCAGGCTGGTCTCGGCCTCCTGACCTCAGGTGATCCACCCGCCTCAGCCTCCCAAAGTGCTGGGATTACAGGTGTGAGCCACCGCTCCTGGCCTTAATCAATAACTTTACACCACACAGCAGAGAATAAGAAAAAGAACCAAGTGAGTAATGCAGGTAGATCTTGGCTTCATGTGGGGCATAGTGGGGAATGTGTTACTGGTGCCTCAGCCTGTGAAAGTGCTATTTTATTCTCTGTGTGAGTGCTTGAGGGGCAGAGGGAACCTGGATGTGCGTGGAAAAGATACATCACTGCTGAAGCGGGCTGAGAAGGCCTTTTTTTCCTTTGGGGATATGAAATAAACGATGTGTTGTGCACCAGTATTTTGACTGTGACATGTCACATGAGATCAGATGTGGAATTTTCCACTTGTGACATCATGTCCACTCTCAAGACATTTCAGATCTTGGAGCATTTCCGATTTCAGATTTTAAGATTAGGGATGCTTAACCTGTACTTTCTTGCAACTGAAGGCCACAGGTTTCCAGATTGAAAGGATTCACTTGGGCCCAGCACAAACAACAAAATAAAACCACACCAAGGCACAGGATGATGAAATTCCCAAGCAACAGAGATAAGGAAAAGAATCCAAAACCCCACAGGGAAAGAAAATAAGAATTAGAATGACATCAGACTATCAATAGCTGGAAACAAGATCACAGAGAAATGGTTCCACGGTTGGAGGAGGTACAATGCTACATCCAAGCAAACTATCACTGAAATGTAAGAGGAGAATAAAGACAATCTCAGACATGCAAAACTTTGAAAATGTTACCTTCCATGCAGCTTCTCTCAGGAAGCTACTGAAGGAGATGCTCCAAGAAAGGAAATCAATGAAGCAAAAGGAAGGCCTGAAACCCAGGAAATCAGGGCTCCAACTCAGGAAATGGGCAAAGGGGACTTCTCAGATGACGGAGCAGGGAAGTCCAGGGTTGACAGCTGTTTGATGGCTTCCAGGACAACCAGTGGTAGGAGGGCAACGTTCTCCAAGAGAAGTGTCTCCGAGAGGAGAAAGGGAATGGGGATGTTACCTGGCGTGTGTAAATTTGCTCAGAATAGTTCTCCATTTCTGAGAGAGTGAAGAGGTGAAATTAATGACAAGCACATAGGTAACTAAAGAAAGCATAAAGGCAATTATCAACTTCCAGAAAGAAAGGTTATACAAGACAGGAAATGTAATTAAAGCATATTATGTGGCATAACTACGGACACTATTTATGTGGTCATAATAGTAACCACAGAATATTGATCTAACAAAAAATGATACCCTTATGAGAATGGTGAGAGGGTACTTGGGAAAGCAGCATAAGAGCTAATCTTCATCTTCGTAACAGAAAGTCCATCAATAATATTTAATACTAAAAAATCAAGGATTATCAGTGCAGAGAGGTGATTTAGAAAGAGGTAAGAAAATGCCAGAAGAAATAACTAAAGGTTGAAAATGCTCCATCTGGGGAAAATATTTGGTCTGGGCAGGCACAGGGTGGCGCTGCTCTTTTTCATTATATGCTGTTGAAAACCATTTGACCTTTAAAATGATATATGACTTCTTTAATTAAAAAAATCAAAATTAATTTTACAAACAACTTTTAAAAATAACCTCTAGGGAGAAGTGGAAACAGGCTTTATAAACATATGTATCCCTTTACAGGGGAAATATATTTAAAAACTGTTTATATTAAAACAAAAAATAAATTTTAATTAAAAAAAGGGGGGGTGGATACTGGATTTGAACCCAGGACTTTGACTCTCTGTCAGAGGACGGTGGAGGGAGGAGTTGGACCCACAGGACACATAGGACTTGGACCAACAAAGATGGGGAGGGAATTCCCAGCTGGGAAAAGACACAGAATATTTGGCTCAAAACAAGAAACCCACACAGAGATTTTGGTTTGAAGCTTTGGAAAACATTTGTTTTCGTTCCTTGTAAAAAATGGATGACGAACGGAGTTATTTGAAATGAGATTTTAACAAGAAAAAAACTCATCACATTTCATTAGCATTCTCCTACGAGCCCATTATTAACAAGTCCGATGACTGGTTTTAAGAGTTTCTATTTCCTTATGATCTCCAGTGAAAGTCATCAACACCAAGAGAGGGTTCAGAGTTTGTTCATTGTTTGCTATTTTTTTCAGTTAACATTCTTTGTTCTTCCTCTAAGCATATTATTTGATTTATATTTTTGCAACCACTTTCCACACTGCCTTTAGAGCTTATTTATGTGTTAAAAAGGCACTTATGCAAGCGTAGGTCCCTCAGCGTGAGTGGATTGAAACGGCATGTGCTTTAGAGACACACAGAACTTAATTTGAATTCCAGATACTGGTTTATTAACTGTGTGATCCTGAGCAACTGACTCATTCTCACTGGGCTGCAGGATTCCCTGAAAAACTGGAACCAGACATTCATTTCCCTAGCTATTGATGTGAGTAGTAAATTAAGGAACAAGGCTGGGTGCAGTGGCTCATGCCTGTAATCCCAGCACTTTGGGAGGCCAAGGCGGAGGGATTGCTTGAGCCCAGGAGTTCAAGATCAGCCTGGGTAACATGATGAAGCCTTGTCTCTACATAAAAATACAACAATTAGCCAGGTGTGGTGGCACGTGCCTGTAGTCTCAGCTACTCGGGAGGCTGAGATGGGAGAATCACCTGAGCCTGGGAAGTCCAGGCTGCAGTGAGCCATGATTGTGCTACCACACTCCAGACTGGGCGACAGGGCAAGACCGTGTCTCAAAAAAAATTAATTAATTGATTAAGGAACAGACTTGGAGAACCTGCTAGTTACTTAGCAAACAGAAATTACTCTTCCTTTCCCCCATCCACATATACAGAAAAGTACTCAGACGCTAATTACTTAAATGACTTTTACCACAATTGTGTCCAAGTGGAATTTCATCCGTCCACCTACATTTTGAGGATTTCTTGGAACTCCTTGTCCATACATATCTCACGGCTATTACAGACTGATAGTGCCTGCTGAAAGCTTCTAGAAAAGCCTTGGAGTTCAGTGGCTGTGCTCTGACCTAGGATTAGCAGTAAAACAGGGTCCAACTCCCTATCGTGTCTTCAGGTTCTAGCTCATCTGAGTCATGATCAGTCCATTGCCATTCAGAAGGCAGATCCAAGGAAAAGCGGTGCCATGTGCAAATGTGACCAGAATATAGCACTGGCCCCGGAATCCAAATGTCTGATTCCGATTCTGGCCTATCCCTCACGTGCAATCTTGGACAAATCCTTCCATCTTTCCGGGCTGTGGCTTCCTCATCTGGCTAAAGGGAATCACACCCCTGCCTTGTCAAGCTCACTGGTTTGTGACGAGGTTTACAAGGTGAGGGAGCAGGTGAGGGTACTATCTGTATATCTTTTCTTCCAGTGTTTCCTTGCCTCCTCTTTTCTGCTCCTACCCTGGCTCTGTAGGGTGGGAGGACAGGAAAGAACCCTCAGGGCTTCCGGCTTCTGAATCCCACGAGAGACAGCTTATCTCAGCCTCACTAAGTCCCTGGCACTGTTCTAAGCACATCACGTGCATCAACTCATTTGATCCTCAGAACAATCCTAAGAGGCAGGAGTTATTACAGCCCATCATCCAGATGAAAAAACTGATCGTGATCACTTAACGGGGTTCAGAAATCCACCAAAGGTCACACAGCCAGGGAGTGAGGGGCCAGGATTTGAACTCAAGCTTCCTGGCTCCTGAGCCCCCAGACTCAGCCAGTTCCTGTGTTCATACTTCCTCTCACACCATAAAACGTAAACCTTTAGGAAAATTGAGAGAAGTTTCCCAAATGGAAGGAAAAGAAGGGGAATTGTGGGTCCTCACACACCATCTCAGAGCCAAGGGGAGGTGGTATTGATTCCAACTTCTTGGATCACTGTGGGGATTGAACTAGAAAATAAACATTCTGGCTTATGGAAGTCCTCAGAGATTGGCACTTCCCTTCAGCACCAGCCCCGGAAGCCCCATCACCCTGAGCCGGTCCATCTCTTGGAATCTTGAAGTGTCCTGTGTCTGGTCGGGACAGGTAAGTAGCAAGATATTCGTGGAGCTGGCAGGCCTACATGGAAATGAGGGCCAACTTTTTCACCTTTATCATTTTCCCCCAAATCCAGGTTCCAGGGACTTGACTGCCATGGCCAGCTGTCAAGGGTGAGGCTGCTGACTTCTCGGCACCCACCTCCATGCCTCCTGGGCCTCCCTGGGTTCCGTGGGGCCTCCTCCGAGTATTGATGGCAGGAAGGACAGGCCCTAGAGCTGGGCTCAGAGCTCAGCAGGGCCCAGTTTGCCATCCTGAGGCTCCTCCAAGCCTCAGGCTCCTATTGTGCAGAACAAGGACAGAAATCCTTCAGGCCAGGAGCAGTGGCTCACACCTGTAATCCCAACACTTTGGGAGGCTGAGGCAGGCAGACCTACTTGACGTAGGCCAGGAGTTCGAGACCAGCCTGAACAACATGGTGAAATCTCGTCTCTACTAAAAAATAAAAAAATTAGCTGGGCCCGGTGTCATGTGCTTGTGATCCCAGCTACTTGGGAAGCTGAAGCAGGAGAATTGCTTGAACCCTATCCGGGAGGCACAGGTTGCAGTGAGCCGGGATCACGCCACTGCACTCTAGCTTGGGTGACAGAGCAAGATTCTGTCTCAAAAAAAAAAAAAAAAAATCCTTCATTCACTTAACAAATATCAAAGTCCTACTGCGTGCTGGGCGCTGTTCCTGGTGCTGGGAAGATCAGGGAATTACACAGATGAAGCCACTGCCCTCACGGAGCCCAGAGCCTAGTGAGGGACAGATAAAGAATAAACAAACGTGTAAGCATGACCTCTGCTGCCATGGAGTGGTTTAAATGGAGAAAAACAAAGCAAGGTGAGGAGGGATCGTAAAGACTCACAACAGCACAATTTTAGGCAAGGGGTCAGGAAAGGCTTCTCTGAGCCACCGAGCAGGTACTTGAGCCAGGTAAAAAAGGGACAGAAAGAATCACACAAATAACCAGGGCACAGCGTTCCAGGAAGAGGGAACAGCAAGTTCAAAGGCCCTGCGGCAGGGATGTGTGCACTGTGCTGGAGAGACAGCCAGAATCACTCAATGGCATCAGTCATTGAAGTCACAAGAGGCAGGGGAGCTACATCCTGTAGGGACTTGCGGGCCAGGGTAAGGGACACTGGAGGAAGGGGAACATTTAGCAAAAGAAAAGACTTAGGAGGACAAGGGATAGTATAGAGCCAGGCCTCAAAGTCAACCAGACAAGGTTCAGACTATGGCTGTTATATTCAATAGCTGTGTGACCTCAGAAAAGTTCTCTAAGCTTTCTGAGCCTCTGTTTCCCCATCTACAAAATGAGTCATTGGCTGGGCATGATGGCTCATGCCTGTAATTCCAGCACTTTAGGAGGCCGAGGCGGGAGGATCACTTGAGGTCAGGAGTTCGAGACCAGCCTGGCCAACGTGGAGAAATCCTGTCTCTACTAAAAATGCAAAAAAAAAAAAAAAAAAAAAATTAGATGGGCGTGGTGGTGGGCGCCGGTAATCCCAGCTACTGGGGAGGCTGAGGCAAGAGAATCACTTGAACCCGGGAGGCAGAGGTTGCAGTGAACAGAGATGGCGCCACTGAACTCTAGCCTGGGTGACAGAGCGAGACTCCGTCTCAAAAAATAAAATAAGTCATCAAGAAGATTCGATGGCAGGGGGGCAGCCCGGGAAGGGAAAGTACCAGGACAAATAACTAATGTATGTGAGGCTTAACACCTAGGCGATGGGCTGATAAATGCAGCAAACCACCGTGGCACACATATACCTAGGTAACAAACCTGCACGTTCTGCACATGTATCCCGGAACTTAAAGTAAAATAAAAATTTGTAATAAAAAAAGAAGCTTCTGCAGCTCAGCTCCCTCTGTGTGACCTGCCTTCTCTGAACTTCAGTTTCCTCCTCTCTGGCCTTGGTGTTCCTTCTCATAAAACAGGGGTAAGAATGTCTTCATGTACTGTGGTGACCTCATGTCCAAGGTGATTATTAAATAATATAATATATGTTGAGTTTTCTCCCAGCACAGTGTCACTTACGAAGACGAACATTTGAAGTGTATTTTCATAATCTTTAGTTAATATCTGTCTCACCTAAGCTCCAGCCTCCATAAGGGCAGAGACCTTGCTTTTGTCCCTCTTTGCCAGTGTGTCCCCAGCACTAGCCCAGGTCCTGGGTACATAGTTGGTGCTCAATAAGTGGTTGGTGCTCATTATGGGTAAGATAAATGCTAACTGAATAGGTGGATAGATAGACAGAAAAATTAACTGTTTCCCCAAGGTGGTGAGTGCCCCATACCCGGAAACGTACAAGAAAGCATCAGAGCAGAGATTGGTTTCACTTATTCACTCAACAAACATTGCTGGGCTGCCCCATGTACCAGCCCTAAGGACTCACAGGGTCACAGCAATGAGTGAAACTGGGAAGCCCCTGCACATTCCAGTGGGGCTAAAAGAGACAGGAAACAATAGATGACGTCTAGGGATGATGAGTGCTAGGAGTAAGAGAAGTAACGCCGGGAGCTACAGAGGACCCCATGTGATCTTGGAAAAGGTGCAAATAAAGAGGCGCTTGGATTCTTCAAGTTGGGGGATTTGAGAATCGCTTCCAGCTAGAAGATGCTTTCCTCCCTCGATGACTTCAGAAGGAACTGGGGTTGGGGTGCCGTCCCTTCTCTGGGTAGATTTGTGAAGCAAGAGGCTGAAATTGGACCAGACCACGTGAGTGCCCTATCCCACTCAGCTCCACCTCCTTGTGTAATGCTGTCACCAACTCCTCTTAACCTCAGAGTCCTCCGGTGGCCCCTCAAGACATGTACCCATGGCTGTTTTCATGCCCTGCCAGCTCTCTGATTCCGAGCCTGGGACTTCCAGAGTCCCTGCTGCAGGTATGTCAGCCCTGACCAGGCAGCATTTCCTGCTGGCATGCTGCCAAGTGTGTCTCCTTGTAAAGCTAGGGTCCCAGAGGAAGGGAGGCATCCTATTTTATGAAGACATGTTTATTGGCTGAGAGGTTGCTCTTGCCTGTACCCAGACCTCTCGTGGCTCAGCCCTGCTGACCAGTTCAAGACACCCAGTACGTGGGGGCAGGATTCAGCTACATAATCAGTAGGGTCCACTACAATAGGAAAATGCAGGTCTTCTGTTTTAAAGTAGTGGGGGGAAGCATTGCTAAAAGTATTCTCATGTAAAGCTTTTTCCTTTCTTTGTGGTCTTGCTCTTGACCTGTCATGATTTTTGTTGTTGTTGTTTTTAAATTTCCTATTTAACGCCACACTCACTCATGCATTCTCAGGGATATTCGCAAGGGAGTGCAGACTGTTGCAGGCACCTAGGGGCCCCAAACAGTGACTTGGCATGGGAGCACAGGGCTCTCCACCAGCTGACAAATTTGACCCAGGGTGAAGAAGTCAAGTCAAGCATCTACCTCCTCTTCCCTCAGGCCACTGCCCCAAACCATGGCAGATGGGTAACCTCCAAAGGCATTGCAATTTCAGTGCTAGGATATGCTCGGTACCTGGATCAGGGCTGGGTGAAAGGTTCACCCTTACCCACGTTGCCAATGAAACATATGTCACTGCCAGCCCAGGGCAAGAACGGTCAGTGCCCACCATGCCTCACCTGGTGATGCCAGGGGTATGAACATTGAGCCCTGACTCTCCTCACACTGGCACCCAGGCCCCTGCCAGGTGGAAGGCAGCAGCAGTCACACTGGGGACAGGGAGCTGGAGGCTGGGCAGGGGGTGGCTTCCCAGGGAGTGGAAAGCAAGCAGCCAAGAATTGTCCCAGGGAGGCATTTGAGGCAGGTCTAAGTGCCCAGAACACACTCCATTGTCCCATCAAACATCACTTATAATGCATAAATTCAAAGATAAAAATCACTAAGAACTCCAAGATAGTGACTGCAGCACTACACCCCAAGCGTGGCACCCTTCTGAGTGCAGGCCCCACGCCCATGAAGCCAGCATGCGGGAATGAAATCAGACTGGGCCCTTCCACTCCCCAAGCAGTGGTCAGGGGTTCATTCAGGTAAATGACTTCAGAGACCCCACACAATCCCGGTGAGCCTGGCCAGGTGCACGCTGGTCCCACCTGACTGTGAATGGACCCCAGAGGCAGGTGCTTTCTCCCAGAAGGAACGAGGACCCAAACATCTTTGGAACCCCACCCAGGTAGGGCAGACCATATACAGGAAAAAGAAAGACCCCCTGAGATCAACGCCCTTCCGAAACCAACAGCTCATGATCCCGCAGAAACCAACAGTTCCTGATCTCCTCCAGGGGCCTCTCTCTCAGCAAGAGGGTGATGTGTTCTGTGTGCGCCATGCTCTGGAACATTTCTTGCGGCTCATCCAAACCACCGCCCTGTTCCTCCTGGAATGAAGGTGCTGGTGAGATGCAGCCATAGACCTCAGCGCTCTCCTAAACCTGTTTGCCTGGAGTCAGCTGGGTGTCCTGGAATGACCAAGGCCTGCTTTCTCATCC
Source organism: Homo sapiens (assembly GCF_000001405.40). Lineage (NCBI taxonomy): Eukaryota > Metazoa > Chordata > Mammalia > Primates > Hominidae > Homo > Homo sapiens. The sequence goes on along the minus strand of NC_000004.12, from coordinate 4,873,684 downwards.
CAGATTGACCTCCTCACTCACGGACAGGTCACAGAGCCTCACTTCACTTATCTAGAAAATGGGCACAGTGAGAACCCGTCCCTGCTGCCTGCTAGATGATGAAGGCCAGAGGAGACAAGGTCTGTGAATTCACATGAACAGCACAGAGTCCCTTCAGCGAGGCAAATCATGCCAGGGTCATCTGAAGGTTGAAGACTGGTCACAGCCTCACAATGTTGCCCACTCGTTGACTTGGGGAACCTTGCATTTGCTGGTCCCGTGGCCTGGACTTCCTTTATTCCATTCAAATGTCCCCCATGTTCCCTCTTCGGGAAAACCCCCACCCCGATCGCTATCTCGCCGCTCTGTTTTATGTACTGCCTGGCTTGGTAGTGTTATTTTTCCGTTCCTTCTTAGTGCCACCAGTTTCCACTCAGATCCTGCGCTGCTGCGGGGCAGGGACCCTTTCCCAGCACAGCAGGGGCCTCAGCACCTCACCCTGACCCTGCATGTGGAGGAGTGGCTGAATGAGCCAGAGTCCCGGGAACCACTGCCCACGCCACACCTTTTAATATAAGAAATTATAGTCATTGTATTAAAATAAAATGAGGGAAAAGACAGACAATAAAGGAAGAATAAACTTAGGGAAGAAATGGAGGGGCAGGAAGAAGTACTCTTAGGGGTCTCCGCCTGCTTCCCCTGCCTCCCCCAGCCCGGCTGTCAGGAAATCCAGGGCTCTCCTCCTGGAAATTAAGGACGTGGCTCAGGCATGGCTTTGTATACCGAGCCCCTGGGGCGCACCTGCCCCAACTCCCCACCCCCGAAGCCGGTGGAGTTTACTGGGCCAGGTGGTCTGCTGGCCCTACCCTCAGACGGGAGCTGCCGGATTTCCCACCGGGAGGAGCTTGGGATTCTGCTGCCCAAGGCCCCGCCTCTCCAAGGAGCAGTCCGGAGCAGGAGCACTCAGAGCAAACTGGTCCCAGCGCCTCCTTGCGTCCCCGCCTCTCGCAGCTCCCCTTGGAGGCCCCGAGGGCGAGGGGAAATCCCGGGTTTGGGTCGGGATTTAGGATTCCCTGAGGGCTCACCCAGAAACTGCTTGGTGACCTTGGGCACGTGGCTTGACATCTCTGGTCCACAGTTGACACGTCTGTGAAAAAGAACCAAGGCAATGTTTTCCTTTAGAGGCCTTGGCGTGGATTAAGGCAGACAGTAGCTATGGGGGGGCCTGCCACAGACTCAGGCTCAGAGTAAGCCCTCACCGAGGGATGGGGCGCTCGATTCCCCACGCGGGGCCATACTGGGCGCTGGCATCAATTCCTAGGGCAGGAATTGAAGTGTGAGTCAAATCCCAGGTGCTGGTGGCGGTGGCGAGGGGCAGATACGGACTCACGTTCTGCTTCTGTTCAATGGACACAACAGACACCGCCGAAGCGGAATGGAGACAATTATTCCGATAAGTCGGGGCCGGGCGTGCCTTCCTCTCTGGATAGTTCATCCCTCCTCCCTTCTCCCCGGGTGCCCACCCCACACTTGCACAACCCTGAAAGTGTCTCCTTACATTTTGCTTCCCGGGTTGCTCCCTTGCCTTCCTGGGTTGGAAATGGGACTAGCTGAGACCCTGGGCAGGTACCTTCGTGCCTCTGCGCAGCAGTGTGCTCGTGTGTGCAATGGGATAATATTCCTCCCTAAGTCGCTCGACTTTTGTGAGGATTAAGGGGCACCATGCACGCCGAGCGTTTAGCACAGGGTCTGGATCCGGTACGAATCGATAGGTAGCAGTCCCTCCCTTCACAGGCTTCCACACCTCAGTTTCCTGGGCCGCGAAATGGGCGCGGGCAGGGCCTGGAGGATGACTGCGTTCCAGGAGGGCAGGCGGAGCAGGCTCCTACAGCTGGCACGCACCTGGGTCGCAGGAGCCGCGCAGGGTGTCAGAGGGAGGGGAAAGCCAGCGGAGTTGGGAGCTGCGGTTGCCCGGGGGGTGAGGGTGTCCGCAACGGACTCCGCCCCACAACTGAGGTTCAGCTGGCCCCGCCCCGGGCTGGCACAGCCGAGTTCGGGGACTCCGGGGCCGCAGCTGGGCGCCAAGGAATCCGGGTGAGCTCCGTAGGGAAGAGAAACATCCTTGGGTCCCGGCGATGCTTCACTCTGCAAGGCTGCGAAGTTTCTTCCGGAACCCTCTCTGATTTGGGGGTAGGGGAATCACCAAAGACGAGGCACGTCTCAGGCAGCCACCCCTGGTCCCGGCCATTGACACTTCCCTCTCCTACAAGGGCACGCGGCCCCTTCTACCTCGCCCCCATCTTTCTCCTCCAAGTGGCCGCCAGAGCATCACAAAACGCTAAGCCTACTCCAAACTCGCCTAAGGCCGGTTCCAGCCGCGCCGGCCTCAGCTCTCCTTGGGGCTTTTGCATTTGCCGACCCCTCTCAATGGGAGATTCCTTCTTCAAACTACGGCTCCACCTCACCCTTCAAGTCTCAACCCTTAAGTCGCCTCCGCCGAGAGGCCTGCCTTGACCGCTCCGCCAAAAATAGGCTCCGACTGTGCTTCCTGCCCCCGTCTTGTTACTTTTCCCCTTAGAAGCATTCAGCTCTACCCGAATTCGTTATTTCTTAGTGTGCTGGTCTTGTTCAACCCCGCCGAATGAATTAATTTAAGGAAGCTGGACTAAAATTGGGGATGCCGGGTCTGTCCAGCCTTTCTGCCGGATCTCGGCCAAATCACGAACCCCCTTTGAGCCTCAGTATGTCATCCGTAAAGAAAGATGTTGGCCCATTGGTGACAATGGAGCATCACTCAGGTAACGCTCAGAGCAGTTTCTCCCAGTCCAGTGTGGGTTTAGGGATTCAGCCAGCATCTAGAGTGAGGCAAACTTGGTCAACTTTGACCATGGCCAAAGGGGAATTCTGCCAAGTATAGGAACCGGCTCTGGCCTGGGCGCTTGCTTCCCAGTTGCCGGTCGGCTGTTGGCTGCTTTCTGCATTCATGCCAGAAGCAGCGGCAGAGGTTGGTGGGAAATACAGGCCGGGTCTTAGACACCTATGTGACATTTGGCAAGTCACATACGCTCTCTGTGCCTCGGTTTTCTCACTTGAAACAGATTAATAAGAGTGCCTGCGTCATAGGGAGAAGATTAAAAGAGGTGAAGGTGTCTTAATTCCGGGTCCAGAGTGGCGCACAGGCACTTTCTGACACTTTCCAAGAGCAAGAACACTCTCCTCCGCTTCCACTCCGCTCATCCCTTCCGCCTCAGGGACCTCCCCTCACCCACACACACCCTCGGGGGACTGGAGAGTAAGGAATTCCAATGGCGCTGCGGAGAGCAGAGCCGGCCAGCAAAGAGCGCTCAGGTCACCATCCTGCCTCTATGCTCCGCGCTACGCTTGGCGCTCTCCTCGCGCGCTCCCCTTCTCACCCGGAGTTCTTACCGCGCGCTGCCTTTGGAGTCACCCATAGTTTCCTCTGCACCAGCCCGAAAGTGTTCCCATTCCGCGGACCAGGGAACTGAGATTTAGGGGCGCCAGATGGTGGCACCGGCTGTCTGAGTTGGAAGCTCTGTTTCACTCTCACTAGCTGTGTGATCTTGTCTGAGTCATTCAACTCTCTATGCTTCAGTCTATGACACGGGTCACAATGGCACGTGCCCACCTGGTAGTGAGGATTCGTTGGGATAACCCGCGTGGAAAACTTAGATTCTAAGGGTTGTGATCCATAGGCAAGCGCGCATACATGTCAGCTGCAGTCACCGCAGGCGGAACAACTGTGATGACCTCACCACCATCACCGAACTGGGGACGCAAGTGATGGTACAGCCCGTGGAGAACCCCTTCCCTTCTACTCTTTCAGGACCTGCCAGGGGTCAGGATTGTGTCCATTTAACAGAGATGGAACCTGAGTCTTGGAAAACTCGAGAGGTGGGGGGCCCCACCCAAGGTCTCAGCCTGCCTCACACATTCCCTTTTAGTCGATGTGGCTGTTTCTCCGGTGGAGAAGCCCCTGCTGCCACCCGGGTGCCACGAGAGTCATCAGAGAGGGAACGGGGTTTTCTTTTTAAAAGCAGCATCGTCAGAGAAACAGCGACTCAAAGCACTAGAGTCCAGCCCGCCCTTGGGGCAGCTCATCTAAGGGGCAACAAAGAGGCAGGGCGCCGCAGAGGGTTATGGAAAGCGCCAGGCGGGGGAAGCAAGGAGTGGTCTCGCAAAGGGGAGGCTTTGGGGTCTCTCAGACCCTCCTCCCGCTCCCTGAACCCCGCAAACTCTGGCAGCAGCGCCCGGTGGGCGCACACACGCACTGTCAGGCCGCGCCCTGTGCATCATCAAAATCTGCACCCAGCTGGTGAAGGAGAAAGCAACTCCTGAGGTCCCACAGCAGCGGGCTTGGATCCCACCACTGTCTCCTCGCCTGTAAAATGTGCAACAAAGGCTGCCACGTAGGGTCGGGGACCCTTCCTTCCATCTGCCCCTAATCAGGCCCCAAATTGAGGGCGGGCTTTTGAATTCGCTTTTAACTACCTACCCCCCACTCCTCCCCCCCACCACACACACACAAAGGCCGATCTTTATTGCACCCCGCTGGTGCGCTAGCCCCTGCGAGCCTGGCATTAGGGGCAGAGATTCATCCTGAGGGGGAAACCTAGATTCGAGCCCCATGTCTGAGTCAATGGCCGGCCTTACTCTTTGGGAGTTTCCAGGGAGGTACAGACATAACCCTCCCGCCTTTGAAATTGATCTAAGTGTCTAAGTGCAGAATTCATAATCAATGTTAATTGCTGTCGGGGCCAAGCATCTCACAGAGCGTTTCATTTTATTCCCTTAACAATAGAAGCAATTGTGACGATTCCACACTTTATATGGAAAAAGTGAGGCTCAGTGAAGTTAAGGAACTTGCCCGAAGTCACACAGTAAGTACCAAAACCAAAATTTATAAGTAGATGATCTGACTCCAGGTCGGCGACTCGACACCCGCCCTAACCAGGGTCTGCGACTGCTTCTTGAAGTACCGCCTTCTCTGTCCAGGGGAGGTGGGATGGGCATTCCTGATCTCTGGCTTTGGTCCGTGGAGAATGAGTAGGGTGTTGGGTCTGATCAAGGCATTCTGAAACCCTCTGCCTAGATGGGAGAAGGTGGGTGTACAGGACGAGGTGGGGCCGAAGGGGGTCCCAGAGGAGGGGACCCAGGGGGAGAAAGGAGAGCTGAAGTCACTGGCTGTTCTTGCGCGGGGGCGGGTGGGGGGGGGAACTCCCAGCGTTCCCTCAGGCGATTCTCCAGGCCTTCCAGTAAAAGGTCTGTGTCCGGGGATTGACCCCACGTGCGTGGAGCCAGAATCCGCGCTTACCCTCTGGTGTCAGCACAGCAGAGCACCCAGCGCTCTCACGCCTTGTGCTCTGAGCTGAGCTTCTGGCTTGCTGTATTGAGCTTCTGCCGCTCAGGTCTCGCGTGGCTTTGCTCCTCCTCCCTGGAGTCCCTGAGTCTGAACGCCTCTCAATACAGCACCTCCTTGGTTTCTCTCTCCCATCTATGTCTATCTCTGGGGTCTCCCTCCCCCTTTCTCCCAATATTATATGTGTCTGTGTCACCAGAACCCCTGTGGAAGATGTTAGAGAGTGGCCTTGAGTGTGTATGGTTGCCTCTATAACTAGGGCTTGTGGGTGTGGGATGTGAGAGTTGATTGTGGGTGTTGGGTGTGTGTTGGTTTTGTGTCTAGCATGTATTAGTTGTGCGTGGCTGGGTGTGTTGGTGATACGTGTTGATTTATGCGTTGTGTTTGTGTTTGTCAGCCTTGTGTGTATGTGCTGGGTATGTGTGGTGGGTGATGTGTGTTGATTCGTTTGTGTGTACCGCGTGTGTTGGTGTCTGCATATGGGTTATACATGTGTGTTGCATGTGAGTGTCATGTGTGTCTGTTTCGGTGTGTGTTGGTATGTCGTGTGGATGACGTGTGTTGGTCGTGTGCGTGTGCGCACTTGAGGATCTACTTGTAACGCAGGGAGCCAAGGCCAGCGTCCAGCACCGGAACTACAGTGAGCAGGCGCTGGGAGAGCTGGCTGTGAGCTGAGGGCCGCGGGAGGGCGCTGTGGGGGAGGCAGGCGGGGTGGAGGCAGGGTCCCCCTGGGCCTGGGAAGGGGGCGGAGTGCGCGGCAGGCGTGGGAGCTGTTGAGTGGAGCGGAACAAATTCCGCAAGTCTGGAGTGGGGGCCTGGGAGTGCTCTGGAGAGTGGGCACTTGGTGGTGGCACTTGGGGGTCGGGGGCTTCCCAGGGAGTCCGGCGTCGGGGCCGGGGGACTGTTCCACTGTGGGGCGATGCGAGCTGAGCGTCTGGGAGGGCGGGACGGAACCTTGGAGGCCGCGCGGCCTCGGGGGCCCGGCCAGGCCGGCGCCAGCCGCAGAGTTGAAAGGCGGCCGCGGCCTCTCCTCGCCGCTTCCTATTGCGCCCCCGAGGGCTCTAGGCGGGGCGCAGGCCTGGACCCGGCTGGGCTCACCTCCCGGCCTTGGGTCACTAAGGAGGGCGCAGCGGTAGGATTCGCACTCGGGGCCCCTGCCTCACCAGTAACTGTCCTCACTGGGCCTCCTGCTCAATCTGGTCCTTCAGCCCCGGGTTCAGCGATCCGAGAAACTAACCTTAAAGTAAGGCGCTCTTAGCGCGAGGTCTTCAGCCCCACCCCAGCCTCCCGGTCCCCAACCGCCCCGGCCCTGCGGACCTATGCTCAAAGCTCGAGGCGCCCCAGGTCCCTTGCCGCCAGGTAACCTCATTTCTGCCCCGCTTCCACGCCACGGACTGCTTTGGTCTTGACTGCGTGGTCAGAAGCTGAATTTGCAAAATGAGGCTTCCGTCTCCTCCCCAACAAAACGAAAACGCTTTCACAGCGTGCAGGGCCGGTGAGACGCCCCTATCATTCCTCAAGGGACAGTGCCTGTTCGTGGTTAGAGCGCAAGGAGTTAAATTCAGAACTAGTTCCCGGATTCTGCGCTCCGTTTTCCAGCGCGACGCGCACTTCGCAGGAGAGCTGCTCAGGCACCAGGTGACCCTCAACCAGATGGAGATGGGCAATGCGGGAAAAACCGGATCCTCGAGTGGAATCCGTGTTGGAATTCCTGCTATGTCCTTCATTAACTGTGTAACCTTGGGAAAACCATGTCACCTCTCTGAGCTGCAGTCCTTTGCGCTATAAAAATCTCCTAGGTGTGTTGGGAGTCAGCGTGAGCGGGAACTCCCGGCACACAGTAGGCTGTGAGTGCAGACTGCTCCATCACTACCTCCCAGCGCGGAAGGTGGCCGACCTCTCCGCCTGGTAGATCCCATGTTTCTTGCCAGAGAAGGAAATTGGTCCGTAAAGGAACAGACCCAGGAAACCCCTGCCCACTCCGCCCTCGGTTGATAAACCAGGGAACACAGTTCGAAGGACTGGGATGGACGAGAAGCAGTGCCGGAAGCGCAGCCGCGATTTCCGGCCGGACCCGGCTGACTGTGGCTCTGGGTGTTCTCCCCACACCAGCGTGCCGCTCCGATCTAGCAAACAATTATCGAGCACCTTCTGTGTGCACACCCTGTTCAGAGAGGGAATGCGGAAACAAAAGGGGGGCAAAGAATGGGCTAGACGGACAGAAACAAAAATGGGGAGATTCGGAGGCCCAGAAGTGGAAGGAAGCCCCTAGCCAAGGCCAGCAGCCAGAGGCGGAGGCGCGCGCGGGCCGGGGTCCCAGGGAGGCCGGGCCCTCGCACCCGGGCTGCGGCGCAGGGAGGGGGCGGGGAGGCGCGCCCGCCTCGCCTGCAGCTACCGCCTCGCTGGAGCCGCGACGCGTCTGCAGAGGGTGAGCCGTTGCTCATTACCGCAATTATGTTGCTCTAAATTTGCCTCTACCCTAAATTGCCAAACTCCAAGGAGCCAGGAGGTCCTGGAGCCGGGGCCGGGGGAGACACCCGATCCTGCCCTGCCATTTCCCTATCACGAACGCGCGGAAAAAAACTTCAGTGCTGCGGGCGCGCAGTAAGCCAAGAAAAGTCAGATGCACCCGGTATTCCCTGGGTGCCCTCCCGCGCGGGGGCTTGTCGACACTTCCCCCAAATCCTGGGGTGTAGGGGGAAGAGTCCAAGGCCCATTTCACAGACGAGAAAAAGGCGGTGCAGAGAGATGATATGATCTTTTATAGTAAGTGGCGGGCTTGATCCACACTGAACCACATTGGCTCTCTGACTCCAAGTTCAATACTAACCCCACGACGAGGACGTCTCTAGCGTGTTCCAGAAAAGAACCCAGATTTGCCAGAGCCGGGCGTCCTGCGCGCCGTCATTCGAGGGTTACTTAATTTATAGAGGAAAGAAAAAAGAAAAAAAACGCGGCGAGGCACTTCAGCCCTAAAGCACCTTTAGAGAGCTGCGTGGTGTGGGAGTCTGAGACCTTGTTATGCATAGCTCCCCTTTGGGGGGCGAAAAGGCCCAGACCCGGGCTCTGGTGCTTTTCTAGAAGTTCCCAGGCCGAGGGCAACAGCTCCGGGGCTCCCCAGGAGCGAAACTGCCCTCCACAGCAAGCTTTTCTTCTTAAGGAGCGGGGTTGTAACAAGTTCATACTGCAGCTCCAGCCAGGGAAGACAGAACCTTTGCCCGAGCTGCAGAGGCTGGAGGATCCGAAGCCCAGGACGCCCCGGAATGTGCCCGGCGCCCGTGCAGAACCTGCCCAGGGCGCGTTCCCGCAACCCTGGGCTCGCTGGGAATTCCTAGACCGACCTAAGGGTCCTGGGGCTAGAAACCGCGCGCTGCCCTTGGGGCTCTGTTTTTAACGTCTCTATCTGTGAAGCTGTTCACCCCTGTTCAAGTCCAACGCCAGGTACCCAGGTTTCGAACCATCTTTAGTCTACTGACCTCCGGCTTAACGGCTTACTGCAGACTGTCCGGCGCTATCCTGCGTGGAATTTGGAGGAGCGGGTCACCGCGGGACAGAGGCTGAAGGAGGAGAGGGATGCGCAGGTCTGCCGCCGCCCGAACACGAAAGACAACAGAGCGGTGCCTGGAGCTTAATAGGCTTTATTTAATCAGGGGGTAATTTTCTGCATTCGGCGTCCTTGCAGAATTCCCCGGAAAGCTAAACTTGGCGCGTGTGCAAATATATTCTCCTGGAAGACTGATCTTAAGAAAAACCGAGTTTGTGAGGGTTTGGAAACAGGGCTCCTGCAGAGGACTTTCCAGGCGAGAGTGGAAGGTGGCCCTGGGTTTTCTGTAAACTTTGTTAGGTTGTGTTGTGTTTTTAGCGGCCAGAATAGGGGGTGAGAAGGTTCTTATATTCTGGCAGCTCAAAATTAGTTCCACAAACCGCGTCTACAGTGGGGGTAATTTAGAGAGGCAACGCAATCGCTTCCATCCCCCACCTGGCCTCCCGTGGGAAAAACAGATTTGCGGAGGTGGGAATTGTCTGGATTAGCTGTCCACACTCATCAAACCATTTGGGCGATTTGCTTTGTTTTCATAGACAGGTTAAAAGGAGAGAAAGAAAGCAAGAGTTGGTTATAGGTTGCCCGAGTAAGTGTCGATTTCAGCTTAAAGTGAATTGGAAAATTGAGCCTAATTATCCTAGGTAATTACTTCAACTCTCCACTTGACTTTCCTAATGCAGATCTGTCGTGGGTGTTCAAAAAGACACCCCCCTCTATCCCTGCATACCCTGTTATCACCTTTCAAAGTTGCTGTCGTAAAAGTACCGTCAAACTGAAAAGCAACTGTACACATAAAGAGATAGCAAGAAGCAAAATTAAAATAAAAGACTCAATCAGTAAAGAGATAATTTTTGTAGCTTAAAATTAATTTATTTAACAAATATAGCTATAATATAAATGATAATAAAATTTCAAATATACAGTATATTACATAGTACACACAATCCCTTCCAAAGGGATGTTTGAGAGCCACACAAATGTACTGTTAAATAGAAAGAGTTTTTTTTTTTTTTTAATTTTACAATTGTGTTTCTGGTACTGGTAAGAGAGAGGTCCCTTCAACCTACCTTTGCAACACATCTGTGTTTTCCCTGCCCCCCAGAGCAAATGTTTTGTTGTTGAACTTGTCTTAAATTTTCCAATGGAAGAAGCTAGGATTCATCTTCCTGGCTGGCTAGTCTTTTTTTTCTCTTTTCTTTTTTTTTTTTTTTTTTTTTTTTTTTTTTTTTTTTGAGATTGTTCTCATTTCCAAAATCGTCAGACACCGATTTCTCTGCGCTTTTCTTGCCTGGTGTCAGGACAGGGAAAAGCTATGCAGGAGACATGGCCTCTAGCTCTGTTCAACTGTCAATTCTGCTGGGGACCTTAGATAAATCTGTTAACCTCTCTGCCCTCAGTTTCCCCATCTTTAACTCGAGAGTGTAGATCTAAATGCTAGAAGAGTACTAAGGGACTCTTCCAGCCACTTTTTGGCAGGGATCAGACTTCGGAGAGTGAACTCAGGGAGCAAAGAGGTGAAACTGGAGCAGTGTGAGGGTTAAAGGGAAGGCGGCTGGCGGTGCCGAGCAGGGGAGCACGTCGGGGGTACAGCACCAGGGCTGGAGGAATCGGCTGGCCCACAGGTGGGCGACCTGGGACCCTCTATGTCAGGTGGTACATGCTGTAGCCCACATGGGCCGTGTAGAGTCCCACGGGCGCCACAGGCAGCGCGGCGCGCTGGAAGGGGCCAGAGGCACCGTAGAGCGAGGCACCCGCCGCGGCCGCTACAGCTGCGGGGCCGCCGAGAGGGAAGGAGAGGCCGAAGGCAGCCGGTGGCAGCATGGGCTTGGCGGCCATCTTCAGCTTCTCCAGCTCTGCCTCTTGTAGTCTCTTTGCCTTGGCGCGGCGGTTCTGGAACCATATCTTCACCTGCGTCTCAGTGAGGCTGAGCGAGCTGGAGAACTCCGCGCGCTCGGCGATGGACAGGTACTGCTTCTGGCGGAACTTGCGCTCCAGCGCCAGCAGCTGCGCGGTGGTGAAGGGCGTCCGCGGCTTACGGTTCGTCTTGTGTTTGCGGAGGGTGCAGGCTGGGGGGCTCAGCCGCCCTGAGGGCCGAAAGAAAAAAAAAGCAAGGGGTTAAGAGAGAAGCATTGGAGCATGATCAGCCCAAGAAGTAGTAATAATAGCCAAACAATACCAGATATTGAGTGCCGCCAAGTGCCTCGGTGCCGGGCATCGCGCAAGGCACTTGAAATATATTTTCTCCAATTCCCATTGCAACCCCGCAGGGGAGAAGTTCCTGTCTACTTTTTGCAAATGAAGAAACTAAGATTCCAGGAGAAAAATACCCACGTTGAAGGCTCGATGTCCACATCTTAGGCCTAAACAGCTGGGAAGATGTGAAATCACCTTTGTGCTGCCCGGCGGCTTAGGAAGGCCTTCATGGCGGGCCTCCTCCCAGGGCCATCCAGAGGAAAGGTGGATGTTAATACAGTTGACGAACATGCAGAAAGAGGCCCTGCGCCCAGCCCAAGGGCACATTTAGTTTTACGCGTTGGCCAAACATTTATCAGTGCCCACGGAGTGCTTCAGTGTGGGGCTAGGCAGTTTTGTGGCATAGAATCCAAATCAAATTCTACACTTTCCCCGGAACACTTCGCTCCTACGGGATTCTAGGAGTAGTTCCCGCAGACCAGAGATGGAGCAGCGCAGACCATCATGGAGGGTGCACTGTGGCCAGCCCTCTTAGAAACAGAAAGTGTCATCTGGAGCGGAGAACGAGGGGCTGCTTTATTCTAATGGGCTTTTTCTTTAGATTGTCTCAGTCCTCTGTTGGATCGCGTTCACCCCTGGCGCCAGGGCCCTCTGGCCCCACTCAAACGTTTGTGTGTGTGTGTGTGTGTGTGTGTTGATGTTGTTGCGGGGGGAGTGTTGAGATCGCCTCTCCCCTCAACCTGTGGCATAGTCAGCAGACATCAACATGCCCAGCTGTCTTTTTCTTTTGGCTTCAAAATAAACCTCAAGGGTGGACAGTGAAGAAGCATCAGAGCGCAGGACTAGTGCAGGTCGGGGATGGGGTCTGCTGGGGACTGCCCCCGGATAAAATGTGGAACAAATTATCCCAACACAGCCGGGATCGCTTTGACTTCGGGGTCTTGGGGCCCAAGGCCCTAAGCGTTGGAAAGGACACTTTGCCTATGCAGCAGCTTTCCCGGCAGAAAGTGAATTCAAATCGAAGATGTTTCACCACGCGGGTTTTGCCTAAGTATGCATTTTTTCACACCTCTCTAAAAAACAACCACAAACAAACAGAAAAAACAAAACAAAACAAAGAAAACACAACGATCCTTTGGACTTTCAGACCACCAGGATGTGAGTCAAACGAAATCTCGTGTTAACACCCCGCTTCTTCCCTGCTGGAGGCCACCGGGAGTCCGGGAAGCGCTTGGCCCCCAACTAGCTTTCCGCCGGGCCGCCCGAGGGGCGGGCGCCGAGAGAAACGTCACTCCCTTCAGCGGCGACAACCCAGAGCGGGGCCACCTTCTCCGGCCATTAGGCTTAGGGAGGGACTGGCCTTTCAAAGACGTTTAATCCCCAGATAAAAATCATTCCTCAGCATCACGCCATTGAAATCTGGCTGCTATTATGCCGAGCAAAATAATCGGAGGAAACGAGGAAAACTTGGGAATTTCCCGTGCTCCTGAAATATCTCCGAGCGTGTTCTCTGAGTAGAGCAGCCAGGGGGCCGTGAGGCCTTGGAGCGAACCGCCTTGGGCACCTGGAGTCCACTTTAATGGCTCAGTCCTAGACGTTTGGGAGCTTCCCATAGGATTAGCGGGGGCGCCTTCCCCTAATTGACTTGGTGCCCCGCCCCCTCCACTGGAACCTGAATGTCCCCACCCCTGAATCATCCATCCGCCCAAAGCACCAACTATCTGCCTCAAACTCAAAGGGCATGGGGAGGTAGAATTCTGTAGGAGCTTCGGAACCTCTAGGCAAAGAGGTACTTGAAAGGGAAGAGGGGCTGGGGGACACCAGCTCCTACTGCGAGAAAGTGAAACTCCGGGTGCAGGGAAGATACCGCACCACACACATTCATCCGCTGGGGTGAAGCCGATGAAACAGAGTTTGGGATCAGATGAGGGATCATGGACCCCTGAGGTCGTTTGGTGGGGGCAGGAGGACAGGGTGCCCAGACATCGGTGTCCTATCCGTTAACTCCCACCCGCAGCGTCTCTGGGCCAAGGCGAGGAGGTCTGGAACCTTCTTCCTGGGTGGGAGTGGAGGGAGGCGCAAGACCCGGCCTTGCAGCCCACGGCTCCCTAGCACCGGCTGCAGGTACGCAGGCGCCGGAGGCCACCAGGAGCCCTCGGGTCCCACACCCCACCCGGCCCCCACCCGGCCCCCTCCCTCTGCGCCTGGGTTCTGGCTACTCACTGGCCGGCGGCGGGGAGAAGCGGGGGCTCTGCATCCACGGGGTCCTCTCGGGCTTCTCGGGGCTCTCGGCTTTGACGAGCGCATCTTCTGGCAGCTTGAGGAGTCCCCCCACCGAGAAATGGCCGAGCGGCCGCGGCGAAGAGGGCGCGTCCGGGGCTCCCAGCGACCCCGGCGGGACGCCCAGTGGCTGCGCCGAGCCACCCGCCGCCTGCACGCCCTCGGAGGGCGCCAGGGCGCTCTCCTTGGCCCCCGGCTTCCTGTGGTCGGCCATGAGCGCCTCCACGCTGAAGGGCAGGAGCGAAGGGGACACTTTGGGCTTGGCCCCCTCCTCGTCCGCGCCCATGGCGGCTGCCGTGGCCGCGGCGGCGCTGGGGGCCTGGCCCGCGCCTCCCCCCGCCGGCTTGCCGAAGGCGGAGTCCTCCACTTTGACACCGAGTGGCAAAGAAGTCATGTCAGCAGCCGGGGCCATGCAGAGCCGGGCCCCCCCTTCTGCCGCAGCACTGGCCAGCCGCCGGGCATGGGCTCCGGGCGGGCTGGGAGCGCGGCCGGCCTCTGCGAGCGCCCGGGGCCCTGGCCGGGCGGACCCTCCCGCGCGCGCCTCCCGCCCCTCCCCAGCAGGCCAGCTCCGGCGTGCTGGGCCTGGCCTCCGGTCGCTGCCGCCGCGCAGGCAGAGTTCCCGGGAGCACTCGCCGGCTCCGGGCCCTACCGCGGCTCCCCAGAGAACTTGCTAATAAGGCGAGGCCAGCGGGGCGGCGGCCAATCAGCGCGCGAGGGGGCGGGCCCGGAGCGATCCATTGGGCCGCGCTCCTGGGGACTCGCCCGGAGGCGCGCTGGGCCTGGGGGCACGCAGGGCAGGGCCCAGGCGGCGGAGGGCAGGGGAGGAGAGGGGGTGCCCGGGAAACTTTCCTCTGCGCTGAAGCCCAAGAGGCCCTCTCTGCGGGAGTCCCCTGGGTCTCTATCTTTCTGTGTTCCCGGGGGATTTTCCCTTGTTCTCGTTCCTTCTCTTCTGCCCTCCTCTCCTCCCCTCCCCTCCCCTCCTCAGCCCTCTTTTCCGCTCCTCTTTTTTTCCCCGTCCTTGTTTCTCTCCTCTACTGCTTCTTTTACCTTTCTCTTTAGTCTGTGGCTGGGTTTCCCTGTGCCCCCCTCCACTGTCTGACCCCCCCTCTTCTTCTACCACAATAATTTGAGTTGAGGTTATTTCTTACACATTCCTTTTATATATAGTTTTTAAAATACGCATGGCTATTTATCCTAGGAGAAAGACATACTATTAACTTCTTTTCAAGAAACGAAACAAAACCAAACCTTCATTTTCTTCCTGTTCTGAAATCTTGTAAACTTTACCTCGAGGTAAAAGTGGGCCTTTGTCTCTAACTTAGAGCTGGAGTAAACCTTGCGGGAAGAAGCTAGCTTCCTGTAGTGCCAAGGATGTGAGAATACGTAAGATTATCTAGAATCTGCAGTCGGTTTTCATACACGATGTGTATTCCCCCCCCCCCACCCTCGCTCTGAACTTCTGTCCCAAGGGTCACAACACCTATAGCGCCCGGGCGGGGAAAGGAGCTGCCAGATCCTTTTGATATAGAACTTACTGAAATAAAACCAACAGAATCGTCAATGAAACACCGATCTGGCCTTAAGGTGACCTCAAACAACGCGTCCTCGGAAACAATGACATGTCCCTATCTCTGGGCCGCTGATCCTGGAGGGGAGAGGCACATTTGGGGGAGGGGGCTGGGAAAAGAGGAAAGTTCCTGGAGGTGGACTCTAGTGTGGGACTTGAGAACTCTTCTTTTGCCAATTTCGGAGAAAACGTGATTTAATGTTTGCTGTTAATAATAATAATAATAATAAAGACAGAAAAAATGAGTTGGGGTCAGGGGAGATGCAAGATCTGCCTGAAGCGGGGTCGGGGCTTGGCCATTTTCTGCGCCTGTCGCTTTATGGCCTCTCCTCCTGCGGCCCAGGCCAGCGGCTCTCAGGGAGTGAGCGGAGGTGATTGGCGGCTCACTCGGCCCTGCCATTGATGACTGCGGGGTTCTAATCTCCAGGAAACACAAGGGGCTGCCGTGGCCATTTAGGGGTAATTATCCGAGCGCGGAGGGACAGCGAATTCCCTCGACTTTTAACTGGGCGCAATAAAAGCTGTAGATTAGGGGCGTCCAGATTAGGGAAAATGAATTAGAGCGGGAACTTTATTATCCGGAAGACGTCCGGGGTCTGGCGGCAGGGGTCGGGCTGCGGACGCCGGAGCGATTGGTAGCCTCCCATCTGTCCACAGGCCGCCGAGATATGCTGAGGCCTGGGGAAGTTCGGGAATACCGGCATCTGAATTTTACGCACATCTCCAGGTTTCTAAAGGACCCAAGACTGCAACTCAGGCACTGGGCAGTGGTTGGGGCTTCTAGCTCGAGTTGGGCCGGCTGGACGCGCGGTGCACCGGGGCCTCCGGAGGTTTGCCCGAGAGGGTACAAGGATAGAAGACCTTAAGACCCAATTTTGAAGCTCAGCTCGCTGAGGCTGAGCAAGGCTGTAGGGCAAATACCTTGCTGGTAGCCCAGCCAGGACAGCGAACAACAGCATCTTCCTCTTCTTCCTCTTCTTCTTCTTCTTCCTCTTCCTCTTTTTCTTCCTCTTTTCTCCTCCTCCTCATCCTCCTCTTCCTCCTCTCCTCCTCATCTCCTCCTCCTCCTCCTCCTTCTTCTTCCTCTTCCTCTTCTTTGAGACGGAGTTTTGCTCTTGTCGCCCAGGCTGGAGTGCAATGGCGCGATCTCAGTTCACTCCAACCTCCGCCTCCCAGGTTCAAGCGATTCCAGGACGGCGAACTTCTATTGCTCCCGTTCTAATCAAACTCTCGTCAGAACAACCCCCTCCGCACCCAGCCAGAATCTCCCTTTGTGGCCAGGTTAAAGGGGGAGAGGAAACAGAGGCCTATCTGCTTTTGGGGCCATTTAAAAAGCGAGCAGTGTGCCTTTTCGAGTCTTTGCTTAGTTCCGCCCTCGCCCTCCTTCTGCAAATGTTTTGCTCCCAGGTCTCTTTAAGAATCTGATACAGCCAAGAACTTCTTCCCTAGAAAAATGCACACCTACAAAAACACATTACAAGCAACGGGGCAGACAACTTCGGGGGCTCTGGTCCCAAGTGGAGTCCTCCAGTTAAGAACCCCTGCTTTAGGGCTGAGCGGGGGCTTGAACTCAGAGAGCGAAGCCGCATGGTGCAGCGGGGGCTAGTGTGGAACTTGCGGCGGTCGCAGTTGAGGAGCGCAGCAAGGCCTGGACTCCGCCGCGGGGGGGGGGGGGGGGGCGGGGGGCCCGGGGGCGGGCGGCCTGAAAAGGGCCGCATCGCTAATTGCGGGGATAAACAATGTGTCACGATTCCTCAGCGCGCCTAATAGGCAGACTAGGATGTTGTTTTAAGGCGCCAGCGGCGGCCGGATCAAAGGCTGCACCCGGCGCACGGGCCCTTGAAGTCGCGCCCCTGCCTCCGGGGAGCAAATCGCCTGGCCCCGCAGCACCGGCCCCGCAGCCAGCCCCTCGGCTTCCCGAGCCGGGTCTGAACGCCACGGTGTCTTCTTTATAGGTTCGGCCTGGGTTCGTGTCTGCTGTCGCCCCGCGCGGCAGGTTAACCGCGTGTAAACGTTGCTAGGCGAGAAGAGTGCATCGGCAGAGAAGGGGGTTCAGACTCAATTCCGTGTCAGAAAAGCGCGGGGCTTTCCCATTGCTCTGCCCCTGGATTGCGAGAGAAAGAAAGGTGCCGGCAGTCTCAAGAGAAAGGAGTCAGATAAAAGAAATAAAATGTCTGCCTGTTTCCCAGGGCGTTGTTTGTTCCCGCGGGAGGAAAGCCACGAGTTACAGGGGCAGTGAGAGGGAGACTTCTCTGAGTTATTTTTTGTCTAGGACTTTACCGATTTCCCGGCCCAGGGGTTCAGCGAGCAGGCAGGCCCTGGGGCTGAGCCTGTTATCTCGCCGCCAGCTCTAACCTCGAGGCGTTTGTACCCCCGGCATTTCTCTGCGCTGCCGCTGCAGCCGAGAAAGCCGGGCAGTAATTCATGCCTGGCAAGGGCAGGGCTGGCCCCAGCAGATAAAGCTCGGGGACTGGCGCTCCGCTTCCATCCTCTAGACTTCTCTCCCCTCCCCTCTCGCTCCATCTCCCCTCATTTTCAGGCATCCTAAAGCACTCCCCGCCCCCAAGTAGAGGGCCTCTGCATTTCGGATCCTGAAGATGGATTATCCTTCGTCTACTTTCTGGGCAACTAAACTGGTGGTGGGTTTAGCTGGTTTTTTTTTTCCCCCAAAATTTTGCGGGGGTTGGGGGGATGGAGGCAGGGATGGTGGTGTTGCTAAGTATACACCACTCCCGTGCAAAGATTAATTTTTAGAAGGACCCCGTCCTAAAGACGGTTATCCCTATCTGGGTATTGCTGCACCGGTTGGAAGAGCCTGGAGGCTGACTTCTCACTTCGGCATTTGTTGTCGCCTCCGTCGGGTTTTTGTTTATGCTCCCTCCCTCTCTTTCCACTGCATTTTGTGACCTCGGCCCAGGAATCCCGCGTGCATTTTTTAAAAATGTGCAGCTCAGTGGGATCCCCCGGCAATTAGCGAGCCCCAAACAGTCCTCTTTAATAGAATGAATGTGCTATGAAAACCGATTACCCGGAACGATTTATTTTGGTGGGAATTCACCAATCGCCAGGAGGGCGACGGAGGGGGAGAGAGAGGAGGTATTTTGTCCCGGGGAGGGGGTGGGGGTTGACGGGCAGACAGAAAGCACTGTCACGGGGTCTCCCAATCTGCGAAGGGGGCCTCCCGACCCAGCCATCTCCACTCTTTTGGCCTCTGTCGCCTAGAAGTGAGGGGCTGGGAGTCAGGTTCAGCAAACTGGGAGTCACTAACTTCGGGAGGACTTCACAGCGTTCCAGAGAAAAACTCCGAGCCCTGAGAACTCCAGGGAGTCTTCAGCTACTGGTTGAAGATCCACGACACAGACCTGGAGAAAAACAGCGTTCTGCTTTCCGGAGACCTAGGCAGAACTTGCGCTTTTCAGGAGTTTTGGTACCTCCTTTTAACAGCGAAGTCAAAATACAAACTCTTTGTGAAAATGTTTCCTCCTTCTTGCTAAATCCTCCTCAAAGTGGGTGCAACTTGTGCGGTGGTACAGTCCGCGTGGAGTGGATTTCACCCGGCGCCAAGGCGAAATTGACAAGCCCCACTCCCGGCTTCTGCCCCCACCCCCCCCCCCTTCCCCCACTGTCTGCTCTCCCTACCGTCCCAGGCCCGGGCTTCCTTGTGTCTTTAAATTTGGAAGGGGGTGAGCAGGACCAGGATCAGCAGGAGAAGAGAGCCCCAGCCTCCCCCCTCGCTTTCAAATGGCCCAAATTAATGTGATCGCGACGTGAGGGTGCACTTGGGAAGATGAAAGGAGAGGCCGGCCGGCTCTCCTAGAGCTCTATAATTATAGATAATATATCCCATTTCAAAGCAATTAGACCAATCAGGCGTAACGAACCACTTTGCTGCTGACGAATAACAAAGGCGCACGGTTATTTAAGCCCGGAGATGTCAGGCAGACCCCGAGGCTCCAGGGTCGACCAAACGTCTTCCATTCTGGCTCTGCCCACCCCGGCGGAGGAAGGCTGGCCCTTCTCCCCTCCAGCTCTGCCCTGCGCAGCCCGCCGTGGGCCCCATCTCAGTTCCGGCAGGGGGTGGGAGGGAATGCGAGGAAGATAACTGACTTGTATTGAGTTGGGTGTCAGGCCCCTTGTCAGAGGTTTCACAAACTTTATCTCTTTATAATCCTCTCTACTCTGTACTCTGGGAGGTAGGTATTATTGTCAGATTTCCCCCCGCTCCCCCTCAGATGAAAGAACAGAATCAGAGAGGTTAAGTGTCTTGCTCAGGGTCACACAGCTAGTTAGTAGTGGCATCAGGATCTGTTCGCAGGTGGGTCTGAACGCCTGGAATCCACTCCCTTCATTCCTGGGTGCAGCCTCTCTCGGGGCGCTTTCAAAAGAGGAAATGCACTAAAATATAGCGAGTAGGGACGATGGCTTACGCCTGTAATCCCAGTACTTTGAAAGTCGGGAAGATCGCTTGAGCCCAGGAGTTCAATACCAGCTTGGGCAAAATAGAGGGACCTCGCCTGTACCAAAAAATAATAATAATAAATAAAATAAAATAAAGGCCAGGCGTGGTGGCGCGCGCCAGTGGTCCCGGCTACTGGGGAGGCTGAAGCGGGAGGATCTTTTGAGCCCAGGAGGTCAAGGCTGCAGTGAGCCGCGATCGCTCCACTGCTCCAGCCTAGGTGACAAAGCAAGACCCTATCTCAAAAAAAAAAAAAAAAAAAAAACATAGGATGCTCTCATGCTCTCAGTATTTTCGTGGAACAGCCTCCCCGTCCCTCCCCCAATCCACGAAATGGGTCTTTGGGCCCGTACTCACTACTTTTCTCTTATGCTCCTCCCCCTCCCGCCCACCACCTTCTTTGGGAGTCCTGAACACTGTCGAGGTTTTCCATGAATTTAGGAAATGTCGAGGATCTCAGGTCTCTCTGAGAAGAAAACAGACCCAGGGCTACGAGCCAGGTAACCAGCCGAGGGTGGAGGGCCAATTTTTCTAAGCCTCTGTTGGTCGTCTTTGAAATGGGCGAGGACGGGCAGGAGCAATGATCAAGAGACTCCGGAAGACAGAGATGCTCCGGCCCAAGAGGCGCGGAGCCACAGAGGGTTGGGGAGGCTCCTTCCGTGGACACGGCGACAGAGAGAACGGAAGACCTCCCGAGGCCTCTGAGAGACCCAGATATGGAGTGAAACTGAAGGCAAGCTGGGGATGCCGAGAAAGGCCAGAGCTGAGGCTGGAAAGGAGGGGCGTCCAGGGAGAGAGTTTCCCCCGGAAAAGCCGCCCCTCGCCCCACCTTCGCGGGGGCAGCTGTCGGGACTCTGCGGGGCTGGGGAGCTGCCTTTCTGTGACAAGGCGGCCCGCGGACAGCCTGGTGTGTGGGAGTTGTCTCTTATTTTTCTGGGACTCAGGTTTGTCCCTGCCTTTCGGCGACATTCCTTTCCTGTATCCTTCTGTCTGCCTGTCTGTCTGCCTCTGAATCTCTGCGCCTAAGGCGGTCTCCCCTCCGAGCGTCTCTCTTGGTCTCTGTGGGTAGGTCTCGCAGCCTCTGTCTCTTCCGCTCTCTGCACTGCTTCTCGAGGCGCGTGGCTCGGTCTCTCTTCCCCTCCCTACCGCTCAGTCGTTTTCTCTGGAAATCTCTTTCTCCTCCCCCGCCCCTCCGCCCAAGTTGAAGTCTGAATCACTGCTGTCAAGTCGCTGAGAAGCTGCTGTGACTCCAGCAAGTTCTTCCTGGAGGCAGTCTGCGATTTCTGGAGCAGCCGGCGCACCTTCGTGAGAAGCAGTAAAGCGCCGGGTCGGCCCAGGCAGGAGAGGGAACTTCCGCCGGCAGCTTATCTCCGCGCCTCCCTTTTCACTTCTGGACCGCGCGCTGCACAATGCACTACCTTCCCCCAGGCAGTCCTGAGGACCCAGGAGCAGTGGCCCCAGGCCGCAGCAGGCCGGGCTGAGCTAGAGAGAGCCAGCCTATAGTGATTCATCCCTGCCGTCCTAGAACACGAGGATGGGAACTGGAGTGTGCGAGCGGGGCAATGCAGAGCATCTCCAGGAGGGGGAAAGGGTCACCGGGAACCCGCAGGCAGCCCACCGCTGGAGGCAGCAGGCAGCGTCTGTTTTCTGGAGGGGCAGCTGGCACAGCTCAGGGCACCCAGGCTGGACCCCAGCACGTTCTCTTTTGGCTGCTGGCTCCCTGTCTTCAGGGCTGGAAGAGCCACAGCCCCTGCCACCTGGAGTTTCTGCCCTCTTCCCTCTTGCGCTTACCGCCCAGACCTCAGCCGGCCCAGGATAGGCAGCAGCAGGCCTACGCCCTGTATCTTTGGGCCTGACTTTCCTCGCCCTTGAGTGAGATGGAGGGGTGTTCACCTTACCGGAGGGCCTTTCTGGGTAGAGAACAGAGGTCCAGAGGAGACGGTGACTGGGAAGCCTCCCACATGCAGTAAGTGCTCAATCAGTGCTCGCTGAGTACGAAGAGAGGAAGGGGAGAGTCCATTGAGTTTGCCTTTCAGTGGGGAAAGTTGGGGAGGTGGAGAACCAATGACCCAGGGTCCCTGTGACCTCGGTGACACCTGGACAAGGTTCTTCCTCCCTTGCCTCTTTCCCCCAGCCACCGCCTCTTGCTCACCACAGCCCCCACCCCAACCTGGGTTTGCTATGGAGAATAGGGCAGTCCTTCCCCACCCCGGGGTGGGGTGTGGGTGCTGTGTGACCCTTTTTGGTCCTTGCACTTTTCTGAGCCAGGGTCACTGACACAGCTGAGACCAAGCTGAGGGACTGGGGAGGGGAGGGGAGGGGCGGGATGTTCATGCTCACTCCTCCGCAGGCCTTCCTTTAGGCCCAGGAGAACAAAACAAAACAAACACAAAACAAAACAAAAAAAACACCGGGGTTGCAAGAAACTAGACATTTGGCGCAACATCCATCCTCCATAGAAAGGGACACTGAGGCCCAAACGGGAGTCATTTTCCCGGAGGTCTCTGAGCCAGAAACTGGCAGAACTGATACTAAGTGCAGGTTTTGCAGCCCCCACTTGGTGCTTATCCTTCCCCGTCCCCAGGAAGGTCAAGATACCTGGGGCATTCCCCAGCCTCTCTAAGCAGAAGCCACCTGTGCCATGTGGCCTGCACCTTCGCGACCTCGCAGAGGGCCATGCCCATTCGTGAGGACTGGGGTGCAAAAGGCTGTAAAGTGTGGGGCACCCTGCAGCACTCTGGCCCGGTAGGTTCAGAGAGCATCTCTTCTGCTCTCTGGTGTGGGAGGAGGCGCCCGAGTTCAGTTCTTGGAGCAGGGGGCGCCTGGAGAAAACCTACTTTGACTACGTGCTCCTCTTACTTGCTGGGTGCTTCACATGCACCGCCAAAGTTAATTCTCATGACAGTCCAGAGGTGACCACCCCACTTTTCAGATGAGAAAGTGGACACCCCGGGAGTTGAAGTGGCGAGGTCCTGGCAGCGCAGCTGTGCATAGGGACCACCAGGACTGGAACCCATAGGTGCCATTGCGTGGTTTCCCGTATACCACGGGCTGGAGGGGGGCTCTGGTTGTAGGCCTTCTAGCCTCTGCATGAGGTGGGTTGGCCCTGGGGCCTGCAAACGTCTCAGACTTTGGTTTTCCCTGTACCACGAAGGTCAGGGAGGTTTGAACTTCTTGGGCCCCCCAGGTCTAGAGTGTTCGCAGGTCCCCTGGGCACGCAGAAGGGGCAGGACAGTGATTCCCTGAGAAGCCCTACCCTCCACCTCACCCCACTGGGCTCTGCGGGAGGGGGTGGGGGTGCCAGCCTCCACCTCTGACCTCAGCTAGTGACCATCCCCAGATCCCAGTTGCTGCATCTGTGTAATGGACCTGCTAAGCCCCATTCTGTCTTCCTCCTTGAAGTTGGGTGAGGAGGATCTGAGTCCGAGGAGTCTGGAAAATCAAGGAGCTGAATACCAGGATGGGAAAGACTATTACTTGTTAATAATAGCACGTATTAAACAATTACTGTTGCCAAGCGTTGTTCTGAGTTCTCAGCATGTCTTCATTTACTTCATCTTCACAGCAACTCTATTTTTATCCCTAGGTTATGCAGGAGAAACTGGAGTTAAACAGTTTATACGAGCAAAAAGGAGCATAAAACAAGACGTCTCCTGGCGCTCGGGATTTTCAGGGATGAGTCCCACTTCGGAGACTCCCTGCTGTGGACTTCCTGATGAGGAAAGGCAGGGAAGGCTGCTTCTCGCTGCCCCAGTGCCAATCCCTGTGTGTGGCCATGGGGTGGCTCCTCAGAGTGAGCCCATATGGGTCCCTGAGACCAGTACAAAGCCTGACATAAAGAGGGGACCTCAGAGGGGGATGAATGGCTGACTACCAGGCAGTCAACCCTTCATCAACCAGGCTGGGCTCCTAACCCAGAGCACCCCAAACATATGGGCAGCTGCACCCGGGTGGTGGGTAAGGCCTGAGGGCAGAGCCTGGGGGTTAGGGTTGGGGACAATCCATTGGAGTGTTGGTCCCAGGTTTCTTGAATGACATTTTAAAAAGAAAGCTGAAGTCACCCCTCTTCGGTAGCTTATTCTCCTGTGTTTAAATTTCCTTTTTTTTTTTTTTTTTCCAGACAGGGTCTCACTCTGTTGGCCAGGCTGGAGTGCAGTGGCACAATCTCAGCTCACTGCATCCTCAACCTCTTGGACTCAAGCGACCCTCACACCTCAGCCTCCTGAGTAGCTGGAACCACAGGCTCGAACCACCATACCTGGCTAATTTTTAAAAGTATTCGGTAGAGCCTGGGTCTCACTATGTTGTCCAGGCTGGTCGCAGACTCCTGGGCTCAAGCGATTCTCCCACCTTGGCCTCCCTAAGTGCTGGGATTACAGGTGGGAGCCCCTGAGCCTGGCCTAAATCTCCTTTGCACTTGAAGATGGGTCTAGCTACCCCTTCCTCCACTGAAAAGGAAGCTGAGGCCCAGAAAGGTCAGGCAACATGCTTGGTGTCACACAGAATGATCTGTGTGACCTCCAAGCCCAGTGGCTGTCCCCACAAGGCAGCCTTCCCCTGCCCAAGGCACCTCCCACAGCCGCTTGCTTCCTCGCCAGTGTCCAGAGCTGGGCTGTGGGAGTGGAAGGTGGGCTGAGCATCCCCTAGGAAGATGTGGCAGCGTCTGTCATCCAGTGGCCCCGTCTTTCCAGGAAGGCCAGGTTTCCCTCCCTGGGTTTTCTGGTGGAGGAGAGAGAATTATTCTCCTGACAGCCTCTCCCCAGTCTAGGGTTCTCCCAACCCCCTCTAGCTTCTCCTGTCCCAGCCAGGGTGTAGGACCACCCCATCTGATGGAAGATTCCATCCCTGGGGAGACCCCCTATCTGATCAAATGCTGGACCCTTGGCCACAGTCCAATTAAGTGAAAATAGATCCAGCCTTATCAGATTCAGGCTGTAGTCCCTGGGGTGGTCCCCTCAGCGCCCGGAGGGTCCCTGTCTCTTTGACTTTCCTGCTCAGACACACTTGTTTAAACAGACCCCTCAGGGCCTTCAGTAACCTGAGCCAGCCTGGAGGGCAGTTGCCAGGTAAGGCACAGCGGTTCAGATGGTGGGTGGGGCAGCCAAGAGCACAGAGGAGGCAAAGGTGGTGTGGGGAGAGCAGGGTGAATCCACTCTTAGAACACAGAGGAGTCTCTGGAGCTTGCTCCATGGGTTCAAATCCTGCCCCCACCCCTTTCAGCTTTGTGGCCTTGGACAAATTACTGACGTTCTTTGGGCCTTGGTTTGCCATTATGGTGAGGATTCAATGAACATGAACACTTCTAAAGTTCTTGGAGCTGTGTGGGCACAGACTCAGGGCTCAGTGATCTGAAAATCCAGGTGCCCAGCAAGTCCTTTTTGCCATCACAACAGCCCCGGAATGTGGTTACTCCTGTGCTGCCCTACAGGCGAGAAAGCCAGGGGCCAGAGAGGTCCAATGACTGAGATTGGCCAATGTCTGGAGACTGTGTCCCCACCCAGGCTTGTGGCCCCAGGCAGGTGTTCTTTCTATCCCACCAGGCCACTGAATAGCTCTTAACTCAGGATCTGAGTCAGGATCCAGCACCTGCCCAGTGTAGGCAGCGGCAGAGCACAGCGCATCTGGGGATGTAAGTCCTTGGCCTCTTCCTCCTCCCAGTCCCGAAGTCCTGGGCCTCAGGTCTCTACAGGAGCCGTCCTCCCTTCTCCGCATCTCCCGTTCCCTGCCACCTCCACCACCATGTCTGGCTCAATCCAACAGTCACACTCTTGGATTGCAGTTAGACCCACATGCCAAGCACACTCCTGCCTCAGGACTCCCGTGTGGCTGTTCCCTCTGCCTGACATGCTGTTCCCACAGATATCCTCCTGATCCCTCCCTTCAGGGTTTCTGCTTAGTGGGTATGTCCTCAGAGAATGCTTCCCTGACCACCTTCACTAAAATACTAGACAACCCTCTCCCCAGCCAGGCAATCTTTTCCAAAATCCTGCTTTAACTTTCTCCAGAGTATGCATTGCCATCCAACATTTTATTATTATCTCTGGTTAGTTGCTTATCTGTCTCTCCCCATTAGAACTTCAGCCACATGTGGACAGGTACTATGTTTTGCTCATGGCTGTCTCCCCAGTAGTCAGCACAGAGCCCAGCACATAGTAAATAATTAATAAAAAATTTTAAAAAGAGACTGGGTCTCGCTATGTTGCCCAGGCTGGTCTCAAACTCCTGGGCTCAAGCGATCCTCCCGCCTTGACCTCTCAAAGTGCTGGGATTACAGGCGTGAGCCACCGCAACTGGCCCAATAAATATTTTTGAATGACTGAATAAATGTCTCACATACGCACTGTAACTTCATGGCCTCTATAGCCTCAGTTTTGTCATCTGTAAAATGGGCCTAATAAGTCTGTGCATCTTATATTGTTGTGAGGAATAAACTACAGAAAGCATGGGAAGTGCATGGTGCAGTGCCTGGCACCAAGGAAACCTGCAGAACTGTTTTTTTGTTGTTTTTTTTTTTTCTGACTAAAAAAGGTGAGTGGACTTTCCAGAAGTTTTCTGCTCTTGAGTGGAGTTAGTGCAGCAGGGTCAACCTTAATTCCAGGTTTTTATCATTCACTCCAGAAGATAAAGCCACTTCCCATCCTGTATTTTATCTGAGCCTTTCAGTGACTCTATGAGCTGGCCAGGAGATGTTTAGGTCTTTTTGTAAGTGGAAGGACAAGGCCCAGAGAGGTCAACACACTAACCCAGAGGTCACACAGCTAAGCAGCTCTTTCACATACCTGAGAGAGCTCTCTTGGCCCTACTCTAAGTTCTCATCCAGGGACTGGAAGCTTGCGGCTGACATCTTTGGATCTTACCTATCTGAGAGGGCAGGTTCCAATAGGC
Source organism: Homo sapiens (assembly GCF_000001405.40). Taxonomy (NCBI): domain Eukaryota; kingdom Metazoa; phylum Chordata; class Mammalia; order Primates; family Hominidae; genus Homo; species Homo sapiens. Next base: position 4,847,403 of record NC_000004.12, on the reverse strand, counting down.
TGACACCTTCAACACGGACTGGTGCCAGGCAGTTTCCCTCAGAAAGACTCTGAGCTAAGAGCGGCCCTGGAGATGTGGACCTGGAGGAAGGGTCGGGATTTGGCCAAGCTGAGTGGAGGGGGCTAAGCAGGTGCAGGTGAAAGGACAAAGGCAGGGGGGTGGAGGGTGCAGGATATGCAGGGTGTGAGTGACCCCAAGGCTCCGGCAACCCTCCCTGCTTCTGACACTTCTACCAACTCAGCCTTTGGTCAGAGGAGGTCAGGGGGCCGTTATGGGCTTCCATGGACTCCATCTCCCCTGTAATGATAGTCGTTGCAGCTGCCTGCTCAAGCCTTCATTTTCCTGTTTACAAGCTTTCCAGAAAACAGAAGTAAGCCCAGCACGCCCCTCCCCGTTTCCTAGGCAGGAGTGCCAGTTCTGCACTCTGGGTGCAGACAGCAAACCCTCCCTGGGACTCTCCTGGGGATGGCAGTGATCTTGGTAGCCCCCGGTTGCCTGTGGTGGGGGTGGGGGGTGTTGTGGAGTTTCTGTCTTGAAAGGCAAATTTGGGCTGACATTTAGGCTTTGCCTTCACAATTCAAAGACAGGTGGTGAGAAGGGAAAGCAGAGGTGTGATGCTGGCTCAGTGTGAGGCACTGTTAGTATCTCATTGAATGTGTCCAGCAACCCTGATACCCAGGCACTATGAACCCATTCAATAGATGAGAAAACAGAGGCACAAGAGTCTGTGGTCTATGGCAAGAGTCCTCCTGAATGGTGTTTGCTTCTCGCATGTGAGGAACGTGGAGAAAATTAATGGCATAATGATTACCACCATGAAGCTTCCAAACACCTACTAGGGGCAGGCTCTTTACACACATTACCTTGGTTAGTCCTCCCAGCCACATGGGGTTTACATCACAGTCTCCATCTGACAGATGGAGAATATAATGGGGGTGAATAGTCGCTCATCCAAGGTCATTCAACTACTGGAAGAGAAGGGAGGACTTTAGCCTCTGAAAGAGTCTCCTCCAAGAGGAAGCTGCCCCTTTGTAGGGAAGACTAGGCAGGCTTGTGAAAGTACAATGAAAGGAAACAAACATTTTTGTTGCCTTTTTCCCTGGCAGGAAAAGCCCCCTGGGATTGCCCCCTCTCCACATGTGCAAAGATATCAAAGGCGGGACAGAATTGCTCTGAAATCCCAAGCCAGGGGCTGGGTCTCCCCTAGGGAGGGAGCCGGGATGAAAGGGAGAGAGAGGGAGGAAGATGGAGCAGGAAGAGGAGGAAATGAAGGCGCATCAAAGCCACCCGCCTCCTGGATCCACCGGGGTCTGCTGTGCCCTAGTGGGGTGGGGGCCTAGGTGGGGTTGCCACCTTCAAAGAGGAACCCTTGAGGCGCTCAGCCTACTGCTACTGAATGCAAGGCCCTAAGATGGGGCATTCAGGGCCTCCCAATGAGGGCTTTTAAAAAATCAGCGCTTGTGGCTAGGTGCGGTGGCTCACACCTGTAATCTCAGCACTTTGGGAGGCCAAGGGGGGCGGATCATCTGAGGTCAGGAGATTGAGACCAGCCTGGCTAACATGGTGAGACCCTGTCTCTACTAAAAATACAAAAATTAGCAGGGCATGGTGGCACACGCCTGTAGTCCCAACTACTCAGGAGGCTGAGGCGGGAGAATCGCTTGAACCAGGAAGGCGGAGGTTGCAGTGAGTTGAGATCACACCACTGCACTCCAGCCTGGGCGACAGAGCAAGACTGCACCTCAAAAAGAAAAATAAATCAGCGATTGTGATAATGTCGTATAATTAACAATCTTGCCAAGTGGGCCAGTGCTTCACTGACTTGATGCCATTCACTTTATTTATTTATTTATTTATTTATTTTGAGATGGAGTCTTGCTCTGTCACCCAGGCTGGAGTGCAGTGGTGTGATGATCTCAGCTCACTGCAACCCCCGCCTCCCAGGTTCAAGCGATTCTCCTGCCTCAGCCTCCCGAGTAGCTGGGACTACAGGCCTGCACCACCACACCTGGCTAATTTTTGTATTTTTAGTAGCGACGAGGTTTCACCATATTGGCCAGGCTGGTCTCAAACTCCTGACCTCAAGTGATCCACGCATCTTGGCCTTCCAAAGTGTTGAGATTACAGGCGAGAGACACCGTGCCCGGACCTCGTTCACTCTTTCCCTCCAACCTGTGACGGGGGGCATCGTGGTCCCGTAGCTCTGGGAGAATGGGGCAAGTCGTTCAGCATGGTGGGATCCCCACTGCACATCAGGGTCTGTGTGACTCCAGGGCAAGGGCTCTTTGGCCCCACCACACGAGACTTGGAATCGAAGTTGTCCTGTTAGGATGCATATTCATTTCCTAAGGTGGTCCTAACAAAGTACCACAAATTGTATGGCTGAAAACAGCAGTAATGTGTTTTCCCACAATCTGAGGGCTGGAAGTCTGAAACCAAGAGACTGGCAAGGCCGTCTCCCTCTGAAACCCTGGGTAGAGGCTTGCCCTGCTTCTCTGGGCTTTGGTGGTGGCCAGCAATTCCTTGGGGTTCCCTGGGTTGTAGCTGCTCACTCCAGTGTCTGACTCAGTCTCTCATGGTGTTCCCTTGTGCATCCCACATGGCGATCCCTCTGTGTGTCTGTTTCCACATTTCTGTCTTCTTGAAGGACAGCAGTCATATTGGATGAAGCGTCCACCTACTCCAATAGGACCTTATCTGAATTTGATTACTTCGGCAAAGACTCCATTTCCAAATAAGGTCACTGTTCCCAGGGGTTAGGACTCTCATATATCTTTTGTGGCAGGGGAGGGTTGGGGGGGCCACAATTTAACCCACAACAGGACAGATGCATCTCCCCTTCTACTCACAGGCAGCTCTGTGGTGCCACTGGCCCCCCGCTCTGAAAACCACTGGCTCCAAGTGAAATAATGGAAATGAAAACTCCCAGGTGCCCCAGTTCCTTTAGATGTTGTGGCCCATTCACGTCCTTTTGCAATGCCCTCATCCAATTTTGTACACTAGCCGGACGGGCATCATTATCCCCACTGTACAGATTAGGAAACCGAAGTTTAGAAATGTGGCATGGTAAAGCTTAAAGCTGAAACAATATCTGTTTGACTTCAAAACCAACCACCATCCCCCCATTCCACGAGGGGTTGGGGTGGGCAGGCAAGGGTTAAGGCTGAGGAGGAGGTGGGCCCTCCAGGCCCTGCTGGCTCCCGGAGCGCTGAGTGTGATGCTGGTGTCCGGGTTCTGTCGGTTGCCGGGGTGCTGATTAAGATGTCACAGAAGATTATGCTGTCAGGTGCAAGAATCACGCTCCAGGAGGGGTGGCTGCTGGGCCGGGAGGGAGGTTACCCTAGCAACGGAGACGGAACATCCACGCAGTGCAGCGTCCCAGCCTGGTGAGAAGGGCTTGGGGTTCAGCATCACCTGTCCTGGATAAAAAATTTGGCTCTTTGGCCCTGCAGCTGGGTAACTGTGGGTAAAACAGTTCACCTTCTGAGCTTCTTGGCCTCATCTCTGAGATGTGGGAGTCATTCCATCCCCCTGTGGATCAAATGGCAGAGCCAGAGAAAATCCCACGTATCTGCAAGCATCTGCCTCATGGCAGTTCCCTGGGAACCCCAGGCAGGCATTAGCTCAAGAGCTGAGGCCCGGGCATGGGCAGGCTTGCCCAAAGGTGGCAAAGCAATGGTGCCAAGTCACCTTGCTGCCGGGACTGAGGTGCTGGGAATGCGGGGTCACCTGGTGATGGGGGGGCCTTGTCTGCAGCCTTCTTTTTACTAATTAGTGGGGGGATCAGCAGATCCTCCTCCGAGTCTCCTAAACTTTCTGCACTAAATAGTGTTGACCACAGCACATAGTCACTGTCTATTCAGTTGTTGTATTTCCTATTCAGCCGTGAAACCTGTCTCTTTAGATGCCCAAAGCTCAGCATACAGCCCAAATGCATGTTGAAGTAAAGGAAAAGATGAATGAAGGTGTTTGCTCACATTCCCCCTCTATTCCTTGGAGTAAATTTCTTCTGTCATTGAGGAAGAAATATTCTTTCTCTCTTGCAAAGCTACTCTTTCCCCATGTCCTTAATTCTGATCTTATTTTCCCAAGTCCTGGCTTTCATTCACCCACCCACCATCCACCCGTCTCTCCACCCACCCATCCAGGCAGCAGACAGTGGCTGAGTGTCTCTGAGCCACATCCTGTGCTAGGCCAACAGGGCCAAGTCACACTGGGATCTTGGTCCAAACTAGTTCTCACTCAGCCTTGTAGAGGTGTGGGGGCATGAACCCAAATCCGTGTGATGCACAGTAGAACTCACAGGCTGTCTCGGAGAACGGGACATGGCAGAAGAAGGAGAAATTATGTTCCATTCAGAAATCAGGGGAAGCCAGAGCAGACAGCGACCTCTCTTTGAAGGAGGAGGATTTGGGCACAAGAAGTGAGCGAAGAAGCAACTGGGAAACACCCTTGTCTTCCACAGCCCTCACCACATCCTGATGTCTCCTCTCCTTTGCAGAGCCCTCACATGGGTTCAGAGAGGTTAACTAACTTCCTCCAAGTCACCCAGCTCATAAGTGGTAGCGCTGATTGGAGAAGCTCGAATGTTGATCTTCACAAAGGCCTTCCTGGACCACTTCTGTGTATCTCACTTGGCCTATTTTCGGTCGCTCCCTGTCCTGTGTCTTTTGTGCCTCTCCACTGCTGGAAGGCCGGCTCCACGATGGCGGGGGGTGGGGGTGGCCTTGCCTTGCCTCTGCTCTGTGCCTCGCCCCTGGAAACTAGTGGGTGCTCAAAGACATCTTTCTGAGATGCTGTGGATGCACCAGTCCCTGTTCTGACCCAAAGGACTGTTACCTGGTCCCCAACCTTCTTTCCATTCCTGGTAGCCGTCTCCTTGGAGGTCTGATCTGCCCTTACCACTCATCTACCTTTTAACTCTGGCCCCTTGGCTCCGCAGCTGGGCCCCTCAGCCAAACATGGTTCAGGCTCGGTGTCTCCTGGCCAGGGCTGGCATCCTTGCTGCACACTTCTGATCATCTCAGGAGCTGCATACCTCACAAGCAGATAATTGAAAAGATTACCCTGAGATGGAACTCTTGGAGGCTGATTTATTGTGCGTCATCCCTACTTCAGGGTTTTTATTAGAAATTGAAGAATGGCTTTCCAACTTGAGGCTGTGTTTAACCTCCACTAGTCCTGCAAACCAACAGTGGCTCCCAGGGTGGCTGCAAAGTCACTGCGCACCAGAGCTCTGCCCTGCAGCAGCACCCTTGAGTGGCTCTCACCCCAGAAACAGAGCCTCTCCTTCCTTTCTTTCTTTCTTTTTTTTTTTTTTTTTTTTTTGAGACTGAGTCTTTCTCCGTCACCCAGGCTAGAGTGCAGTGGCGCGATGTTAGATCACTGCAACCTCTGCCTCCTGGGTTAAGCAATTCTCATGCCTCAGCCTCCTGAGTAGGTGGGATTACAGGACAGGCGCCCACCACTACGCCTGGCTAATTTTTGTATTTTCAGTAGAGACAGGGTTTCACCATATTGGCCAGGCTGGTCTTGAACTTCTGAACTCAGATGCTCCACCCACCTCAGCCTACCCTCCTTTCATTTCTCCCTCCCTCCTTTCTGTGCCTGGGGGCCTTGAGAGAACTGGTTAAGACTGGGCACTCAAGCTAGACTATCCAGGTTAGTGGGACGGGGAGGAGGCTGGACCTAGAACGCAGTGTGCTGCAGTGGAGGCAAATATTATGTGGAATCCACTCTGCTCTGGGAAGCCCTCCTTAATTCTGCTCTTTCCTATCTGGAAGTAGTCCCTTTCCCAGGTGTGTCCAGAGCTCTTGGCTGGTGCCTATGTCTGCAGCACCCGCCCTGCTCGCCTGGCACTGGAGTGGCTGTGTTCACTGTCAGTCTGTTCCTTCTCCTTTAGGGCAGAGGCTCCGTGGTCTCTGAGCACAGAGGCCAGGAAGTGGGGGATGATACCCGGTACTAGGGAGGGTGTGGGGTGGGGAGTGGTTAGATGATGTATTGGACCTCATAGGCCAACAGGAAGATCAGCTGGGGATTGGTCCATAATCCAAGCGAGATGACCCCACACGTGAACGCAGCGTTTAGCAACCAGGTGGCTTTGGGCAAATCGCCTGACTTCTTCGAGCCTGCTATTCCCCATTTATTTCTACCATGAGATAATAGCACCCACCTTACTGGGCCAGCAGCATGGGCATCACCTGCCAACTTGAGAGGGACACAAATCACTGGGTCCACCCCTGACCTGCTGAATCCAGAACCCTAGGATGGAGCCAGCAGCCTGTGCTGAGGGAGCCCTCCTGGAGATTTCCATGCACACTCAAGGTTGCAATCCACTGCCCTGGAGCATTGCTGAGAGCAGTACAGGAGATAATGTGGGTGTAGCAGTTGGCAAAGCGAGGCACACGGGGACTCCGGGGTCCCTTCTTCTATGCTGAGATGATGAGGCCATGAGTATGCTTCTGACAGGGAAGACCTGGCCCGAAAGAAGTATGTGTTCTGCAGCCAAGGGGCTGGGGGCTGCAGCTCCAGATGCCCACAGAGCAGCAGAGTCCCCCACTCCCTCCCTGAGGTGCATCTGGGGTTCAAGGAAGGAAATGCAGCCCCAAGGGGAGGACCCTGGTGGGGACTCATGCAGTTGGTGATCCTCCACGTTGTATTTGGTTCATTCCTGTTCACTTAGATCTGCCTTCCCCTAGAGAGACGGACAGGGCATGCTGCTGCCCTCAGTAGGGCTAGGGCCAGGGAGATGTGTAGTTAACTGATACCAGACGCCTGGGGAGGAAGGGAGGGAACGACTGTTTCTGAGTCCCCACTGTGGACCAGCGACACAGGGAGAAGGTCATGTGACGACAGGCAGAGATTGGAGGGTCGCAGCTACGAGCCACAGGATGCCAAAGACTGCAGCAGCACCGAGGCCAGGAAAAAAGGCCCGGGCTGGATCCTCCCCTCAAGCCTTCAGAGAGATCAGGGCCCCATCAGCACCTTGGTCTTGGACTTCTGGCCTCCAGGACTATGAGAGTAAATTTGTGTTGTTTGAAGCCTGCCCATGTGTGATACTTTGTTATGTCATCCCTAGGAAATGAATTCAGATTTTGTTTTAGTCCCTGAGGAATGCTGTAAGGAGGGTATATGGGTCCCCATTAAACAGATGAGAAGGCTGAGGCTCAGACAGGTTAACTGCCTTCCCCCAGGTCACTCAGCATCAAGGGGGCACCAGGATCCCAAATGGACATGCCTGTGTCCCAACAGTGCATGCTCCTGGGGTGACGGTAGCTAACAACCTCCCCTGATCCTGAGACCCTCTTCCTCCTCATTTCCACCCCTCCCTGCTCTGCTGGGTATTTCTCAGGGCCCCCTCCCCACCCCCACACTTTAGTGTCTGCACGACTTGAAAAATCAGTGCGTAGACCTGAATAACTCCACTCGTCCGATGGCTTGGTCCCTCTCTGCTCAAACTGTAGTCCCCAAACCAGCATCATCAGCCTTACCTGGCAATTGGCCAGGAATGGCTAGAATCCTGGGGCCCCTCCCAGACCCCTGAAATGGAATGTGCATTTTAGTAAGACCCCCAAGCAACTGGATGCTTTCTGAAGTCTGAGAAGGCAGCTCAGCAGAACCTACAGAGCCCTTCGACAGCTATGGCTCCCTTGGCGTTGGACTGTCCTGTCCTGGCAGGGGCTCCAGAAGGACAAGGTGGGGCAGGGCCAGGGCCAGGGGAAAGGGCTCTGTCTTCTCAGAGTGGAGCTCTTGCTTGACTCTTGGCTCTAACACCGGTTGGCTGTGTGACGCTGGGTCAGTTTCTCAACCTCTCTGGGTCACACATCCAAAATGGCAGGTAACTGAACCAAGCTCCTTCAGAGTGTGGCTGTAAACGCTCAGTGGGTTCATTCAGGTTAGAGCTGAGTGCCCCCAAGAGGGGCTTTCACAGGGAAGGGGTTGAGCTGGAGAAGTTCCTGAGACTTGTGGGGAGGCATCCTCAAACCCGCCACCCACATCAGCCCTATTGCCATCCCCACTGCACAGACAGGCTCCTTCCGATTTCCAGCAAGGTGTCCTGAGGCCCAGGTGCAGGCTGCACAGCCAGGGGCGGGCGGGGAGTCCTCTCCTGGCTGAGACTGTGGCCACTGGCTCATGCCTCACCATCATCTTCGAGAGCTTTGCTCTCCAGCCCCTTTTGCCCTTTTGCCTTTTTTTCTGTCTGGTCTCGGCTCCCTTTTCCCCCATCTTTCCGTTCCCTTGTTTCTGCTCTCCACATTTTCCTCTCTCCCTTCCTGCCCCACCCTCTCTCAGGGACACACACAGCCGGGAGCTGGGGCGGGCACGTGGGAGCAAAGGCCTCTCCCTTGCTCACTTTCTCACAGGTGGACCCAGAGCCTCGATCTCCACTGCTTCCTGATATCTTTTCATCTGGGTCATGTCAACATATTTGCTAAAACCAACTGTGGGAGATGTGTGCAGGTGGACACAGCCTCCTACCCTGGCCCAGCCTCTCCGCCTTTCTCTCCTCTCTCTTCTCCCTCTGTCTCTCTGTCTCTCTCCCTCCCTCCCAGCTGTCCCTTTTCTTGTTTCTCTCTTTGTGCCTGTCTGTGTCCCTGTTTCTAAGTCTCTCCCTCCTTCCTCACCATGGAAACTGATTTTAATTCTGACCTCATCAAAATGCTTACAAATAGGAAGAAAAAACCACAGGCCTGGAATCTGGGCAAGGCGGCTCTGTCAGTGGCCGCGTTCGAAGCTTGATTTCCTTCCTTTGGGGTAGGGCAGGGTGTCCCTTGAAGCCCCCAAAATGGGCAGCCTGCAATGCCCTCTGTCACTCCCACTTCCAGGCCCCAGGCCTGAGTCTTTGAGCTCTCGGGTACAGGAGGAGGGAGGGACTCACGCCAAGGCTGGCGTCAGAGGATTATGTGACTTAGGCTGCTCTCCAAGGCCTGCGACCACCCTCTGCAACTCCTGGGGTCTCTCATCCAGCAGCAGCAGTGGGGTTTATAGTGACCAGGCCCAGGAGCTCTGGGGAGGGCTGGAGTGAGGAGCGCTGCCCTGAAGCAGTGCAGACCTGGAGGCCGGCAGGCTCATCCAAACCTGTTTGCCTAATTCCTGCTCCAGGAGCTCCCTGGAGACACAGTTGTGAGGGGGAGGGTGGCTACGCCTGGCCTCTTTCATCAGCTGGGACTTGTCTCTTTCTCCATCCTTGCCCCTCCCCTGAGACAGACCTGCTATCACTTCAGTCCTTTCAAAGAGAAATGCCTTCTACTTCCATTCCCTATTCAGTTCTGAGGTTTAATGAGTCAGGATTACGATTTGCAAGATAGGGGATAAGCTTACATGGGTTAAAAGGCTTGATTAAGGAACTAGAGGAAAAGAGGTGTAGTGTTTCTTGCCCCTGCTCTGGGTCTCAAAAATGAATGTTTTTATTCTGAGTCAATCAGCCATAGTCTTGGTTTGCAACCTCCAACTTTAGTGGATACCTTCCTCCCTAAAACACATACCCACTCAGACACCCATCACATGCATGCCCTAACACGTACATTCACACCTGTATACATGCACACATGCCACACGTACATGCTACTCACTCACATGTTCATGCACACACACAGCCAGACACTCACATGCACTGAGGCACTGACACACACATACTCAAACACACACTCACACTCTTACACTCAAATACACACATGCATACACAAACACACAACTCACACTTTCATGTACATGCACACACACACACACACACACAGAGAGAATTTCTTTGGCTCTAACAGAGGAAATCTATAGACACCCAAGATTGCTAAAGCTACCAGGAACCTCAGAGGCCCTCTGACTCAGGGATGGCAAACTCACTTGGTCTGGCACAGGTTGACTTGGGCCATGTGTGACTCTGCTGACCCGGATGAGACTGAAGAAGGAGGCAGCCAACACTCAGTGCAGTCACAGGGCTGTGTGGGAGTCCTGACCTGGGCTCACCCTTTCTGCTGATATTTTCAGAGAAGCTGGAGACCTGAATTTTTATTAGAAATAGCTCATTTTAAAATATTTTTTCAAGGAAAAAAACCGCAATTTTAAATGCTGGCCATTAATTGAACTAATGGCAAGAGCAATGTTTCTTCAGGCTAGATCTGTCCTTGGGGCAGCTCATTCAGGACCTCTTAGCAGGGCCAGTGTGCCCATTTCACAGCTAGGGAAACTGAGATTCACAAAGGAAAGCGGCTTTTCCAGGGATTCTCAGGAAAAGATTGACCCAATGAGGAGTAGAGCCAAGATCTTTTGGGGTTTCTCAACAATTGAATCTGGTAAGTGTAGACGGTTCTCCAAACAATCAGAAAAAGTTTAGCAAGGCAGTCGCCTGCCTCCCTTAACCTAAAATTACTACTCCAACAGCTCACATGTCACTTACCCAGACTGTCCCATCTAAAGGAGCTCCCTGCACCAGGCTCCTCCATCTCTTGTTACCCAAAAACGCTGCTTTCACTTCTTCACAGCAGTTATCATGATTGCAAATGATCTTCATTTGCCAGCAGTTTGCTTTTTGTGGTAGCCAACAGCGCTATTCTCTCCACCTCCAAGAGAGAATGGGAGGATAGCCATTCCTTGTCCCTCATGAGTGGATTCAGCTATGTGACTGTGAGCAGAAGTAACTTGTGTCACTGCAGGTAAAAGATTTCACAGCCATTTGTGGCTGGGCATGGTACCTCATGCCTGCAATCTCAGCACTTTGGGAGACCAAGGCAGGATGATCATTTAAGGCAAGGAGTTTGAAACCAGCCTGGTCAACATAGTGAGATTCCATCTCTGAAAAAAATTTAAACATTAGCCAGGTATGGTGGCATGCACCTGTAGTCCCAGCTACTTGGGGGGCTGAGGTGGGAGGATCACTTGAGCCTAGGAGCTTGAGGCTGCAGTGAGCTATGATTGCACCACTGCACCCCAGCCTGGGTGACAGAGCAAGATTCTGTCTCTTAAAAAAAAATAGCTGTTGTGAGATCCTCCAGAACACTCTTTCCCATGGTCATGGTGACCTGGAATATTTGAGAGCTGGCTACTCGAGCAGTCTGGTCACCACCTCCAGTGGTAAGCAGAGGCCCCCTGGTGACCCACGGTGGACATACAGCATAAGCAAGAAATAAATTTGTTATTTTAAACATGGAGATTGAGGGGTTGTTTGTTACAGCAGCATAACCTATCCTACCTGACTGGTACACTTAAAAAAATTAAAGACAATATTTTTTGAGCAGTTTTTGGTTCACAGCAAAATTGAAAGGAAGGTGCAGAGCTATCCCATATGCCCCTTGCCTGCACATGTCATAGCCTCCACCATTATCAACATCCCTACCGGAGTGATACATTTGTCACAATTGATGAACCTACCTTGACACATCATTATCACCCAAACTCCAAAGATTATATTCGAGTTCACTTTTGCTGTTGTACATTCTGTGGGTTTGGGAAAATGTATAATGGTGTGTATTTATCATTGTAGTATCATGCAGAGTATTTGCTTTGTATTTATTTATTTATTATTTGAGATGGGGTCTCACTCTGTTACCCAGGCTGGAGTGCAGTGGCAAGATCACAGCTCACTGCAGCCTTGACCTCCCGGGCTCAAGCCTCCTTCCACCTCAGCCTCCTGAGGAGCTGGGACTACAGGCATGCACCACCACACCCAGCTAATTTTTGTATTGTTTGTAGAGATGGGGTTTCACCATGTTGCCCAGGTGGGTCTCAAACTCCAGAGCTTTAGCAATCTGCCCACCTCAGCCTCCCAAAGTGCTGAGGTCACAGACATGAGCCACCTCGCCCAGTCTCAGAGTATTTTTATTGCCCTAAAAATCCTCCATACTCTGCCTATTCATCTCTCTCTCCCTTGTAACTCCTGGCAATCACTTACCTTTTTACTGTCTCCAAGTTTTGCCTTTTCTAGAATGTTATATAGTTGGAATCATACAATATGGAGTCTTTTCAGACTGGCTTCTTTCACTTAGTAATGTGCATATAAGTTTTCTTCATGTCTTTTTTTGTGGCTTGATAGCTCATTTCTTTTTAGTGCTGAATAATATTTCATTTCCTGGATGTTCCAGAGAGTTTATCTATCCATTCAGTTATTAAAGACCCCCATGGTTGCTTCTGGGTGTCAGCAATTACAAATAAAGTTATTATAAACATCTGTTTGCAGGTTTTGCATGGACATAAGTTTTCAACGCCTTTAGGTAAACACCAAAGAGCATGATTGCTGGATCATGTGATTAGGATATGTTTAGTTTTGTAAGAAGCTGCTGAACTGTGTTGGCAAATGGCTGTACCATTTTGCATTTCCACCAACAATGAATGAGAGTTCCTGTTTGAGACGGTTTGGCTGTGTCCCTACCCAAATCTCATCTCAAATTGTTAGTTCCCATAATTATCATGTGTTGTGGGAGGGGCCCAGTGGGAGATAACTGAATCATGGGGGCAGGTCTTTTCCATGCTATTCTCATGATAGTGAATAAGTCTCATGAGATCTGATGGTTTTATAAAGGGGAGTTTCCCTGCACAAGTTCTCTTCTCTTGTCTGCCACCTTATGAGATGTGGCTTTCACCTTCCACCATAATTGTGAGGCCTCCTCAGCCACACAGAACTGTGAGTCCATTGAACCTGTTTTTCCTTATAAATTACCTAGTCTCAGGTATGTCTTTATCACCAGCATGAAAATGGATTAATACACCGTTACCCCACACTCTTACAGGATTTGGTCTTTTCAGTGTTCTAAATTTTATCCATCTAATAGATGGACAATGTTATCTCCTTGTTGTTTAAATTTACATTTCCCTAATGACACATGATGTGGACCATCTTTTCATATGCTTATTTGCCATCTCTGTATTTTCTTTAGTGAGATGTCTGTTAAGGCCCTAGGCCCATTTGTAATCAGGTTGTTTGTTTTCTTATTGTTAAGTTTTTTAAGATTCTTTGTATTTTGGGATAATGTTTCTTTTAAATCAGATATATCTTTTACAAATATTGTCTCCCAGTCTGTGGTTTGTGTTTTCATTCTCTTGACTATCATCTGCAGAGAAGAAATATTTACCTTTAGTGAAATCCAGCTTATCAATTATTTACTTCATGGATCATGCCTTTGGTGTCATATTTAAAAAGTCATCACCAAACCCAAGGCCATCTAGGTTTTCTCCTAAGTTATCTTCTAGGAGGTTCACACTTTTGTATTTTACATTTAGGTTTATGATACATTTTGAGTTAATTTTTCTTTTTCTTTTCTTTTCTTTTTTCTTTTTTTTTTGCTTGTGGATGTCTGGTTGTTCCAGTACCATGTGTTGAAAAGATGATCTTTATTGTATTGACTTTCCCCCTAGTCAAAGATCAGTGACTGTATTTATGTGGCTCCATTTCTGGACTCTCTATGCTGTTACATTGCTCTATTTGTTTATTCTTTTGCCAATGCCACACCTTCTTGATTATTACAGCTTTATAGCAAGTCTTAAAGTAGAATAGTGTCAATCCTCCAACTTTGTTCTTTTCCTTCAATATTGTGTTGGCTATTTCTGAGTCTTTTGCCTCTCCATATAAACTTTAGAATCAGCTTGTCAGTAGCTACAAGAGAACTTGCCGAGGCTTCGAATGAGATTGCTCTGAATCTACACATTAAGTTTGAAATAACTTACATCTTCACAAAATGGAATCTTCCTATCTATGAACATGGAATGCCTCCATTTATTTAGTTTTTCTTTGATTTCTTTCATCAGAGTTGAGTAGTTCTTCTCAAGTAGATCTTATGCATGTTTTATTAGATTTATATCCAATATTTCATTTTTGAAGGTGCAAATGTAAATCATTTTGTGTTTTTAATTTCAGATTACACTTGTTCATTGCGGGCATACAAGAAAGCAATTGACTTTTGTATATTAACCTGTAACCTACAATATTGCTGTAATCACAATAGGAGAATTTTTGTGATCTAATACAGTTTTTCAAATCTAAACACTTAGTAAATACCTGACACTTAGTAAATAATAAATATTGGTCTCATGAACGGATGCATAAAATAGTGTAGTAATTAACAGCACTGCCTTTCAAAACAAGACAGACTCAGATTGGAAACTCAGCCCTGCAATGTGACTTTCAGCAAGTGACAACTTGTCTGGGCCCCATTTTCATATTCAGTAAAACAGGGACACTATGAGACCCACCTCACATGGATGTTACATGGATTTATTGAGATCATTCACACTGTATTCTTAGCACTATTCCTGAGTTGGATAAATGTGCTAGGCAAATGCTCCTAAACAGTAGCTGGTGATATTCTCATTAATGTAATTAATGAAACTCCCTCCCAGGGAGGTAGGTCTTAGAATTTCTCCAGGTATGTAGTATAATGCCCACTCCAGGGATCCAATTCTAGAGAGCCTAATTCAGTCTATCTGGCCCAGAGCTCTTTAACCTGCAATTTTAAATTTTTTTTAGCAATCCTATTCCAGCACTGGAAATCTGCATTTTAAATAAGCCCCCTGGGTTCCTTAAAGAACGAAAAGTAGATCTAACATTTGATTCAGCAATCTCACTCCTAAGTATCTACCCAGAAGAAAAGGAGCCGTTATATGAAAAAGACACTTGTAAAGGCAAGTTTGTAGCAGCACAATTGCAAAAATATGGAACCAGCCCAAGTGCTCATCAATCAATGAGTGGATAAAGAAAATGTGGTGTACAGGTATATGTACAGGTGGTGGTTGGTTACATGGAGAAGTTCTTCAGCAGTGATTTCTGAGATTTTGGTGCACTCATCATCCAAGCAGTATACACTCTACCTAATGTGTAGTATTTTATCCCTCCCACCCTCCCACCCTTTCCCCCGAGTCCTCAAAATCTATTGTATCATTCTTATGCCTTTGCATCCTCATAGCTTAGCTCCAATTTATGACAGAGAACATACGATGTTTGGCTTTCCATTCCCGAGTTACTTCACTTAAAATAATGGTCTCTAATTCCATCCAGGTTGCCGCAAATGCCATTATTTTGAAACCCAAAATCCAGAAATTACTGCTAAAGAACTTCTCCAGGTAACCAAACACTACCTGTTCCCCCCAAAATTACTGAAATAAATAAATTAATAAACGAACAAGCCTCCTGAGTGATTCCGATGCAATGGCTGCGCTTTGAAAACACAGGTCTAAGTTTTCACTAAGGAAACTGACAGTCAATTTAGGGAAGGTGGAAGGCTTAGTCAGCTTGTATTTAATTTGGCATTTGACAGGGCCTCATAATTTCCTCATGATTAATACTCTAAAAGCAGACAGTTTCAAGCACTTCTCATACACCAAGCTCTCTGCCAAAGTGACTAACAGGTCTCAGCTCCTAGCGACCCAAGAGGAAAACGTTATTGCCCCCATTTTACAGATGAGGAAATTGAGGCTCAGAGACAGGCAGGAATTGCCTAAGGGCACCGAGCTGGGGAGTGGCAGAGCCTGTGGGCAGCCCAGTCTTGTGTACTGTGGCTGAAGGCATGAGCCCGCCTGCAAACACTGATGCAGACGAGGAGGAGCTTGTGTGAAATCCGACAGAGATCCCCACAGATTCCAATGGGTAGGAGAGGCTTATCAGGATAAAATATGGTGTAGTTCAGTCTAAGCACCGATATTAACTTTAAAAACAGCTTCATTGAGATATGATAGAAAACACTAAAATATCTGTGTTTAAAGTGTACAATTTGATATGTTTTGACAAATGTAAACACCCATGAAACCTTCACCATAACCAAAGTCATGAGCATGGTATTGGTCTTTGTCAGCTCCGGCTGCCATGACAAAATTCCACAGCCTGGGGGATTTAAACAACAGAAATTTATTTTTTTTCACCATTGTGGAGGCCAGAAGTCCAAGGTCAAGATGCCAGCAGGGCTGGCTCCTGGTGGGGCTCTCTTCCTGGCTGGCAGACGGCCGCCTTCTCACTGTGTGCATACATGGCCTTTCCTCCAGATCTTGTTCTGTTCCTCTGGAGTGCAGTGGCGCCATCTTGGCTCACTGCAAGCTCCGCCTCCTGGGTTCACACCATTCTCCTGCCTCAGCCTCCCTAGTAGCTGGGACTACAGGCGCCGGCTGCCAGGCTCAGCTAATTTTTTGTATTTTTTAGTAGAGACAGGGTTTCACCATGTTAGCCAGGATGGTCTCGATCTCCTGACCTCGTCATCCGCCCGCCTCGGCCTCCCAAAGTGCTGGGATTACAGGCGTGAGCCACCGCGCCCAGCCCTTTCCTCTTCTTATAAAGACACCAGTCCCATAAGATCACGACTCCACCCTTGTGGCACCCTATTTAACCTTAATGACCTCCTAAGAGCCCTGTCTTCAAATATAGTCACATCTGGGGTTACACCTTCAACATACAAATTTTTTGGGTTGACACAGTTCCTCCATAGCAATATTTAAACTTTTAAAACTTAATTGCTTATCCAAGTATGGGTGGAAATTTTTGCCCATAAAAGTCTGTTGGCCAGGCGTGGTGGTTCATGCCTGTAATCCCAGCAATTTGGGAGGCCAAGGTGGAAGGATCTCTTGAGCCCAGGAGTTCAAGACCAGCCTGGGCAACATGTGAAACCCTATCTCTACAAAAAATAATTTTTAAAAAAATTAGCCAGGCAAGGTGGTGTGTGCCTGTGGTCCCAGCTACTTGGGAGGCTGAGGTGGGTGGATCACCTAAGCCCAGGAGGCTGAGGCTGCAGTGAGCCATGATCACTAGCCTGGGAGACAGTGAGACCCTGTCTCAAAAATAAATTATTATGGAATTACTGCTAGAGTAAAAAATCAAAGCCACTCAAATGCCTAACCATAGAGGCAAAGCCAAGTAAGTGATAGTGCACTTGTATAGCAAATGTGAACATAAGCCTGCATTTAGAACAGGACTTGACACTTAGTAAGTCCTCAATAAAAAAGTTAAAAAGCGTTAGAGTTTCTAGTGATGTAGAGAAATGCTGAGGATGTGGTCTTAAGTGAAAAAAGCATAATTTTAAATGGCATTAGAAATCTAATCTAAACATGTATATAGCAAATATAAACACATAGAAAAGGCTAGAAACTATTAAAATTTTAACAGGGATTGTCCTAGAGTGATGGGAATAATAGAAATTATATTTGCTGCTTTAAATACTTTTCTCTAGTTTCCTGGTTCTCTAAAATGAGCACATACAACTTTTATAATGAGGAATAAAAACTGTATTTGCAAATTAGAAGCAGCATTGGAAAACTCAATTGCACAGGAATGAGAGAAGAGGCACCTGGCTTGGCAGAGGTTCATGACAATGACCTCGAATAACTGAAAGAATTAGACAGACATGGGTTTGGGTTTCAGATTCAAACAGATGTGCTATTTTGGGGCAATTTACCGGGACTTCTCTGGGCCTCAGTTTCCACATCTCTAAAATGGGTATCTTCATGGGTCCTTTAGGAGCATGCTTTGAGCTTTGAGTATAGCTTCATCCTCAATTTTCTTTTCTCCATCCTCCCTGCTGACTCTCTTTCATCTTTTGTCTGTTCTTTATCTTCCTGATTATTTTTCTCAGTTATCCAATTAATATTTACTCACACACTTTGTTCCAGGCTTAGCCTAATTTCTGATGATGCAAGGATAAACCAGCTATTTTCCCATTCCCCTTGAGGATGAGGAAAGGCCTTGATGAGCCAGGACAGGCCAGGGGTCTTGGAGTCAGCCACTCCTCATTGTCAGCACACCACAAGTTCTCCCTGTCACACCAGGAAGATGCAGTCCGACTGGAAGGTAGAATGAGCTGTAGGGGCTGGCCCACAAGATCTGCACCCCTCATCCTCCTTCCACGAAGGGAGCTGGGAATGCCAAGGATGGATGCATAATTCTGGGGTAAGAGGGACTCAGGAAAGGGCAGACATCTGATCCAGGTCTGGAAAGCTAAGCAGGGGTTTAATCAACAGGGAAAATGCAGGGAAGAGGGAACAGCACTGTTAAAGGCCTGGGGTTTAGACCTGCACTTTGTGCAGCATAACTAATTCTGGATGGAGAGGAAGGAGGACATGAGGGTGGCACCTGGAGATGGCTGGGGATTTGAGGGATGAGTGTAGATAGGGGCAGGAACCACTTCCCAAAGTGCTTGTAGGTGAGGGTGAACACTCAGATCTTTAACCCAAAGGCAGTGGGGAGCCATTGAAGGGATCATGTAGTGGGGAGGTATGAGGTTTTCTTAGACAGAGACACCTGTGGCTCAATGAAGAGGCTGGATCAGGAGTGAGAAAGCAGCAGGAGCAGGTGAGAACCTGTTTCGTGATACAGGGAGGGCTGTGGGGATGGAGAGGGGAGGAAGCTCCGAAAGAGGTTGGGACAGAAGGATTGACAGGGCTGTGCAATGGGCTGATTTGGTTGTGCAGGGGATGCCTGCACAGCTCCCGGGGAGTAAATAGATAATGGTGGTCCCCTGTAAGCCAGGAGAGGCTGGAGGAGGGAGAAAAGGAAGGAGAGGAGAGAGGAGGGGGAGAGGAGGAAAGGAGGAGTAAGTAGAGGAGGAAAAGAAGAAAGAGGAGAAGAGAAGAAAGAAGGAAAGGGAGAAGGAGAAGAATAAGGAGAGAAAGAGAATGAGGAGGGAAGGGGAGGAGGATAGAGGAGAGGGAAAAGAGAGAAGGCAGAGGAGGAGGAGGAGAGGGAGAAGCAGGGGGAGCTGAATTCCTTCTTAGGGGATGGGACTCTGCCTAGGAAGTGGGGAGCCTCCTCTTCATGCCCTGGGGTGACCTTCCCTGCCCTTAAGAGGTCTTGCCAGGCTTAATAAGGGCCTATAATGTGCAGGGACTGTCAATTACGGAGATGAGTTTATTTTGAAGTCCAAGATAGGAATGGCTGTGTCTCAACCAGGTATGTGTTTACACCTCCAGGCCACCGATGCCAGAAATAAACATTTTTGTCATGGCCTCAAAACTGAGCCCAGGCCCTAGAAAGGTGCTGTGCAGAGGTCTGCCCTCTAGACTCTAGGTCATGGTGGGGGAGAACAAACATTTAGGTGACCACTACTACGTGCCAGGCAGTGCTGAGCACCCAGGATGAGTGCAGTGGGAACTTCATTCTGGAGACCCTTATAATCCGGCGGGGAGGCAGAGGGGTACAGGCAATGACAGGGTTGTCATCAGCATTGAGACAAAGAGAAGTGCTTGGGGCTGGAGGCCCACAGGGGTCTTCCCGGAGGGTGATGTCTCTCCTGAGGATTGGAAGGGGCTAGCCAGGCTGCAGCAGGCAGGGCGGGGAGCTCTGCTGGCCCATGATGAATGGTGTACACATTTCCTGTGGCTGCTGTAGTTAATAACCACACACTGGGTGACTTGGGACAACAGAAATGTTCCCCTTCATAGTTTGAGAGGCCAGATGCCTCAAATCAAGGTGTCAGCAGGGCTGTGCTCCCTAGGAAGGCTCTAGGGGAGGAGTCTTCCTTGTCTCTTCCAGCTTCTGGTGGTTGGCAACAACACAGGTGGTGCTTACAGATGTGTCCCTCCAGTCTCTGCCCGCATCGTCACATGGCCCTCTTCCCATGGCTGCATCTCTTCTCTTCTTATGAGAACACCAGTTACATGGAATTATGGTCCACTCCAATCCAGTGTGACCTCATCTTAATCACATCTACAAAGGCCCTATTTCCAAATAAGGTCACATTCACAGGTTCCGGGAAGACATGAAGTTTGGAGAGACACTACGGAACCCAGTATAAGTGGAATGGCTCAGTGTGACTGAGACTTCCTTCTAAGACAAGGAGAGGTGCTGGTTGGAGATGGGCTGGAGGGGTAGGCAGGGGCTAGGTTATGGGGGACCTGTCAGGCCAGGCAAAGAGCCTTGGACCTCGATTGCAAATCTATAAACAAACACGGCTTTCTCAGGAAACACAGGCAGATTCCCTTGCAGAGCAATGCAGAGAGGGCATTAGATTTTGATCTCTGAAGGGCTGGCTGAATTCGAAGACGTTGGCCTCATCCTCCCTGATGTGTCTGCTGCCCTCTGACACCCTACAGATTTATTCCTCAGCAGCAATTAAGGTGAAGAAATGTGGTCAGGCCAGAGGCAGCTCCTTTTTCTGATGTCTGGGATTGTTTTTTTTTTTTTCTTCCTGCGGAGGATCTGTCTCTGAAAGATGATGAGGCCCTCTGCCCTTGCTCCAGGGAAGACCCCCTGCCTTTGTCAGCCTGGGCCTGATTCTCACAGATTGTCTTAGGGTCCTTGAGCACAGGGGACATGTGACCACTTGTGACACATGGCCCTTCATAACACCTGGCTGGGAGCCTGAATGTGTCTTTCTTACCTCCTGTGTGCCAAGTACTGTGCTCAGCACTGCAAATTCACTTTTGGTTTGAAACCTGCTAACCCTTGCATGCCATTGGCTTGGTTATCCCCATTTTATAGAGGCAGGTGCTGAGGCCCAGAGAAGCTCAGTGGCTGGCCAAGCTCATACAGCCAGTAAGCCAGGCAATGGTTAATTTTAGGAGTCAACTTTTCTAGGCTACGGTGCCCACTTATTTGGACAGACACTGGTCCAGATGTTGCTATGAAGGTATTTTGTAGATGAGAATGACCTTGATAATTAGCAGACTTTGAGCAAAGCAGAGGACCTCCCATAACGGGGGTGAGCCTCATCCAATCAGTTGAAGGCCTTGAGACTCGAGACTGTGGTTTCCCAAGGAAAGAACTCTCCTCAAGACTGCAACCTAGAAAGCCTGCCTGAATTTCCAGCCTGCAGATTTTTACTGAAGACCATATGACATCAACTCTTTCCTCAGTTTTCAGCTTGCCAGCTTGTCTTAAAGATTTCAGATTTACCAGCTCCTACCATTGCATGAGCCAATTCCTTAAAATCTCTCTGTCTTGCCCAGGCGTGGTGGCTCACGCCTGTAATCACAGCACTTTGGGAGGCCGAGGCAGGCAGATTACGAGGTCAGGAGATCGAGACCATCCTGGCTAACATGGTGAAACCTCTTCTCTACTAAAAACACAAAAAATTATCCAGGCGCAGTGGTGGGCGCCTGTAGTCCCAGCTACTCAGGAGGCTGAGGCAGGAGAATGGCATGAACCTAGGAGGCAGAGTTTGCAGTGAGCCGAGATAGCGCTACTGCACTCCAGCCTGGGCGATAGAGCGAGACTCCGTCTCAAAAAAAAAAAAAAAAACTCTCGTCTTTCCAGCTTGCAGATAAATGTTTTGATAAGTAGATAGATGGATAGATGGATAGATGGATAGATAGATAGATAGATGAGAGAGGCATATAAATATAGATATGGTTGGATAGACGGATGGGTAGATTAAAAGATGAGAGAGTGATAAATATAGGTATGATGGATGAATAGATAGATACAAAGACAGGTAAAGATGGATGGATGGATGGATAAATAGATGAATTGGTAGATAGATAAATACATACATACATACATAGATGAAGGGTGAGTGAGTGGATTGATAGATGGGTGGGTTGGTGGACAAATGGATAGGTGGGTGAGTAGATGAGTGGATGGATAGAGACAGAAAGAGAGAGAGAAGAGAGAGAGAGACAGACAAGACAGACAGAGAGACATCATCTCCCATTGGTTCTGCTTCTCTGCAGAACTCTAACTAACAGCACAAACAACAAGGCAGGGATTCAAATGTTGGGCGTCTCACACCAAGCTGCTGTCCTGCTGCCTCCCTCACATGGCCCCTCTGAGTGAGTTGCACTGGCCATGCCCAGTGTGCCCCATGCTGCAGCAGCATTGCAGCATCACCTGGAACCGGCTGACATGCAGAGACCCAGGGCCCCTTACTGAATCAGCAACCGCATTTCATCAAGTCCCAAGCAGTGCGGGCATGGAGCTCCTTTCCTATTCCTAGGTAGTATCCCACTTGATATGGTTTGGCTGTGTCCCCACCCAAATCTCATCTTGAATTGTAGCTCCCGTAATTCCCACGTGTTGTGGGAGGGACCTAGTGGGAGGTGATTGAATCATGGGGGCAGGTGTTTCCTGTGCCGTTCTCATGATAATGAATAAATCTCATAGGATCTGATGGTTTTATAAAGGGGAGTTCCCCTGCACACACTGTCTCTTGCCTGCCACCATGTAAGATGTGACTTTGCTCCTCATTCACCTTCTGCCATGATTGTGAGACCTTCCTAGCCATGTGGAACTGTGAGTCAATTAAACCTCCTTCCTTTATAAATTACCCTGTCTTGGATATGTCTTTATTAGCAGTGTGAGAACAGACTAATACATCACCTCACTCATGGTCCCAGCTAGCCTGCTTGCTTTCCCACATAAGAGGCATGAAATAAATTCCAATGGGTTGCTTAGTTGATCTCTGTCCTGTCCCTGATATTTAGAATTGGCCCTTCTATTCACTGTATATTTTATTTCCTGTCCAGACATTTTTTATTGTGGTGAAATATACATACATAAAATTTACCATTTTAACCATTGTTATGTGTATGATTCAGTGGCACTAAGTACATTCATATTATTGTACAACAGTCATTACCATCCATCTCTAGGACTTTCTCATCTTTGCCAACTGAAACTGTCCCCATTAAACAATAACTCCTCTTCTCTGCCTGCACCCCAGCACCTGGCAACTGCCCTTACACATTCTCTGTCTATGAATTTGAGTACTCTAGGGACCTCATATAAGTGGAATTACACAAATTTGTGCTTTTGTGTCTGGTTTATTTCACTTAACATAATGTCCTCAAGGCTCACCCATGTTGTAATGTGTGTCAGAATTTCCTTTCTAGGGCTGCATAATATTCACGTGTGTGTGTGTGTGTACTATATTGTATTTATTCATCTGTCAGTGATCACTTAGGTTGTTTTCACCCTTTGGCTATTGTGAATAATGTTACTATGAACACGAGTGTATAGATATCTATTTGAATCCCTGCTTTAAATTCTTTGGGTATATCCAGACGTGGGATTTCTGGATTTCTGTTTGACTTTTTTTAATGTTTAACTTTTTGAGGAACTGCCACACTGTTTTCCACGGTGACTGCACCATTTTACATTCCTAGCAGCAGTGCACAAGGTACATAAGGGCTCCAATTTATCCACATCCTCACCAACCCCATCAGTTATTTTCTGTTGTCTTGATAGTGGCCATCCTAATGGGTGTGACTTGATATTTCATTGTGGTTTTGATCTGGAGGGAAGGAACCATGTTTTACATGCCTGTCTCCCCAGTCCTGGTGCAACACTACAAGGAGCAGGAACCCAGTAACAATGTGAGAATGAATGAATGAATGAGTGAATGAGTCGAGATATTTTCAGATGACCTCAGTAAGCCCACCTCAGTTAATAGCCCTCCACCTGATTGAGTTAACCTGCCCCTCTGCATTCCCTTACTGCAATTCACACAGCACTGGACTAGGGGAGTGAACTACATCTTCCCCTATCATCCTGCAAATCTGGAAAAGCCACAGGGCCAGAGCAGCCTGGAACCAGCTCTGACAGGGTCAGCCAGCTCAGTTCTCCAGTGGAAGGCTCTGTTTTGAAGAAGGTGTTTTATCTATCCCTGTTGTAATTTGTGCCCAGTGGACTCATAATTTCACCAGCAATTCATGATATATGGCAGAGTGTGTATGTGCATGTACACATGTGTGTGATGTATTACTCCCCATCGCAGTCACTGTGGCTCACAGTGGAAAGCACACAGGTTTTGGTCTCAGGCTGGCTGGGATGTAAATTCCAGTGATGAGATTTCAGTCAGGAGGTGTGGGCCCTGGAGGGGGCACCCAACCTCCTGGAGCCTCAGAGTCTTCATGCATAGATTGTGAGCATCAGAACCCTCCTTGTCTAATAGTTCTGAGAATATCAAATCATAGTAAATATTTATTAACTACACCAGTACTTTACATATTCATTTGAGTTGAGTGTATTTTCCGTATTAGTCCATTCTCGCATTGCTATAAAGAACTACCTGAGACTGGGTAATTTATAAAGAAAAGAGGTCTAATTGACTCATAGTTCTGAAGGTTGTACATGAAGCATGGCTGAGGAGACCTCAGGAACTTAAAATTATGGAAGAAGGCAAAGGGGAAGCAGGCACATCTTCCCATGGTGGAGCAGGAGAGACAGAGCAAAGGGGCAGGTGCTCTACACTTTTAAACAACGAGATGTCACAAAAACCCATGATCACAAGAACAGCAAGGGGGAAGTCTACCTCCATGACCCAATCACCTCCACCAGGCCCCTCCTCCAATGCTGAGGATTATAATTCGACATGAGATTTGGGTGAGGACACAAAGCCAAACTATATCATTCTGATCCTTGCCCCTCCCAAATCTAACGTTCTTCTCCATTTCAAAACACAATCATGCCTTCCCAACAGTCCCCCAAAGTCTTAACTCATTCCAGCATTAACTCAAAAGTCCAAGTCCCAAGTCTCATCTGGGACAAAGCAAGTCTCTTCTGCCTATAAGTCTGTAAAGTCAAAAACAAGTTAGTTACCTCCAAGATATTTGTATAATGGGGTACAGGCATTGGGTAAATCCACTCATTCCAAAAGGGAGAAATCCGCCAAAACAAAGAGATTTTAGGCCCCATACAGGGGAGTAGTTGAATATTAAATAAATAGTAAATAAAAAATATATGTTAAATACTTCCCAGCAGGGCAGTAATTAAATATTAAACCTCCAAAATAATATTTTTTGACTCAATTCTTTCACATCCAGGCCACACTGATGCAAGAGGTGGGCTCCCAGGGCCTAGGGGACCTCCACCCCTGTGGCTCCACAGGGTACAGCCCCCAAGGCTGCTTTCATGGGCTGGTGTTGAGTGCCTGTGGCTTTTCCAGGCACACGGTGCAAGCTGTCAGTGGACCTATCATTCTGGGGTCTGGAGGACAGTGGCCCTCTTCTCACAGCTGCACTAGGCAGTGCCCCAGTGGGGACTTTGTGTGGGGGCTCCAACCCTGCATTTCTCCCGCTGCACTGCCCTAGTACAGGTTCTCCACGAGGGCTCTGCCCTGAAGCAGACGTCTGCCTGGACGTCGGGGTGTTTTCATTCTCTGAAATCTAGGTGGAGGCTCTCAAGCCTCAACTCTTGCCCTCTGTGTACCTGCAGGCTTAACACCAGGGCTTCTTACAGTTTGCACCCCCTGGAGCAGCCACCTGAGATATAACTGGGGTCCTTTTAGCCGCAGCTGGAGCTGGAGTGGCTGGACACAGGAAGCAGTGTCCTGAGGAGGTTGCACAGGTTTTTGTGGACTGGGCCCACAAAAACCATTCTTCCCTCCTAGGCCTCCAGTCCTGTGATGGCAGAGGCTGCCATGAAGGTCTCTGAAATGCCTTTGAGGCATTTTCCCCATTGTCTTGGCTAGTAACATTCAGCTCCTCTTTAGTTATGAAAATTTCTGTAGCCAACTTGAAAACCCCCCAGAAAATGGGTTTTTCTTTTCTACCACATGGTCAGGCTGCAAATTTTCTAAACTTTTATGCTCTGTGTTCCTTTTAAATATAGTTTCCAGTTTCAGATGATCTCTTTGCTCACACATATGATCATACACTGTTAGAAGCAACCAGGCCATATCTTGAACACTTTGCTGCTTAGAAATTTTTTCTGCCATATTCCCCAAGTCATCTCTCTGAAGTTCAAAGTTCCACAGATCTCTAGGGCAGGGGCACAATGCCTTCCTCTTTGCTAACACATAACAAAAGTGACCTTTGCTCCAGTTCCTCATCTCTATCTGAGACCATCTCAGCCTGGACTTCACTCTCCATATTACTGTCAGCATTCTTGTCACAACAATTCAACAAGTCTCTAGGAAGTTCCAAACTTTCCCTCACCTTCCTTCTTCTTCTGAGCCCTCCACACTGTTCCAACCTCTGCCCATTACCCAGTTTCAAAGCTGTTTCCACATTTTCAGGTATCTTTATACAATCCCAGCACCAATTTTCTGTATCAGTCCATTCTCATATTGCTATAAGGAACTACCTGAGTCTGGGTAATTTATGAAGAAAAGAGGTTTAATTGACTCACAACTCTACATGCTGTGCAGGAAGCATGGCTGGGGAAGCCTCAGGAAACTTACAATCATGATGGAAGGTGAAGAGGACACAGGTGCATCTTCACATGGTGGAGCAGGAGAGAGAGAGAAAAGTGGGAAGTGCTACACACTTAAACAGGCAGATCTCATGAGAACTCACTTATTATGACAAGAACAGCAAGGGGGAAGTCTGCCCCTATGATTCAGTCACCTCCCACCGGGCCCTTCCTCCAACATTGAGGATTACAATTCCACATGAGATTGGGGTAGGGACACAGAGCCAAATCGTATCAGGTGCTGGTATCTCTATTTTGCAGATGAGAAAACCAGGCTCAAGAGATTAGGTGACTGGCCCAAGGTCATATAGCCAGAGAGTGACAGAGCTGGAGTTTGAACCCTGATAGTGTGGTCCCAGAGACCCCATGCTTGAGCTCTGCATGGGGCTTTGCACAGGAGTGCCCCAGGGCTGCATAGCAAACCTACGAGGTGGAAGGTGTTATTGTGTCCATGGTCAACACTAGTGCCTGAGATTCAGAGAGGTTGAGTGACTTTGCTCAAGGTCACAGAGCTAGCCAGGGATTCCACATAGGTCACGTCATGCTGATGTAAAACCTGAGCTCTTGGTACTGGGCAGGGGCCTGGCAGTGAACACTAACTGCTGGCCATTATTGTTAGGAAATATTATCCACGTTGCTTTTTCATCAGCTTTAAGGAAATAGTCATCAAACTGCTTGGCCTTTTGGCTTCCCAGCTATTCTCTAAGATTTCACCTTCACCAAGGCCTCTGTGGCTGGGGTGCAGCAGGACAGCGAGTTAAGGTGCTTAATGCGCAGAGAACCCTCAGCTAAGCAACCTGGGGTGGAATTATCCCCACTCTGGCCTGGCACGCCTGGAGCCTGTCCACAGCCAACAGTCAGCTGCCCGCCCTCGCCGCCTCCCGCCCTCCAGCAGAGTTGTCACAGCAACCGCTTGGGCATCTCATAGGCGTCTCCTTCAATAATCTGGGCCTCTGATCTCCGGCAGGCCTGTAATGAAGGGACAGTTTGTTAGTGCTGACATAAACATTGGGGAACTCGAGCCGCCTATTTCATGTCATTTAAGAAGTCAGCTCAAGCCTGCCGACAGCCGAGCAAACTGTGAAGATATTTATTTGTTGAGCTTCCTATGGTGAAAACCAATGTTTATGAGGCCAGTTTTTTTGTAGTCATTGATTTCTTTTTTTTGTAAGGAAAGAACAATATCTCAGAACATGATCATGTGCAATTTTCTTTCCTTCACTCAACCTGTGGCTAAAGCAAGTGGAATAACAGTGCCTGATCATGAACAGAGGAGATGCCATTTACATCACATTCTCTCATTTGCAAAGCCCTTTCTTGGGCATCACTGCTTCAATAACACATCAGTTCCGAGAGGAAGGGAGGTCTTGTACCCATGGGCAGATGTAGGGAAAGAAAGCAGAGAGGTTGAGTGACACACCCAGGGTCACACAGCTAATAAACAATGGAGTCAGGATTTGAATCCAACGAAGGCTTTCTGTGAAAACTCCAGAGTTCTTTCCACTACCTTGTGCTGGGGTTACTTGCTCCAAGGTATCTAAGCAACCCCATGTATTAATCCCCAAATTCACAGGAATGGCAGGAGGGGACGGGTGTGTCCTAGATCTTTCCATGTGTTTTAAAAAAATTAACCTGATGATTTTTTGGCAGCGAGAAAAAAGAATGACAGGAACAACCACAAAAACAAAACTTCAAGAGCTGCTAATGGGTTTGTACTTTGTCTTCTTAGCAAATAGACCTTTTTAAAAAATCAGGCTTCTTGGGGAGAGATTAGGTCCCAGATTCTAGCAGCTCTATAGTGCCAAGTTGTTCCCTGGGCCTCCCAGCCAAGGGTCTGGGTCCCTCTGTCAGTCCTTGGCTTCAGTTTTGGGCGTCATTCTAACGGGTTGCTGGGTTGTAGCCCTGGCTCTGGCACTCACCAAGAGAGTGACCTTGGTCAAGTTGCCTAGCTGCTTAGTTTGCTCATCTGTTAAATGGAGTTGAAAATCCCCATACCTTTTCTCGCAGGGCAGGATCTGTATGGGGAAAAAGTATCTGCCAAAACTAAACATGCTTCGTGCTTGGGCGGCACCATGTTGATGAGGAAAGGACCCAGGGTCTGGGTCAGAGGTCCTGAGTGTGTAGTCTGAAGGACTCACATTCCCTCTCTGGGCCCCTGCTTGTTTGTTGCAAAATGGGATGACAGTCTATGGCAGTGGCAATGGCAGCGACATGTTCATTCGCTCCTTTATCCATTCATCAGCTGTTTACCCCATGCAGGGCTCTGCATCCCAGGCTGTGCATTTTATGTATCCAACTCCTGCAACTCTCTCAGCACATGTACCCATTCTACAGAAGAGGAAAATGAGGCTGGCCTATCTGACTAGTTTCTCCTGCCAGGGCTGTCGTGAAAAACGAATGCCTCTCATCCAAGGGTGTGGTAAACAGTCACATTTGTCAAGGAGTGATTCACTGGTGCGTTGTCTTTTCCTTTCATGCTCCCCCTTCTCTAATGCATGGGGCTCCTCTGCACTCCTAAATTAGGTGCCACAGGACACAGACTTCCTGACTCCCGACAAAACAGAGCCAACACTTTGAGGGGAAAGGCATCCTGGCTCCATGTCCGAGTCTTCCTCAGCCACCGGGCTGGCCAGGCAGCAGGGGGCGGGCAGCGCCTCACTCCTTTTGGAGCCTCTGTCTGCAGGAGCCTGGTCCCCAACTGTCCCCTGGGGTGAGATCCATCACGCGGTGGCTGCACTCCATCAGGCACGCTCAGCCGGAGGGTCAAGTGGCCCGCAGACGCCGGGCTCTGGGAGCCCATCACAGCCATATTTAATTTAATTAAGGCTGTCAGCACTATTGATTTTGGCAGTTTCAATTACTAGGCTGTTATGGTTTCTGGATCAACTGATCTGTGATGGGTCCTATCAGCAAAGACACACATTGAGGAGAGGGCCCTTCATCTCCTTTAAAACCTGACACATGCTGCCACGGGCCATAAGTGATTGCTTTTATCCCGCCCCGCTCCCCTTCCCTTCCTCATAATTAATTTCTCATTAGACAGCTCTTTATTGTTTAATTTGTGCAGTTTATAATCAAATTGGGCACATTAATTGTCATTGAATTTAAGGCTAATGAAAAATAAAGGTTTTCAATAACTTACTCTTCCATTACTCCCGACAAGATAAAATAAAGCGCTCCAAGAAGTGTCAGCTTTTTAAATTATAAATTAGGTTTTTTAAAGAGCATGGGCATTTAAGGAGCAGTTATCACACATTTAGTAATTATAAATCCTATGCTGCAAAATAATTATTAAGATATAATTATGCTGCTTTACTGTTATGCGGCCCCCGCAGCTGGTAAAGGCCTGATTCTTCATTGCTGATGGGGTGGGGGCTTCTGTTGGGTTTGCGGAGGAAAAAGACTCCAGCAGGGAGCTAAGTTGGCAAACTTCGGAGTCGGTGAGGTGTCACTACTTTTTAATGAAACTGTTTGACCTAGGGGTGTATCGAATGGAACACCAACTCCTGGGCTTTTCTCTCTGTCCTTTAGATCTTTGAAAGACTACCCAAGGCCCACTCATATGTCCAGCCTGTGCTGAGACCTAGAGACACAATGATTAAGCAGACATGGGACACAGACACACAAACAAATGGAGGCACAGGTCAGTGGGGTGTGAATAAGGGAATATCCAGATCCACCTGTGGGGGAGGTCAAGTCTTTATAAGAGACTTATAGAGGTCAAGATTTAAAACTAGGTCTTCTTCAAACCCCACCATTTTGCACCCACTGTTCCATGAGCACCTACTATATGCAGGAAACTATGCCAGGGGTTTCAGGAGAAACTGGTGAGTCAGACAAGGTCCAGCTCTCAGAATGATGCGCAGGAGCCAGGCATGTCCACAGGAATTCAAGAGAAGGAACACCAAGAGACAAGAGTGTCACATCCAGGGTGGGCTAAACATAGCATTAAAGAACCTACTTGGTCCAATTCTACTTCTGGTTATATGGTGTGTAACAATGACATTCATGCATTCGTTTGCTCAGCAACACTCTGGAAGGTCCCCATGACCAGAGGTGAGCACCAAGAGAGAGGAGGCTGATGTTTCATGGGCAAAGTAGATTTTAATGGAGGAGCCTCCAGAAAGTGTGCAAGGCATCACTAGAGGACAGTAGAAAGGGTTCCCTTGGGAGAGGTCAGTGATGTTTCTTTGAGAAGTGACATTTAAACTTCAACACTAGGGATCAGAGGAAGCCTCAAAGATAAATCCAAAGTAAGAGTTGATTTATAACCACACCCCACGGCAGGGTTATGCCCCTGGCAATTCCAGGATACTTGGTGATACGGTTTGGATATTTGTTCCCTCCAAATCTCATGTTGAAGTGTAATACCCAGTGTTGGAGGCAGGGCCTGGTGGGAGGTGTTCCAGTCATGGAGGTGGATCTCTCATGAAATGCCTTCCCTGTGTGTATTAGTCCATTCTCATACTGCTAAGAAAGACATACCTGAGACTGGGTAATTTATAAAGGAAAGAGGTTTAATTGACTCACAGTTTTGCATGGCTAGGGAGGCCTCAGGAAACTTACAATCATGGCAGAAGAGGAAGCAAACATGTCCTTCTTTGCATGGCAGTAGCAAGAAGAAGTGTCAAGCAAAAGGGGGAAAACCCCTTATAAAACCATCAGGTCTCATGAGAACTCAATCACTATCATGAGAGCAGCATGAGGGTAACTGACCCTATGATTCAATTACCTCCCACCAGATCCCTCTCACAACACATGGCAATTATGGGAACTACAATTCAAGATGAGATTTGGGTGGGGACACAGAGTCAAACCATATGACCATGGTAATGAGTTCTCACTCTATTAGTTCATGTGAGAGATGGTTGTTTAAAAGAGCCTGGCATCTCTCTCTTGCTCACTCTCTTGCCATGTGACACACTGGCTCCCCTTCATCTTGTGCCATGGTTGGAAGCTTATTGAGCCCCTCACCAGAAGCAGATGCTGAGGCACTATGCTTCATTTACAGCATGCAGAACTGTGAACCAAATAAATCTCTTTTCTTTATAAATTGCCCAGTCTCAGGTATTTCTTTATAGCAACACAATTGCACAAATATACTTTGGCTTGCCCAGATGGCCTCAGGAAAACTGCTCACCCTATTTGGGCTTCAGTTTCTTCATAGGCAGAGCTGAGAGTATCTGACTACTTTAGATGATCTGTCAGGTCCCTGAGCATGGGCAGGGTCTTTCGGAACCCAGAGGAATTCAGAATTGCTTTGAAAATGATTGTCCACTCATACCAGCCACCCTACCCAAATCCCTGCTGTTCTTTGGCTTAGAGATATCTGAACGTTCCCAACTGCTCAGGTTTAATTGCCTTTTTTAGACTCCATACACGGACATAAAAGGCATATTTCTCTGTCTCCAAGTTGAAAGAACTGTTACCTGTCAGACCCTCTGTTTCCAAGCAAGATGGACCAACATCAGTGTGCTCCACCTCTGTACCCCCTGGACAGACAGATGAAACATCTACTCCTCAAACATTTTATCTTTACAATTAAGCCTGGAGGTAGGGAACTTTGCTCCCATTTTATAGATAAAGAAACCGAGGTCAGAGGGTTAGCACGGATGGAAAGGCAAATCCTTCCAGCTCATCTCTAGGGACTGTCAGTCTTGCAACTCAGGGGCCCAACAAGAGATATTTTTCCCCTTTATTTCTTCTAAAAAACAAAAACAGGATACATGTGCAGAACGTGCAGGTTTTTTACATAGGTATATGTGTGCCATGGTGGTTTGCTGCACCTATTGACCCATCTTCTAAGTTCCTTCTCCTCACCCCCACCCCTCCATAGGCTCTGGTAGGTGTTGTTTCCCTGTGTCCACGTGTTCTCAATGTCCAACTCCCACTTATGAGTGAGAACTTGTGGTGTTTGGTTTTCTGTTCCTGTGTTAGTTTGCTGAGGATGATGGCTTCCAGCTTCATCCATGACCCTGCAAAGGACATGATCTCATTCTTTTTATGGCTGCATAGTATTCCATGGTGTATATGTACAACATTTTCTTTATCCAGTCTATCATTGATGGGGATTTGAGTTGGTTCCATGACTTTACTATTGTAAATAGTGCTGCAATAAATATACATGTGCATGTGTCTTTATAGTAGAATGATTTAAATTCCTTTGGGTATATACCCAGTAATTACATTGCTAGTTCAAATGGTATTTCTGGTTCTAGGTCCTTGAGGAATTGCCACACTGTCTTCCACAATGGTTGAACTAGTTTACATTCCCAGTAACAGTGTAAAAGCATTTCTATTTCTCCACAGCCTCACCAGCATCTATTGTTTCCTGACTTTTTAATAATCGTCATTCTGACTGGCATGAGATGGTATCTCATTGTGGTTTTGACTTGCATTTCTCTAATAATCAATGATGTTGAGCTTTTTTTCATGTTTTTTGGCCATGTAAATGTCTTCTTTTGAGAAGTGTCTGTCCATACCCTTTGCCCACTTTTGATGTGGTTGTTTTTTTCCTGTAAATTTCTCTAAGTTTCTTGTAAATTCTGGATATTAGACCTTTATCAGATGGGTAGATTGCAAAAATTTTCTCCCATTCTGTAGGTTGCCTGTTCACTCTGATGATAGTTTCCTTTGCTGTGCAGAAGGTTTTTAGTTTAGTTAAATCCCATTTGTCAATTTTGGCTTTTGTTGCAATTGCTTTTGTCATTTTCACCATGAAGCCTTTGCCCATGCCTATTCAATACTGAATAGTGTTGCCTAGGTTTTCTTCTAGGGTTTTAATGGTTTGGGGTTTAACATTTAAGTCTTTAATTCATCTTGAGTTAATTTTTGTATAAGGGGTAAGGAAGGGGTCCAGTTTCAGTTTTCTGCACCTGGCTTACCACTTTTCCCAGCACCATTTACTGAACAGGAAATCCTTTCCCCATTGCTTGCTTTTGTCAAATTTGTCGAAGATCAGATGGTTGTAGATGTGTGGAGTTATTTCTGAGGTTTCTGTTCTGCTCCATTGGTCTATATGTCTGTTTTGATACCAGTACTATGCTGGTATCAAATATAGTTTGAAGTCAGGTAGTGTGATGCCTCCAGCTTTCTCCTTTTTGCTTAGGATTGTCTTGGCTGTATGAGGTCTTCTTTGATTCCATATGAAATTTAAAATAGTTTTTTCTAATTCTGTGAAGAACGTCAATGGTAGTTTGATGGGAATAACATTGAATCTATAAATTACTTTGGGCAGTATGGCCATTTTCACAGTAGTGATTCTTCCTATCCATGAGGATGGAATGTTTTTCCATTTGTTTGTGTGTTCTCTTTTATATCTTTGAGTAGTGGTTTGTAGTTCTCCTTGAAGAGGTCCTTCACATCCCTTGTTAGCTCCATCCCTAGGTATTCTGTTCTATTTGTAGTGATTGTGAATGGGAGTTCACTCATGATTTGGCTCTCTGTGTGCTTATTGTTGGTGTAAAGGAATGCTTGTGATTTTTGCACATTGATTTTGTATCCTGAGACGTTGCTGAAATTGCTTATCAGTTCAAGAAGTTTTTGGGCTGAGATGATGGGGTTTTCTAAGTATAAAATCACGTTGTCTGCAAACAGAGACAATTTGACTTCCTCTTTTCCTATTTGAATACCCTTTATTTCTTTCTCTTCCCTGACTACCCTGGCTAGAACTTCCAATACTTGGTTGACTAGGAGTGGTGAGAGACCAACAAAAGAAATCTTAGGATAATTTTCTGTTAGACTGTAGTAAAAGCTCTTCTCTGCAGGGAATGATTTGCTTGCCATGATCACTTGCCTGGTGCCCCCAATTCCCAGGCACAGAAGACCCCAGATGCTTGAGGTGTCTCCTCTGCCCTCTGGAGATTTAAGTCTGGAATCTGTACACTGCATACTGGATTTAGGTCTGCTTCATATACTCCATAAACAAAGCTATTAAACAAATAGGAGTCATTTATTGGTTGTGATTCTTTTGTCTTGTTTTTGCTTTTAAATAACAATGAGCAATTTTATTTGTCTAAAATGTCTAGATAATTAAAGTTTTTATAAAAATCATTTTTTTGTCTTCCTGGCATTGTTTAGATCATTGCTTCATTGTTCACTTCAAACTTCATGTACATTCAACCTCAGGCTTTTCTGTTGAGTAACCACCTTCTGCTGTCTCTTTGTGACTGATTTTTAGGTGTGTACATTAGAGCAAGGGCTTCTTAATTGTAAAATTGTGGCATTTGCCTTACATCCTCTAATTTTTCGTCCTGAACTCTTTGCTTACTTCCCTGTGACCCCCATCTCTCAACTGACTAACTGACTCTCTACTATTTCTATCATGAGCTGTTCTCAAGAAGACACCTTGTAACAGG